>NC_000003.12:111281331-111584361 GCF_000001405.40 Homo sapiens | reverse complement strand
AGAAGACGAGAAAATGTTGTAAAGTTTGGAACCTCCTAGAGATTTGTTGAATCACTTTGACAAAAATGCTGATGGTGATATGAACAATAAGGTTGAGGCTGAAGTGGTCTCAGATAGAGATGAGGAACTTGTTGGGAACTGGAGCAAAGGTGACTCTTGTTATGTTTTAGCAAAGAGACTGGCAGCATTTTGCCTATGCCCTAGAGATTTGTGGAACTTTGGACTTACAAGAGATGATTTAGGGTGTCTGGCAGGAGAAATTTCTAAGCAGCAAAGCATTCGAGAGGTGTATTGGGTGCTGTTAAAGGCACTCAGTTTTATAAGGGAAGCAGAGCATGAAAGTTTGGAAAATTTGCAGCCTGACTATGCAATAGAAAAGAGAAACCCATTTTCTAGGGAGAAATTCAAGCTGGCTGCCGAAATTTGCATAAGTAGGAAGGAGCCTAATGTTAATCTACAAGACCATGGGGAAAATGTCCCCAGGCCACATCAGAGACCTTCACAGCAGCCCCTCCCATCACAGGTCCAGAGGCCCAGGAGGAAAAAGTGGTTTCCTGGGCTGGGCCCAGGGTCCCCTTGCTGTGTGCAGCCTCGGGACTTGGTGCCCTGTGTCCCAGCCATTCCAGCTATGGCTGAAAGGGGCCAACGTGCAGCTTGGGCCATTGCTTCTAAAAGTGTGGAATCCCCAAGCCTTGGCAGCTTCCACATGGTGTTGAGCCTGTGCGTGCAGAGAAGTCAAGAACTGAGGTTTGGGAACATCTACCTAGATTTCAGAAGATTTATGGAAATGTCTGAATACCCAGCAAAAGTTTGCTGCAAGGGCGGGGCCCTCATGAAGAACCTCTGCTTGGGCAGTGCAGAAGGGAAATGTGGGGTTGGAGCCCCCACACAGAGTCCCTAATGGGGCACTGACTAGTGGAGCTGTGAGAAGAGGGCCACCATCCTCCAGACCCCAGAATGGTAGATCCACCAACAGATTGCACTGTGCTCCTGAAAAAGCTGCAGACACTCAACACTAGCCTGTGAAAGCAGCCAGGAGGGAGGCTGTACCCTGTAAAGCCACAGGGACAGAACTGCCTAAGAACATGGGAACCTACCTCTTGCATCTGTGTGACCCAGATGCAAGACATAGAGTCAAAGGAGATCATTTTGGAACTTTAAGATTTGACTGCCCTTTTGGATTTTGGACTTGCATGGGGCCTGCAGCCCCTTTGTTTTGGCCAATTTCTCCCATTTAGAATGGTTGTATTTACTGAATGCTTATACCCCCATTATATCTAGAAAGTAACTAACTTGCGTTTGATTTTACAGGCTCATAGGCAGAAGGGACTTGCCTTGTCTCAGATGGGACTTTGGACTTGGACTTTTGGGTTAATGCTGAAATGGGTTGAGAATATGGGGGACTGTTGGGAAGGCATGATTGATTTTGAAATGTGAGGACATGAGATTTGGGACAGGCCATGGGTGAAATTATATGGTTTGGCTGTGTCCCCACCCAAATCTCAACTTGAATTGTGTCTCCCAGAAGGGACCTGGTGGGAGGCAATTGAATCATGAGGGCTGGTCTTTACCATGCTATAGTGAATAAGTCTCATGAGATCTAATGGGTTTATCAGGCATTTATGCTTTTGATTTTCCTCATTTTTCTGTTGCTGCTGCCATGTAAGAAGTGCCTTTCACCTCCTGCCATGATTCTGAGGCCTCCCCAGCCATGTGGAACTTTAAGTCCAACTAAATCTCTTTTTCTTCCCAGTTTTGGGTATGTCTTTATCAGCAGCATGAAAATGAACTAATGCAGCTTAGAAATAAAGTCTCATTATAAAGGTCCCTGAAGTGGAGCAGAGAAACATTTGATTCTTGTTTGGTTGCTTGGCACTAGGAAATATCAGGGAATATTTCAGTGATTTTGTTGTTTTACTAGATTTTAAGTGCCTCTGAGCCAGTATTTTATCAATTTCTTCATCTCTAGCACTTAACTGCCCAGCACAAACTAGACATTAAGTACATCGTGTTGAACAGAAGTGGCTTCAAGTAAATTCTTGAGCATAGCAAACACAGCCTTCTATGACTCAGTGGAAAGAATGCTAAACCTCCAGTCACAGATGCTGTCAGTGCCTGCTACAGCCACTAGCCATTTACCTTGGCATACTGAAGATCTCTTACTGGGATAACTCTTTGATGACTAGATGACTCTTTGCATAATGATTTATTGAGATTATGGGAGTATACTTAGTCCACAAGTAGTAAAAACTGGGAGTCCCAGAGAGTTAATAGTGATACAGATGGAGAGATGGTAGATGAATACCCCAGCTTTCTTGCCCTTCATGTGGGATAACTCTGATGTGTGTTCTATGCTGTCTCCCAGTAAGATGAGCTCTAAACCTATGGTGCTAACTGATATAATCTTGTACATTTTCTTATCTTCCTTCCCTTCCCTGACTCACTTTCTCACTCCTTTTCTGATGTTTCCCAGGATGGCCTTTCAAATAAATTAACCGCAATCCTTATCTCGATGTTTTATTTCAGGGGAACCCAAAACCAAGATACAACCTGAAACACTAATGGATGGAGAGGTATCTCTTACCTCCTGTTAACAAATACCAGCAGAATAAAAGCCCTGAAAGAAAGAACAACTACTAAAAATTGCAGAGGTGACAGGGTGAGACAGATTTTCTTTGAGGTTGAGGACAATCAGATTTGGAATTTAGGAGTGGAACAGAACCCTGTGATGGGCAGGTGACTCCCTGCCAAGGAAAGGAAAACCAAAGGAGACCAGTGAAGGAGATGCAGGAAGTGGCAAAATTGCTGGAGTAGCCCCTCTTGTCCCTGGTCTGTTAGACAATGAAGAGTTGAGCAATGGACATTGTTTGGGAAGAAGAAATATGCTGGGTTTAGGGCATGTGGAATAGATCTGATATATATTTGGGTATTGATTTCAAGGTTTTCATGGGTGTTTTGGGGAGACTTATTCTATATGAGGAATCACCAAGGGATGTAAAGTAGGTTCTTATAAGATATGTGGTCAGGGCCACAATATATACTTGGGTAACACCTCAAAATAGGTTAAGGACTGGATGAGACTCCACCCAAACACAACCCGCCCAGCCAATTTACTAAATGCAAAAACCAGGAAGCACGAAAAATCTAATTTTCTGAACAAGCAGGCAGGGTTTCATATTTTTAAGCATCCACCGAAAGGACTTCAAAGAAGAAACAAGAGAAATGTAGAGACAAAGAGCTGTAGAATCCAATAGGGTGATAAAAATGAGATATAGAAGGCTGAAAAACATTTAAGATCAAGATAGAGGTGTTTTAATGCAGCAAAGAGATACAGGACACAGCATAAATGTTGACAAGGCAATTAGATCAAGTTATGATGCAAAAAGTCTTGATCAATAGGGGACACAGCTTGCCTAGATTAAAATTGATATTTCTTTCTACATTGAGGATGGCTGCCTTCATTGGTTTGACAATAGACCAGATGAAGCAGTTTCATGTTTGCACTAAGACAGTCACAGCCTGGTAAATAAACAAATGGTGATAGCAAAAGAGATGAACAGCTTGTTTCCAACTCTTCACAGGACACTGTTTAGGCTCCGTAAGGAACCTGATCATCAGGGATGATTATTGCCTAGTCCATCCCTGAGGAGAGATGAAGAGAAAGAGAAGGGGGAGGATGCAGAGGGAAGGGGAGGACAGAGGAGGGAAGGGGGAGGCAATTTTGTGTTTTCTTCAAAATACTAAATTGTATGACTGCCAATAATAGGGCAATACAATTCCAAATAATTTTTTTTTGCTTGCTCTGCCCTTTAGAGAATTGAGGAACAATCTAGCAGCCTGTGTCCATAGGTTTGTGAAGTTATTTTCTCTTTGTTTATCTCATTTTCAAAAATAATTAATTGTCTATCCACCTCACTGCTTTTCTCTTTGCCTTCTTTAAAATTGACTTTCTAAAAAACACAGATCTTTGTCACAAAAAATGAAAAAAACATCCAAAGGCAGAGGCTTCCCTTCATTAATGGTGTTTATTAATTAGTGGTACTTCCTTGTACCACTGGGGAAAATAGAATTTTAACCTTTCCTCCTTAAATTGGCACGCTGCAGATAGTCTGCATTTTGAGTGAGGCCACAGTGGATTTCACAGCTCAGCTCCACACTCCTGAGAGTGCAGGTTCAGAGGGCCTTTCCTAAAGGCTCCTTTGCTGGAAGGGCTGGACCTGGATGGTCTCACCCCAGCTGGGCCTTGGCAGGATAGCAGGGGAGGAGGAACTTCTGCAGTTTCTCTGGGGCTATATTTATCACCTTCCTTTTCTCACTGACTTTACTCCACCTTGCTCAAGCAAGCAACTAAGACAATTAGACAACTAAACAATTAGATTTTGGCAGTTACAATTAAAGAGATTTCCAGTATTCTGAGAAATATTAACATTGTAAATAAGATAGTGGTCACCAGGAAATTGTTCTGTCTGTTATGGTTTGAATGTCCACTCCAAAATTCATATTGAAACTTAATCTCCAGTGTGGCAGTATTGAGAGCTGGGGCCTTTCAGAGGTGATTGAATCATGAGGTCTCTGCCCTTATGAATAAGATTAATCCATTCATGGATTAATGGGTTACTGGAGTCATGAGTTATAATGGGAGGGAAACTGGTGGCCTTATAAGAAGAGGAAGAGAGACCTGAGTTAGCACATTAGCAAACTCTGTCCCCTCGCCATGTGATACCGTGTGCCACCTTGGGATTCTTCAGAGAGTCCCCATCCGCAAGAAGGCTCTTACCAGATGCGTCCCCTCGACCTTGGACTTAGCCTCCATAACTGTAAGTAATAAATTCCTTTTCTTTACAAATTACTCAGTTTCAGGTATTTCATTGTAAGCAACAGAAAACTGACCAATACAGAAAATTATTGGCTTCTGTATGATTTTATTCTGTTAACAGAATCATCATTCTTTAGCATCCTACCCTCATCCCCCTGCCCAACAAGAATGACAAGTATCCAGGGAAACAGACTCCAGCACTGTTACCCACATGTGGCTGCTCTGCAGCATAATAGGGTGCTTCCTCTTCAAGGAAGAGCAGGGCAGGAGACAGGAGGATGCCAGTGAGTCTGTAGAACAAAAGCCCTTACCAAAAACCTTGACTGTGGTGGAGCTCCTCAAGATTTTGTTAGGACCGACTCTAATGTGGCAAGAGAACTTCCGCCCATCATCGAAGATTTGGACTGGAGAGAGGTGGAGTCTGTAGTCTGTACCAAGCTTGACTCTATCTTTAAGTAATGTGGAATTGCTGATGAGGTGATTTTGGGAGATAAGTGTTTCCTGAGTTCCATTATCCTCCTGGTGAGAAAAATTGTTACCAGTTATTGAGTCCTCAACTGTGCCAGCTCTGAACTAGGCATTCGACAAGCACTGATTCATTTACTTTTTGTAAAGTAGAGAGGAAGAATGAAGGATTGAAATTAGAAGACATTTAGTATATTACTAGAGAAAGTATGATACACTTGACTTTCAGTTAAAAACTATTGTTACCCTCTCCTAACAAATGGAAGCATTCTGTTCTTCTGACTAGAGCTTCTCCTTCATAATCTTCTATGAACTGTATATCTGGAGCAGGATTTGGGGTTTGGAATGGGCAGGACTAATGGCAGATTTTAATTTTTATTTAAGAAGTTCTGACATCTTACTGCTAAGATGAGAAGACTGTATCAGTGTGAAGATTTCATAAAATCTTCATTTAAACTGGATGATTACAGCTATCCCTAAATTCCTTTAGAAAATGACTCTTTGTCAGCTCCTCCCCGAGCCTGGACTAGGATCAGGTAAAGTGGCATTCTCAAAGTCTTGCAAGTGAAATGTTGACACCCAACAGTGAGTACCTCCTTAAATTTTGTGCCCTGGGGCAGCTCCTTGCCTCATTTCACAGCCTTGTTCTGGTCCTAACCTTATTCCCTTTCTTCTGTGTTTGTGTTAGCTTCAAAGAGGATGCATGAAGAGTAGCCTGAAAATGTTAATCTGAATTTTGGAGATCAGAGTATATTTGAGGTACTTGGTTCTTCTATCCCGTATCCTTTCTTCGGTCTGTGATGAAAAGCCCTATTATTCTCTCTGTGCCTGGAATTTTTTTGGACAAACTCCCTGGGGTGTCACAGTGTTGGTTGATGTCAATAAAAGTGCTCACTAGGGGCCCAGTAAGGAGGGGATTCTTGACGGGCACAAGGGTAGAGGATGGGTTAGGTCTTCATATCCTGTTAGTATGACTCAACATTCTCAGTTGAGCTGCTTTTAAAACACTCTGATGCACAAGCTTGTCTTCTAGAGATTCTAATTCAGTCTGTCTGGGATAAGGCCATAGCTAGGACAATTGCTTTTAAGGTACTCAGGAGATCCAGGGCTGACATCTACTGGCCTAACTCTAAACAACAGATGAATCCTTGTGTACAGTCATCAGGGGAAATGGAGGGAAGTAAAATGGAGAAGGGTAAACAGGAGTGCATTCAATGGGGGAAATGTTACAAAATAATGATAAGATCTATGAATTGGAATCTCTAGTTTTAAAAATGAGACAGATCAGGCTACAAGAAATGGAAACCACATTCAAGTATGGGCAGAAACAGAGGATGGACTAAGGTAGACTTCTTAAATAGTTTAAATAGAAAATTCCAGAATATACTTAGTAGAAACTCTTATGTAAGACACCGTTCTTTAGCTGAATCTGGCTAGGATTTGTGTCAGTCTTACATACAGATAGTATTGTGTTATTGCCTGCAAATAATCATACTCTGCTGAATTCTTTTTCCTGCAGCAATTTACATACCTTTATACCCTTAGAAAGAAGGACCCAAGAATCCGTGCTGCTGTTTTCCTAAGGAAGAAGAGCAAAAGAAGAAGGGAGAAAGACTGTATTACAGAGATAGGATCCCCCAGAGGAGCTCTAAGTATTGGGTGGGGACAGGAGAAGAAAGTGGAGAGCATGTCACTCAGCACTGGCAAGTCTGGAGGTCAATAATTAAGAAGGCAGGTACCCCCTGCAGATCTTTTGGCACAGGTACGTTTGGCAGCCTCTTGCTTTTTTGTGTGTCAGGATTTTAGAGTTGAAAATGCTCCTTGGTCATTTAGTATATGAATGCCATTTGGAACAGTTCCATCAACTGTCACTTTGTTGTGGGAAAAAGAGCAGTTACATGCTGAAGTTGGAGACTGGTGAGAAAAACTGCTTTTTTCTTTATTATATAGCAGATTGTGACTAGGTGGTTTAGTTGATAGAGAAAAAATACAAAACCTTCCAACTTATCCAAAGGTTGCTTTTTTCCCCTGGGCAGTTGACTTTTGCAGAAAGAAGGGTTTGTTCCTTCATTAGGAAAGATGGGATTCAGTTGCAAAGAATGCCCCGTAACCTACAATATAAGGAGATCCTAAGACATTCTAGAGTCTTCAGTTATAAAGGGGGCAGTAGCAAGAACTTACATATGAGTGGCTGCCTTCACAGAGCAAATGGGAGGAGAGGTGAAAAAATTAGCACAGGCAAACAACGAAATGCCTAGGACTGGGAGAGGGAGAAATAATACTAGTATTATGTTATGACCATTATTAAACTTTCATAATCTTATTAGTCATAGTTTAAATTTATTTAGCACCTACTATATTCTAAGAATTCTGCAAAGTCCTTTCAAGTCTTATTTACTTCTTACAACTATGTAGAATAAATTGAGGTTAAAAATTTGATCAAAGATCACACAAAGTAAGAGTTATTTAAGTCACAGCATCAAAAAGCAAGGAGGCCCAGAACCGGGGACAAATAAGTCTCAGATACAATTTGTACTAATAAGAACCAAACTATAAAATAATAATAAATAAAAAACCTTTCTGAAGTATCTACAGTGAGAAATTTAATAGAAATTTTAGAAAGCTAGAACCTTTCATGTGAGTTGTAGATTACAGGGGTGAGGGCAATTTGTTGATTGAAAGGGGCCTTTGTATGACATATTGGCCCACTTTTGATGATAGGTGTTTAGAGCACACCTCAACTCCTACTTGATAATAATGCTCTTAGCTAACCTAGTCTTCAGGAAACAGACAGATAGAGGCAAGAACCTGTATGTGACAGCCTTATTTCTACCAGTTTTTTCTTTTCCTGTTCTTCAAAGAAAAAAATTGTCCACTTTAAAAAATATTAATAAGTATTTCTAAAACTTTATGGATTCACACCTTGGTAGACTCCCACATTTTAATGGGAAATATAGATTTAATGAGGTAACATATATGATATACTTACTCTAGTCCTGACACTTAATAGATGTTCAATAATACAAGCTTATTATTATCTAGTCCAGCCTATGATCAACCTGCTATCTCATGAGTATTCACTATGTGCCTGGCTAAACTGAGGAATTATGGAGATTCATTGCTATGGTTTGAATGTTTTTGTCCCTTCCAAAACTCATATTGAAACTTAATCCCCAATGGCATAGTGTTGGGAGGTGAAGCCTAATGGGAGATCCAAAGGGCTCTGCCCTCATAAATAGATTAATGCCACTCTACAAAGTGCTTGTAGTAGTGAGTTCTCTCTCTTCTGCTCTTCTGCCATGTGAGGACAAAGATTTTTGTCCTCTCTGGAGAACATAGCATTCAAGGTGCCATCTTGGAAGCACAGAGACCAGGCTCTAACTTGCTGGCACCTTGATTTTGGACTTCCCAGCCTCCAGAACTTGAGAGAATAAATGTTCTGTTTATAAATTTCTTAGTTTCAGATATTCTGTTACATGTAGCAGCACAAAATAGATTAAGACAGTTATAAAGCCATGAATAGCTCAATCTGCTCTCTTGCCAATGTCAACCCGTAAGGGTTGGCCCTTGGGGGACACAATGGCCATGAACAACAAGTTGATTGGAAAATACTGTTCCTTAAACAATATAAATGTAGCAAGGTCTGAAAAACACACAAGCAACAGTCTGCCTTTATTTACAAATTTGATGTTTTGTTCACCATGGATTTTCCCTAACTTCTGATTTTTAAAAATGTTGTATTAAAATATTTATCTTGATCACTAACTTTTTGTGCTCCTTTAAATTTTGCTTCCAAGGTTAATGGCCTTCCTTGCTTCACTCTAATCCCAGCCCTTAGGTCTCATAGCCAGTAAGTAGTGGAGATCCAGGTCTTGAAAACAGCAATTTCCCTCCAAATATCACACTGTTAATGACTTTGCTATATACAGTCTCACAAAAGTAGTAAAAGAAACAGTCTTAGCCTTTCCTACTTATAATCTACTTAAGGGCTGGATTTGGTGGCTCATGCCTGTAATTCCAGCACTTTGGGAGGCCAAGGCTGGTGGATTTCTTGAGCCCAGGAGTTCAAGACCAGCCTGGGAAACATGGTGAAACCCTGTCTTTACTAAAAATACAAAAAAAAAAAAAAGTTAGCTGGGTATGGTGGCACATGCCTGTGGTCCCAGTTCCTTGGGAGGCTGAGGTGGGAGGATCACCTGAGCCTGGGGAGGTCAAGGCTGCAGTGAGCCAAGATTATGTCACTGCACTCCGGCCTGGGCAGCAAAGTGAGACACTGCCTCAAAAAAAAAAAATCTAAAAATTCATATTTTTAAATATAATTTTTAAATAGATTTTTTGCACTAAAAATATACTTAAGGAGAAGAACAAACATGTACACACAAACAAATATGAAAATCAGGAGCCACAGAAAAGAAACAAATGCATAATTAAATTATGTATAGGAGCTTGATAAAATAATTAGCATGATAACTGCTGAAAGGGATCTTATTGAATCATGAAACTGCTGTTATATGTCCCTTAAATACTTGACAAATCCTAAAATAAGTCATTTAGGCTTTGTTTTTGAACTAGAATCAAAATTTTCAATTTAGAACAGGAATCTTTGTACTACAGGTTGAGTAACCCTTATCTGAAATGCTTGGTATCAGAAATGTTTCAGGCTCAGATGTTTTGGATTTTGGACTATTTACATTATGCCAGTTGAACATCTTAAATCTGAAAATCTGAAATCTGAAATGATCCATTGAACATTTCTTTTGAGCATCATGTGTGCGCTAAAAAAGTTTCAGATTTTGGAGCATTTTGAATTTCAGGTTTTCAGACTTGGGATGTTCAACCTCCTTGATTTAGTGATGATATTTCATCTCTGAGCTATCCTGAGCTCCTTGAAACCAGCTCCATGTCAGAGCTGGCTGCACTGACCACAGCACATGGCAGGTGCTGAGTGTACAGAGCTCATTCAATAACTGCTGTTAACTGTATTGATTGCTACTCCTTTTTTCTCCAAACTGTTTCTTATCTTCACATTTCCTCCATTTATTCTCCATCCAGTCAGTGCTGTCAAAGCAAGCTGCTTGCAAAGCTCCCCACATCCATTTTCTAGAGCACCAGAACAATATATTTCTAACCATTGCTGTTGGTTATCAACACTTTGTAGTTTGGTTGGCACTTCATTTTTTTATTAAAGACAATTAGAATCAGCTGCCATCAGGTAAGAGGTTACAGTTTTGTTTTCTGAATAGTGAGGCATCCATAAGCATAACAAACATTGTCTATAGTACCACTTACCTTTTAACATAAATAGCACAAATATTAAATAAGAGCATGTTGAAGATATATTTATAGATAAAAATTTTAAGATAGATGAGAATCTATAGTTATGTGCTTTTGTCACTAATATTGAATTGTTTGAATTGGAAATATTCTTGTCCTTCTCTTCATGATTTTAAAGAGAAAAATCGTGAATTTCTTTATTTTCACTGACTTTGGGAACAAATATTCCCTCTTATGCATTTTCCCGTCTGCACTACCAATTTGTACTTAAAGGTCCCAGGGTCTTGGTGTAGTATATGTCTGTCTTTTGCTAGCCAACTATTTAATTATCCAGCTCAGATATAACCTTTTCTAAGAAGCTTTCCCAGGTTCATCTAGTCGGAATTGAACTATTTTCCCCATGCTGCCGTTTTTAACATTTTTATTAAAGGTGTATGTCATGGTAGGAAATATGTCCAATATAGTTTTGTATCCCTGCAGGACTTAGTGCTCAAAACAGATTCATATATGTTTATTGGACTGAACTGAAATTCATGCTGTGGGAAACAAGGATGATAGTTTGCTATGAAAACAGAATATTAGAGTATATTTAGAAGCTTCCAGAATAAGCCTGCAGAACTTCCCTCATGACTATATGCTTATGTCCCAATGCATAAGATGGGAAAAAATACCACTTATCTTTCAGCTTCCAACTGCATCCCATCTAAGTACACATATTCTAGGATTTCTTATATATTACTCCTCCATTCACGTAGATTATTAGTTTCCATTAGAGAGTTAACCCTTTGTGTTTACTTAGTTACCCCTCATGCTGGATGAATGTTAGATACACTGTCCATTTGCACCTGATGCCCGTCTACCTCAGTGTATTCCCAGTCCTGCGATGTAACTTCCCAAAATGCAGAGTCTGTCCCATTAACACACTTAACACAGCCTTGGCATGAGATCAGGCAGATGTGGCATAAGAGTTTATTTTATGAGACAGAATCCCAATTATAACCTTTCCTATGAGGGTCATAATTGAATTAATTAGCTTTTATAAAATTCCACAAACAGGAAGACATCACTTTTGTTTTTCAGTGACTTAGATAATTTTAGTTTGTAAATTGTTTCCAGGGTTTCATGAGTCACTTGGGGCAGAAGGCCTTTGAAACTTCCCAGAGTTCAGTATAGGAAGTTTCTGCTCTCCTGAGCTCACCTTCATCATTTCTATGTTGTAATCTCTTTCTAAAGAGATTATATATGTTTGTAAGAACAATAGGCTTATCTTATGATTCTTATTCTTAGTTTAAGAAGAGATTAAAGACCAAAAATATGGATTGGCTGGAATATTTGTGTCCTTTGCAGACATGTAACAATTATGATACTAAGAGTTGTAGTTTATTCCCTAATATAAGTGTTGCCAGTGGCACCAGTTTGTTTTTGACTTTACCACACAAAAGAATTTGAGAGCAAGTTCAAAATGAAAAGAGGTAAGAGAGCTTACTGCAAAGCAAAAGTACACTCACCGCTGATCACAGCGGGCTACTCAAAGGTGAGATGATGCTGACTGACACTAGGGAAACTCCCTTTATGAGAGTCTCATATGATTATTCATGAAGGGTTGGGAAGGTGTGTTGCTATTAAGCATGTTCGGGGTGGTCCTCCCGATGTGCATGTGCTATTGTTGTACGTGCGGGTAGATACATGGCATGTCTCATTAACATCTTAAATCTCTACTCATGGGTGTGTTTTTTACCATTATGATGAGCATAGGTCAGCCCAAAGACACTAATCATGGGTTTCTGCACTTGCATGAATGTGGGGATTTTTCCATTCTGTTCCTTTACTTCCTTGCTGTGGGATGTTCTAACCATGAGCCCAGGGTGTGGTTTATGAACTGTCAGGCAGTTTGTTCCCTCCACTTATTTAGGAAGTTTGTTCTCATTTAAGGGAGACTATAACCACCCTATGTAATCTACTTTATAAGGACATTAGATGGTTTAATAGACTGGCTGAATCCTACAGCCATCAATATTGTGGGGCATAGATGTAAATGAGAGGAGCAAATAGATTTTGACATTTTGAAAGGAAATGTACCATAGGATTTTAATCAGCACATTTGCCAACACCATGTTCCCTTTGAAGAAAGGTTTCTTTAGAAAGATTCTTCAAGTTGTTGGTATCATGGTGCATTCTTTAAAGTGGCAGCATGGCTTGAGGTTCTAGTGGATGTTTAAGATTCACCCTCTCACTGTGTGACCTTAGATGCACTCTCTGGCATTCATTTACTCTAAATGTCCTGGCAGAATCCAAAGGTAATGTCTACATGGCCTTCTTAGTTTCTTTAAAGGAAGCTACTTGATAAACGGTGACTCATCAGTTGTCAAGTCTTTGATACTTAATGAGCTGCCACTCATTAAACAATCAAACAGCATGAATTTAGTGATCATTAATTTAATATGAGAACAATGAATAAGACTGTGGGGAAAGGGGACAAATAGAAATAAATTAATTCAAGTATTTATTAAGTATTTATGAGTACCTATGCTCTAGACTCTATACTAGATGCTGGAGATTTTTGAAATGAGCAATAAAAAAAAAAAACCAAAAACCAAAAACCAAAACAAAACAAAAAAACTCTTACTCCAGGCAAGAAAAGGGGGCAGGGAAAAGGGGGACCCAGGTAGAGGGAACAGCATGTGCTGTAACCCTGGATTCAGAGGGATGCCCGGGTCTTAGTCTCCACTTGACCTACCTCCTACCCCACAGCCTGGAGGGACCTCCCTCCTACAAGCCGCTGACCCCAAAAGAGAAGCTGGAGGAGCAGGAGATGCCCTCCCAGCTTTTCACTCTGGTGGCCTCAGAGCACAGCCCACTCAAGACCCCCTACTTTGACGCTGGCGCCTCATGCACTGAGCAGGAAATGCCTCGATACCATGAGCTGCCCACCTTGGAAGAGCGGTCAGGACCCTTGCACCCTGGAGCCACAAGCCTGGGGTCCCCCATCCCGGTGCCTCCAGGGCCACCTGCTTTGGAAGACGTTTCCCTGGATCTAGAGGATGAGGAGGGGGAGGAGGAGGAAGAGTATCTGGACAAGATCAACCCCATCTATGATGCTCTGTCCTACAGCAGCCCCTCTGATTCCTACCAGGGCAAATGCTTTGTCATGTCCCGGGCCATGTACGTGTGAGCTGCCATGCGCCTGGTGTCTCACATCTCACCTGTTGATCCCTTAGCTTTCTTGCCAAGGATCTAGTGCCCCCTGATGTCTGGCCAGGCCACTGTCAGTTAACACACATGCGTCCCATTTGTGATTTCTACCTTGGTGGCTCCACTGTGACCCCTAACCCACGAGCCCAGAGAAATTCACCATGATAATGGAATCCTGGCAACCTTATCTCATGAGGCAGGAGGTGGGGAAGGTGCTTCTGCACAACCTTTGATCCCAAGGACTCCTCTCCCAGACTGTGACCTTAGACCATACCTCTCACCCCCCAATGCCTCGACTCCCCCAAAATCACAAAGAAGACCCTAGACCTATAATTTGTCTTCAGGTAGTAAATTCCCAATAGGTCTGCTGGAGTGGGCACTAAGGGCTCCCTGCTGCTCAGACCTGAGCCCTCCAGGCAGCAGGGTCCCACTTACCCCCTCCCCACCCTATTCCCCAAAGGTGGGAGAGAGGGGATTCCCCAACCCAAGGCAGGGTTTTCCCAGCACCCTCCTGTAAGCAGAAGTCTCAGGGTGCAGACCCTTCCCTGAGCCCCCACCCCCACCCCAATTCCTGCCTACCGAGCAAGCAGCCCCAGCCTAGGGTCAGACAGGGTGAGCCTCATACAGACTGTGCCTTGACGGCCCCAGCCTTGGGAGAAGAATTTACTGTTAACCTGGAAGACTACTGAATCATTTTACCCTTGCCCAGTGGAATAGGACCTAAACGTCCCCCTTCGGAGGAAAGTGGGTCATCTGGATTGGGGGTAGCGATTGATACTGTTTTGTAAACTACATTTCCTACAAAATATGAATTTATACTTTGGAAAAAAAAAGAAATGAGAGATACAACTTTTTGTCCAGGAGAAGCTCAGACTCACATAAAAGACACATACTGAAGGCTTTACATTTGCTTAGAAAAACAGATTACATACCCATGAGACAAGATAAGAACACTACAGTAAAAATATCTACAGTAAGGCTTTATTAAACCAGTTGCCATTGTTAATGAATTTGAGATAACTGGGATAGGAACTTTCTGCTCTGTTGGTGGAAAATATTAAGCAAGCTATGCATTTCATTACTAAAAGGTTTAGTATAGTACATTTCTGTCCTCCTGAAATTATCTCACTTAATTAACCTTTTTCTCAGAACTATGTTGCATCATGTTTATTAAGAACAATGGACTTATACTCATCCTAATGATAGGCCTACTGTCCAGGAAGACTTACTTTTTGGAAAGCAAATCCTATAAAAGGGCAGACGAGTTTTGTGACAGATGACAAAGAGATACTGTAGGTTTTACAACCATTTGGGAAAGTTATTTTAAAATATAATTCTTTTTATTATTTACTATCTGAAAAATACCTAGACAGTGAAAAATTATCAGTAGGTTGTATTTAAAGTTTTTAGTACAAGTCAATTATTTTGGGTTTGGCACAAACCCAAGGAAATGTTTTTATATATAGGGTCTAGTTTCCAAGACTGTCCACAAAAATCTAGGTAGCTTGTAATATGAATAATCAGCCATCTGAATCACAGTATTTTCCAAATTGTGCCAGCTGTTACATTCATGAGAATCTGTGAGTTTCATAAGAATTTTTAAATCCTTTGTTTTCATTTTGACAAAAATATAAAAATTAACATACAGTAATCATATTCTGTATCATCTAAATGAATGCCCTATTATGTGATTCTTGAAATCATGTTTATGATCACCTCTATAATTGTGTTTGTCTCTTTGTTGTCATTTGTTTTTAACAGTTTTAGGGGTTTACTGTATACACTGGTTAGTAGCTGGCTGCCATTTGGTTGACTAACATTAAAGTTATAATGACACAATTCTTTCATATTTATTATTATCCTCATGTTGATTTTGTTTACGTGTTATGAGAAAAAGCTCAATTTTAGTTTTTAAGATTAAATTTAGATTTTAAAAATAAACTGATGCATTAGGCAGAACAATGTAGACTAAGGATAAAATAACAAAGGCAGACAAAGTAGATAACTGATGCAGTTTTGTTAAGGGACAGGCCAAATTAAATCATAAATCCGATTAGATAAAGATCTGTATAGATGAACTCTGCAGTATTTCAAGGAGAGAAAAGTAGTGGGAGAATTTAGTCATCACAGGACATGTTAAGCATGTTAAGCAACTTAATAGTTGGCCCACCATAACTGCCAAAGTGAATCCTCAGTGAAATTTTTTAAATTTATAATTAGAGTTATATTTTACAGTGTCTTAGCAAAATAATAGACCAGTACTTATTTTTGCTCTAACATCAAAATAATAGACCACTATTCATTTTTGCTCTACACATCATTTTTAAAATTGGAAAATTTTTCATAAAAATCCAGATTTCTGGCTTTTGTTTGTTTGTCTGTTTTTTGTTTTTTAATGAGAAGGCATGCAACTATAGGCCTGCAGCCCCCTGTGGCATTACAAGAGCTGGGCAGTGACTGTTTCTTATACAAGGCCTGCTCGTCTCATATACATTTGCTGCTTATATTTCACAAGCATTAGAGTCTGTGCTTCCCTATCTAACCCAATGTTGGATATTTCCCAGGATGTAGTAATAAGTGTTTTTGGAGAAAGGAGTCTGTAGCTCTGCATATGTTGTTTGTGAAACAAGTATCTGTGAGTAGGGGCTTCTGCTGAATATGGCTCCTTTCTAGGGCACTATCACACTTTGTTCTTTCTGTAACCATGGTTTGGTATATAGATAGAAGTAAAAATCAATCTTTAGAAGCAAATTTATAAATTAATTCACTGCATTCATAGACTCAGAGGCTTGCCTGTGAGAAGGAATCTGAGTGACCTCTCCTTCCTTCCCTACCCCTCTTCCCACCACTGGCATAATGCCTGCCTGTTATTTGTATGCTTCCTTCCCTATTATTACTGCTTATTCATTTTACTTCGTTAATGTTTAAAGACCATTGAGGTTATTCACTGAAAAGGGCAACACTTACCACCGACCATGCATAGGTGAACTCAGATGAAATTTTTGAGGAGCTATTTTGAAAGCATGGTATTTCCAGAGTCTGATTTATCTCTATTTCTATCGTATGGTTGCTGTTCCATTCATCTGCTGTAACTGTAACAAAACATAAGGTAGAAAATATGTGAATCTCTGATTGGTTTGTAAAGTGCTTTTTATCAAAGAGACAAAAACAGTTTTAGTATAGGGATTCATCTGTCCTCAGGGTACACCTATGAAAAAGAGAGGCAAACTCCCACGATAGCCCTCATTGTATAAGTGGCTAAACAGAGTCACTGAGGAGCACAGAATTGTTGCTAAACACTGAAAAATTACAAGGAAATGACCCCAACAGAATCAAACTCATGATTTGGCATGTTCTGCTTTGGCCCCAAATTGGTGCTTTAATCTTCAGGTTCCATTTCCTTGATCAGATAGAATACAAAACTTCATAACCTAGCCTTAACTGTCTTTTTATTTTGTTGGACTTTATTTTTTGGAGTAGTTTTAGGTTCACAGCAAAATTGAGCAGAAAGTACAAAGTTCCCAGTATATCTACTACCTCTACCCACCCACAGCCTCCCCCACTGTGGACATCCTGTTCCACAGCGGTACATTTGTTACAATTAACGAACCCACACTGGCACTTCATTATCACCCAAAGTTCATAGTTTACATTAGGGTTTACTCTTAATTTTGCACATTCTATGGGTTTGGACAAATGTATAATGACATGTGTCCACAGTTATAGTATCATACATAATAGTTTTCCTGCCCTAAAATTCTGTTCTTTTTACAGTCTTCATATCTAACAGTCTTCCCAGAGTTTATAAACATTCCTCCCACAAAGGAATGACACAAACATATATAAGGAAACTTTGAGGAAGCAGTGTTAATTATTTTCATTTTTAAGGTAATAGAAGATAAATATCCATTTTGTAGTCTCTCCTATTGGGAAAGTTTTATATACATACATATAAATTTGTGACTAAACTATAGCATCAAAAGAAGTTTACAAATAAAGGCAACTCTACCATCTAAATATCCTAAAAATCTTATATTCTTTTTTCTATATTCAAATCTTGTTTGCATACATGCATGTATTCTCATAGTCTGCAATCCTGTTTACCAATGAATGTTATATATGTTGTTACTTTAGAATGTTTTGTGTGATTCTTGAACTACAGGTGATTTAAATTTATGGGGGCTTCATGTCATTTTATCATATATACTAATCATCATTCATTTAGTCATTTCCAATTATTGAATCATTATGCTCTTTCAGTTTGGACTTTTTACTTTATTTTAAACCATTACATGCTATATAGCAAGGATCATCCTCATGCTAATAGCTTTCTTCTGACCATTCAGCTACTTAAGATAAATTCTCTGAGGTATAATTAATGGATCATTGAGTATGAACATTCTTATTGCTACTAACATTGTGAATATATATATATATGTTATAAAACGGTATAACTTTTATACAGTATTAGTCCATCAAAATAAAAAGGCAAAGGCTAGGTTATGAAGTTTTATAGTCTTTCTGATCAAGGAAAAGGAAACTGAAGATTAAAGCACCAATTTAGGGCTAAAAATTATATATATAAATATATATATAAATATATGCTATATAACAGTATACATTTTAATGGCATATTTCTGTTTATAAATTTTATATCTAGCCTTTAGATCTTTGTTATATTTTAATCTCTTATCAATATCATCTATCTTCTTTACCAATAACTCTTTCCTCCTCCTTTTCCTAATTAAAACCAGATCTTCCCATTAGGGTACATCTTCCCCACAGCATTTCCAAATAGTGGTTATATATTTTCTTGCACTCTAATTCCTCAAGTTCTGGAGGTGGGATCAGTGCTTTCCTTGCTCTCCACTGCTGTTTCCAAATAGTACTCCAAGCCCATAATTGAAAAAAAAGACCCCTGTCCCTTAAGGAGAAAAAAAATCACTTAGCTATCACAGCACTTCCAAATGGAGTTGTTTCTATACCATCTCTACTATCATCATTTTTTGCCATATTTGCATAAGACCATTACTACTATCTAATTTTATTCTTAAATTATTGTAATTGTTTTACTTATATATATTTATTTAAAATATACTGAATATCTCTGAAGTCCATGCAATCCAAATATGTTAGTTATATTTTAATGAACATCAGTCAAATACATAAGTATTACATTTTTGTAAATTTTGTCCAGAATCTGGGAAGCTGGCAGTATAAGTGGCATTACTTTTTGAATATACCTGAAACCCTCTATAAAAACAAAGAAGATAAATAGGGTAACAAAACTAAAAATACATAGATCATATCTACACGAACACTAAATAACAACACATCCCTCTTAATTGGTGGGGAAAAATCCACTAAACCACTGTGCTATCAGTAACTGTGCAGAAACAGAGGAAGATCAACTGGGCTTCTGATGGATCTTAGAACTAGAGAACCCATACCACCTCCCTCTGCCTAGTAACAGGTAATCACTGGAAAGACAGGTAGATTAATCCAAGAATAGTAGCTCAAATGGAGAAGAGAGTTTGCGGGCACCAAATCACCAGTGTCTTCAAGAAAAATAAGAAAAAGGTTGTCAGTGCTGGAGCAGAAAGGACTTCTCAGGACACATGCCATGGGGAGAAAAAACTGCTGGACATAGAATCCAATAAGACAGGACAGGTCCACTAAGAGAAATCAAATAGGCAATTTAGGTAAAAGTGAGGGATAGAAGCAAAGGAAATACACTCAGAAAGTACAATGGTAAATTACTTACCTTGAAAATAACAGAAGAGGCGGCTTTAGGGATACTGAACACTCTAGAAAAGCTAGGCTGGCCCACTCCTCTGTGATAAGAATGCATTTAACTTAAGCATGAGTGATAGAAAGGGAATGAGATAGAATAACCTATAAAGATACCAGAAGCAAAAAAAGAATAGAGAACAAAATAACATTCCTACAACAATGAGAGCATATTATCAAGACACGACAACAAAGTAAATAAAAACTATAGCCAAATTATTCAAAATGAGCTAAAAGAAATAAAATGATGAAATTGTGCACAATTTTGGAAAGTTCCCAATGAGTCCAGTGGAAGAAAAAAGCTTACAAAACATAGGTAACGAAATTCGAGAAAGGGTTAGAAATAATAAATTTTTAAAAATCACTCCAGAAACTAAGACAAAATTAGAATGAAACCAGAAACACAGAAACACAAAAGTTAATTCATTGAAGTTCATTTTCAAAATAGAATGAGGGAAATTTTGAAATAAATAAAGCAATATGTAATTATAAAAAAAGAAAAAAGTTGATAAAAGAGATTCAAAGGAAATGATATGCAAAGAAGATAAAAATATATGTACAATAAAAGACATTAAAGAAAAAAGATGAAAGCAATGGAACAGAACAAATATTAAAAACTATAATTCAAGAAAAATATAATAAAATTTAAAATGACTAGAAACTGCACATTAAACGATTATACTGCAAAATAGGAAAATAGACCCAGAATGGACAACTTTAAGCATGTTCATATAAAAGTATCGAGCAAAGTCAAACATGGGGAAAGAAAATCTGATTGTTATTAGCTTTTTGATAGCAGTCCTCTGCCAGAAAACAATAGAGTAACATAGTTAATATACTCAGGGAAAGAAAATGTGAGCCAAAGATTTTATATTCTTTTTTAATAAAGTCTTTTTTAATAAAGACTACAGAAAGATGTTAGAGTTACACAAGAACTCAGAGAATATTGCTGCTATGAGCCTTTCCTGAGGATTCTCCAATAGAATACATTTCAAACTGGAGATGCATTTACATAAAGGTTAGTGGTAAATGTTGATTATCTATTTACCTTTAGCACTAAGAATATATAATTGTTACAACAAAGGGAATAGTGATGAATATATGTTTTTAAATAAAGATACAATATAAATATCAAAATATGGGGTGTAGGAATGAGAGACTTCTGGTTATGGGGACATGAGGAGGTCAGTAAAAACAGACAAGTACAAAACTGGGGAAATGTGTTTAAAAAAACAACAACAATTTTAGGGCCGTGGAAATTGACTAAAGGTAGTCATTAAATTGCAAAGCATTTCTTATTGAAAAATCACTAGAGCTTTAGTAAAAACAGCAGGAGACTTCAATCTTTTTGCCTCAGCTCCATCCATTCCCTTCTCCAACCTGGTCATTAAGAAATGTAGTTTTAGCCACATGGAGCTGGTTGCAAAAACCAGCAGCTTTTTTTCCACAATGGGCAGACTTAAATTAGGTCTAGGGATAGAAACCTTTCACCTTTTCCCATAACAGAAGCAAACTTCGTAGGTGCCTAAAACCTGAAGCTTGGTTAGTTTGGGTTTGTATTCCCATCTGGAGTGAGTGGCTGCTATGATTTGAATGCTTCTCCCCTCTGAAATGCATGTTGAAATTTGGTTGCCATTGTGTCAGTATTAGAAGGTGGAACCTTTGGGAGGTGATAGGACAGAGCTTTCATGAGTGGCATTAATGCCATTATAAAAGGGCGAGTTAATTCCCCTTTTGTCTCTTGCCCTTCTGCCTTCCACCATGTGAGGACATGGCATTTCTCCCCTCCAGAGGATTTAGCAAGCAGGCCCTCACCAGATGTCAATGGCTTGATCTTGGACATTTTCAACCTCCAGAACTGTGAGAAGATAAATGTCTATCCTTTCTAATGTATCAGTCTGTGGTATTCTGTTAGAGCAGCACAAAACAAAGACAGTGCTAGACCAGAAAGACCTTTAACATGGAGATCCTGGAAACTAGAGTCATGGAATGGCTAAGATAAAGACTTCACAGATTATACCCTGACTAGGAAACTACACACTGAGTCAGGGAGACCCAAAAGAGCGTAGCAAAATGTAAAAGCCCAGGAAGTCTGGACAACTGGCTGCAACTTTGAATGCACTCCCTGATTGACACACAAATCTATGCATAAAGAGAGGAAGCCTAATGGATTTAAGTATTTGAGCATAACTTTTGCCAAAATCATGGCTGGACCAATAAAGTGGCTTTGCCAATGCAGGGGCAACTTCTTGCAAGCCAAATTAAAAAATAACTATTAGTATAAAAATCGAGAAGAGAGATCAATGGCCTTGCATTGCAAAGGAGACATTCAATTTAAGCACAGATAAGTTACTAAAATGAAACAAAATGAACCTAAATAAGACATAATATAGAGTTGCAACATATATATATATTCTATAGTCTGTCTATAAATATATATATATTTTTTAATGTCCAGTTTTCAACACAAAATTATGAGACATGGAGGAATCAGGGATGTGTGACCCATAATAAGGAAAAAAGGTAATTGCAGCTGAATCTGGGTGGACCCAGGTGTTGAATTTAAGAGACTTCAAAGAAGTTGTTATTCGGGGAGGAGCCAAGATGGCCGAATAGGAACAGCTCCGGTCTACAGCTCCCAACGTGAGCGACGCAGAAGACCGGTGATTTCTGCATTTCCATCTGAGGTACTGGGTTCATCTCACTAGGGAGCGCCAGACAGTGGGCGCAGGCCAGTGGGTGCGCGCACCGTGCGGGAGCCGAAGCAGGGCGAGGCATTGCCTCACCTGGGAAGTGCAAGGGGTCAGGGAGTTCCCTTTCCGAGTCAAAGAAAGGGGTGACGGACGCACCTGGAAAATCGGGTCACTCCCACCCGAATATTGCGCTTTTCAGACCGGCTTAAAAAACGGCGCACCACGAGACTATATCCCACACCTGGCTCGGAGGGTCCTACGCCCACGGAATCTCGCTGATTGCTAGCACAGCAGTCTGAGATCAAACTGCAAGTCGGCAGCGAGGCTGGGGGAGGGGCGCCCGCCATTGCCCAGGCTTGCTTAGGTAAACAAAGCAGCCGGGAAGCTCGAACTGGGTGGAGCCCACCACAGCTCAAGGAGGCCTGCCTGCC
The DNA here is from genome assembly GCF_000001405.40 of Homo sapiens. Lineage (NCBI taxonomy): Eukaryota > Metazoa > Chordata > Mammalia > Primates > Hominidae > Homo > Homo sapiens. Next base: position 111,561,700 of record NC_000003.12, on the reverse strand, counting down.
TCTGTAGGCTCCACCTCTGGGGGCAGGGCACAGACAAACAAAAAGACAGCAGTAACCTCTGCAGACTTAAATGTCCCTGTCTGACAGCTTTGAAGAGAGCAGTGGTTCTCCCAGCACGCAGCTGGAGATCTGAGAACCGGCAGACTGCCTCCTCAAGTGGGTCCCTGACCCCTGACCCCCGAGCAGCCTAACTGGGAGGCACCCCGCAGCAGGGGCACACTGACACCTCACAAGGCAGGGTATTCCAACAGACCTGCAGCTGAGGGTCCTGTCTGTTAGAAGGAAAACTAACAAACAGAAAGGACATCCACACCGAAAACCCATCTGTACATCACCATCATCAAAGACCGAAAGTAGATAAAACCACAAAGATGGGGAAAAAACAGAACAGAAAAACTGGAAACTCTAAAACGCAGAGCGCCTCTCCTCCTCCAAAGGAACACAGTTCCTCACCAGCAACGGAACAAAGCTGGATGGAGAATGACTTTGACGAGCTGAGAGAAGAAGGCTTCAGACGATCAAATTACTCTGAGCTACGGGAGGACATTCAAACCAAAGGCAAAGAAGTTGAAAACTTTGAAAAAAATTTAGAAGAATGTATAACTAGAATAACCAATACAGAGAAGTGCTTAAAGGAGCTGATGGAGCTGAAAACCAAGGCTCGAGAACTATGTGAAGAATGCAGAAGCCTCAGGAGCCAATGTGATCAACTGGAAGAAAGGGTATCAGCAATGGAAGATGAAATGAATGAAATGAAGCGAGAAGGGAAGTTTAGAGAAAAAAGAATAAAAAGAAATGAGCAAAGCCTCCAAGAAATATGGGACTATGTGAAAAGACCAAATCTACGTCTGATTGGTGTACCTGAAAGTGATGGGGAGAATGGAACCAAGTTGGAAAACACTCTGCAGGATATTATCCAGGAGAACTTCCCCAATCTAGCAAGGCAGGCCAACGTTCAGATTCAGGAAATACAGAGAACGCCACAAAGATACTCCTCGAGAAGAGCAACTCCAAGACACATAATTGTCAGATTCACCAAAGTTGAAATGAAGGAAAAAATGTTAAGGGCAGCCAGAGAGAAAGGTCGGGTTACCCTCAAAGGGAAGCCCATCAGACTAACAGTGGATCTCTCGGCAGAAACCCTACAAGCCAGAAGAGAGTGGGGGCCAATATTCAACATTCTTAAAGAAAAGAATTTTCAACCCAGAATTTCATATCCAGCCAAACTAAGCTTCATAAGTGAAGGAGAAATTAAATACTTTACAGACAAGCAAATGCTGAGAGATTTTGTCACCACCAGGCCTGCCCTAAAAGAGCTCCTGAAGGAAGCGCTAAACATGGAAAGGAACAACTGGTACCAGCTGCTGCAAAATCATGCCAAAATGTAAAGACCATCGAGACTAGGAAGAAACTGTGTCAACTAACGAGCAAAATCACCAGCTAACATCATAATGACAGGATCAAATTCACACATAACACTATTAACTTTAAATGTAAATGGACTAAATTCTCCAATTAAAAGACACAGACTGGCAAATTGGATAAAGAGTCAAGACCCATCAGTGTGTTGTATTCAGGAAACCCATCTCACGTGCAGAGACACATATAGGCTCAAAATAAAAGGATGGAGGAAGATCTACCAAGCAAATGGAAAACAAAAAAAGGCAGGGGTTGCAATCCTAGTCTCTGATAAAACAGACTTTAAACCAACAAAGATCAAAAGAGACAAAGAAGGCCATTACATAATGGTAAAGGGATCAATTCAACAAGAAGAGCTAACTATCCTAAATATATATGCACCCAATACAGGAGCACCCAGATTCATAAAGCAAGTCCTGAGTGACCTACAAAGAGACTTAGACTCCCACACATTAATAATGGGAGACTTTAACACCCCACTGTCAACATTAGACAGATCAACGAGACAGAAAGTCAACAAGGATACCCAGGAATTGAACTCAGCTCTGCACCACGCAGACCTAATAGACATCTACAGAACTCTCCACCCCAAATCAACAGAATATACATTTTTTTCAGCACCACACCACACCTATTCCAAAATTGACCACATAGTTGGAAGTAAAGCTCTCCTCAGCAAATGTAAAAGAACAGAAATTATAACAAACTATCTCTCAGACCACAGTGCAATCAAACTAGAACTCAGGATTAAGAATCTCACTCAAAACCGCTCAACTACATGGAAACTGAACAACCTGCTCCTGAATGACTACTGGGTACATAACGAAATGAAGGCAGAAATAAAGATGTTCTTTGAAACCAACGAGAACAAAGACACGACATACCAGAATCTCTGGGATGCATTCAAAGCAGTGTGTAGAGGGAAATTTATAGCACTAAATGCCCACAAGAGAAAGCAGGAAAGATCCAAAATTGACACCCTAACATCACAATTAAAAGAACTAGAAAAGCAAGAGCAAACACATTCAAAAGCTAGCAGAAGGCAAGAAATAACTAAAATCAGAGCAGAACTGAAGGAAATAGAGACACAAAAAACCATTCAAAAAATCAATGAATCCAGGAGCTGGTTTTTTGAAAGGATCAACAAAATTGATAGACCGCTAGCAAGACTAATAAAGAAAAAAAGAGAGAAGAATCAAATAGACACAATAAAAAATGATAAAGGGGATATCACCACCTTTCCCACAGAAATACAAACTACCATCAGAGAATACTACAAACACCTCTATGCAAATAAACTGGAAAATCTAGAAGAAATGGATAAATTCCTTGACACATACACTCTCCCAAGACTAAACCAGGAAGAAGTTGCATCTCTGAATAGACCAATAACAGGAGCTGAAATTGTGGCAATAGTCAATAGTTTACCAACCAAAAAGAGTCCAGGACCAGATGGATTCACAGCCGAATTCTACCAGAGGTACAAGGAGGAACTGGTACCATTCCTTCTGAAACTATTCCAATCAATAGAAAAAGAGGGAATCCTCCCTAACTCATTTTATGAGGCCAGCATCATTCTGATACCAAAGCCGGGCAGAGACACAACCAAAAAAGAGAATTTTAGACCAATATCCTTGATGAACATTGATGCAAAAATCCCCAATAAAATACTGGCAAACCGAATCCAGCAGCACATCAAAAAGCTTATCCACCATGATCAAGTGGGCTTCATCCCTGGGATGCAAGGCTGGTTCAATATACGCAAATCAATAAATGTAATCCAGCATATAAACAGAGCCAAAGACAAAAACCACATGATTATCTCAATAGATGCAGAAAAAGCCTTTGACAAAATTCAACAACCCTTCATGCTAAAAACTCTCAATAAATTCGGTATTGATGGGACGTATTTCAAAATGATAAGAGCTATCTATGACAAACCCACAGCCAATATCATACTGAATGGGCAAAAACTGGAAGCATTCCCTTTGAAAACTGGCACAAGACAGGGATGCCCTCTCTCACCACTCCTATTCAACATAGTGTTGGAAGTTCTGGCCAGGGCAATTAGGCAGGAGAAGGAAATAAAGGGTATTCAATTAGGAAAAGAGGAAGTCAAATTGTCCCTGTTTGCAGACGACATGATTGTATATCTAGAAAACCCCATTGTCTCAGCCCAAAATCTCCTTAAGCTGATAAGCAACTTCAGCAAAGTCTCAGGATACAGAATCAATGTACAAAAATCACAAGCATTCTTATACACCAACAACACACAAACAGAGAGCCAAATCATGAGTGAACTCCCATTCACAATTGCTTCAAAGAGAATAAAATACCTAGGAATCCAACTTACAAGGGATGTGAAGGACCTCTTCAAGGAGAACTACAAACCACTGCTCAACGAAATAAAAGAGGATACAAACAAATGGAAGAACATTCCATGCTCATGGGTAGGAAGAATCAATATCGTGAAAATGGCCATACTGCCCAAGGTAATTTACAGATTCAATGCCATCCCCATCAAGCTACCAATGACTTTCTTCACAGAATTGGAAAAAACTACTTTAAAGTTCATATGGAACCAAAATAGAGCCCGCATCGCCAAGTCAATCCTAAGCCAAAAGAACAAAGCTGGAGGCATCACACTACCTGACTTCAAACTATACTACAAGGCTACAGTAACCAAAACAGCATGGTACTGGTACCAAAACAGAGATATAGATCAATGGAACAGAACAGAGCCCTCAGAATTAACGCCGCATACCTACAACTATCTGATCTTTGACAAACCTGAGAAAAACAAGCAATGGGGAAAGGATTCCCTATTTAATAAATGGTGCTGGGAAAACTGGCTAGCCATATGTAGAAAGCTGAAACTGGATCCCTTCCTTACACCTTATACAAAAATCAATTCAAGATGGATTAAAGATTTAAACGTTAGACCTAAAACCATAAAAACCCTAGAAGAAAACCTAGGCATTACCATTCAGGACATAGGCATGGGCAAGGACTTCATGTCTAAAACACCAAAAGCAATGGCAACAAAAGCCAAAATTGACGAATGGGATCTAATTAAACTAAAGAGCTTCTGCACAGCAAAAGAAACTACCATCAGAGTGAACAGGCAACCTACAAAATGGGAGAAAATTTTCGCAACCTACTCATCTGACAAAGGGCTAATATCCAGAATCTACAATGAACTCAAACAAATTTACAAGAAAAAAACAAACAACCCCATCAAAAAGTGTGCGAAGGACATGAACAGACACTTCTCAAAAGAAGACATTTATGCTGCCAAAAAACACATGAAAAAATGCTCATCATCACTGGCCATCAGAGAAATGCAAATCAAAACCACTATGAGATACCATCTCACACCAGTTAGAATGACAATCATTACAAAGTCAGGAAACAACAGGTGCTGGAGAGGATGTGGAGAAACAGGAACACTTTTACACTGTTGGTGGGACTGTAAACTAGTTCCACCATTATGGAAGTCAGTGTGGTGATTCCTCAGGGATCTAGAACTAGAAATACCATTTGAGCCAGCCATCCCATTACTGGGTATATACCCAAATGACTATAAATCATGCTGCTATAAAGACACATGCACACGTATGTTTATTGCGGCATTATTCACAATAGCAAAGACTTGGAACCAACCCAAATGTCCAACAATGATAGACTGGATTAAGAAAATGTGGAACATATACACCGTGGAATACTATGCAGCCATAAAAAATGATGAGTTCACGTCCTTTGTAGGGACATGGATGAAATTGGAAATCATCTTTCTCAGTAAACTATCGCAAGAACAAAAAACCAAACACCGCATATTCTCACTCATAGGTGGGAATTGAACAATGAGATCACATGGACACAGGAAGGGGAATATCACACTCTGGGGACTGTTGTGGGGTGGGGGGAGGGGGGAGGGATAGCATTGGGAGATATACCTAATGCTAGATGACGAGTTAGTGGGTGCGGCGCACCAGCACGGCACATGTATACATATGTAACTAACCTGCACAATGTGCACATGTACCCTAAAACTTAAAGTATAATAAAAAAAAAAGAAGTTGTTATTAGTCTATTCAAAGTATTAAAGCAAAATATGACAATGACTCAATAAATAGGAAATGTTAGTAGAGAAATAGAAAGCTATAAAATGAAGCAAATGTATATTTTAGAGTTGAAATGTCAGTAGCAAAAATAAGAAATTTACTAGATGTTCTCAATAGCAAATTTGAGATGGCTGAAGAAAGAATCAGTGTATTTGAACATTGTTCAATATAAATTATCTAATCTCAAGGGAGAAAAAGGATTGAAAGAAATGAAAACAGCTTCAGAGCCATATAGGACAGTATCAAGTATGGTAACATACATGAAACAGGAGTAGTAGAAAAAGAAGTGAAAGAGTAAGGGGATGGATCAAATATTTGAAGAAAAAATGGCCAAAAACTTCACATATTTGATTATTTAAAAACTTTCTTAAAATTAATCTACACATCCAAGAACTTTAACAAAACCTGAATAGGACAAACACAAAGAGACACCCATAATCAAACTTCTGAAAGCCAAAAGACACATCATAATCAAACTTCTGGAAGCCAAAAAGAAAGACTAAATTATAAAAGTAGCAATTGAAAGGAGCAAAAACCAACCAACCAAACAAACAAAAACAAAAGCTCATCCCATTCAGCAGACTAATAATATAACTAGTGGCTCATTTTAATCAGAAATAATGGCGATCGAAAGATATATTCAAAATGCTAAAAGAAAGAGAAACAATCCACTCTGAATTCTATATCCATTGAAATTATCCTTTAAAATTAAAAATGAAAAAATCTGAAAGAATTCATTGCAAGTAGATTTGTCTTACACGAAATACTAAAGTCCTTCAGGCTGAAAAGAAATGACAACAAACAGTAACTCCAATTCATGGGATAAAATAAAGAGCACAAAAAATGGTAAATACGTGAGTAAATATGAAAAATTATATATGTAGTCTTCATATGTGAGTAAATAAAAACTATACATACATTTATTTTTCTTTTCTTTTCTCTTAATTTTGTTAAAGAACATGAAATTCTTTAAATCAGGGGTTCTTAGCCCCTGGACCATGGACTGGTACTTGTCCGTGGCCTGTTAAGGAATGGGGCCACACAGCAGGAGGTGAGCAGTGTGTGAGTAAGAAAAGCTTCATCTGTATTTACAGCTACTCCCCATCACTTGCATTACCATCTGAGATCTGTGTCCTGCCAAATCAGTGGCTGCATTAGATTTTCATAGGAGTGCGAACTCTATTGTGAATTACACATTTGAGGGATCTAGGTTGTGTGCTCCTTATGAGAATCTAATGCCTGATGATCTGTTGCTGTTTCCCATCACCCCCAGATGGGACCATCTAGTTGCAGGAAGACAAGCTCAGGGCTCCCACTGATTCTACATTATGGTGAGTTGTATAATTATTTCATTATATATTACAATGTAATAATAATACAAATAAAGTGCACAATAAATGTAATAGGCTTGAATCATCCCCAAACCATCCCCCTCCACCACAGTCTATGGAAAAGTTGTCTTCCATGCCGGTACCTAGTGTCAAAAAGTTGGGTACTGCTGCTTTAAATCCTTAATTTAACACTGAACTGTTGAGTTTAATACATATATTATTATATACGTGTACTTTATAGTTTGATATAGATGCAGTATATTTAGTAATACAGAGTGGTTTAGAGGAGATACGGTGGAGCAAGTTGCAAAAAAAGAAAATAAGAGAAAAATAGACATAGGAACAGACAAACAAATGCTTCTGACTTTGGAGTTATCCAACAAAGATTTAAAATAACTCTTTTTCATATAGTCAAGAAAACAGAGAAGAAATGGAGGAAGTAGATCAAAAGGTGGACAAATTTATCAAAAATTAAAAATCTATCAAATGTGATCAAATAACTTAAAAATACAATATCAGAAATTAAGAACTAATTTGATGGGGTAAAAACTTATTGGACATCATAGAGATAGAGTTCATGATTGGAAGACAGGTGAATACCTAATTGAATCACAGAAGGGAAAAAAAGTAGAAAATATAGAAGAAGGCATTAGAGATATATAAAAATGTAAATTTAGGTGTTTTTATTTTGCACCAGAAACCTAATGTTACAAATTTAAATGCTCATAAAAGAAAGCATGCAAGTATCAGAAATTATGAGTGAATTCTTATATAATTTGGAAATGAAGAAAACTTTTCTTGACCAAAACTTAAAATCAGGACCAATAAGGGAAAAGAGTAATAGATTTTATTTAATAAAAATAAGAAACATGCTGCATTGCAAACAATATAAGAAAGTAAGAATAAATGACAAACTGGGAAAATATTTGCAACTTATATAACAAAGGATTAATAGGTTTTATATATGGGAAATTTTCAGTAAAATAAGGATAATAACCGTAATGAATTGAAATTCATCAGTATGTTTAAGTTCATATAAATTCATGATACTTAACATAAAATACTTACGGGTCACTTTCTAAAAATACTAGTTAACCAACTCATTTTTAAAACTGGTGATTAAAGGGAAAGAATCAAGTATCTATTCTGCTTTTCTTATACAAACTATACATCAAATAAATAATAAGTTGATGAGAGGAAGTTTCTCTTTATAGAAATACTTAAGCTAATAAATTAGGGAATGATAGAATATTTCTATTCGGCAAATCATAATGATTTAATGGATGTAGGCAAGGCTCACCAGTGGCTCTTAATATCATGTAACCAGAATTATGTGCCTCTCATATAACTATGCATCATCTATCACGTAGTCTTGCCAAAAAAAAAAAAAAAGAAAAAAGAAAACCTAAATGTTATCAAGTCTCTGTCAAGAATATAAGATAACTTAGAGTTTATAAGTCTAACTATAAGGTGAAAACATAGAGATACTATGGGACTATAAGAGCAAAATCCAGGCTGGACAAATCATCAAATTTATTCAACAAATATATCGCAAAGGAAAAATAACAAATGTAATATAGCTTTCAGATTAAAAGGGAATTTCCAAATAATCACAATATATCTAGTTTATCTGCATCCTAATTTAAAAAAAAAAACAAAATATAACATCAGGCTGATGGGATATTGAATAATATTAAATACTAATTTTTTTTTAGTTTTGGTGGTAGATTATGGCTTTTTTTTAATGACATCTTTATCTTTTAAAGATTCATACTAAAATAAACAAGAAGTCTTGCATTTTCTCCAAAGTAATCTTGGAAGGCAGCAGTTGATAAGGGTTTAAATAAAATGAGATTGCCTATGAGTTGATAATTGTTGAAGTTGTATGTTCAGTATGTGGGAAATTATTCTATATAATTTTCATAATTATTCTATGTATTTTTTGTATATTGTTTAGAGTTTTCCACAATTAAAGCTTTTATAGTTGTTTCATGAATCACCTAAAACCATCTCCAGTACCAGTATTGTCAGTTATGAGCAACATATTTTAAGAAAAACAAAACAATCCCTTTCTTCCTTGATTCACTGCTATTATCCTCTAACTCAGAGGTCATAAACCTTGGCCTGTGGGCCAAATCTGGCTTGTTGCCTATTTTTGTAAATAAAGTTGAATTAGAACACAGTCAGGCCCATTCATTTACATATTCTCTGTGATGCTTTTTATGCAACAGTGGTAGAGTTGAGTAGTTGTGACAGAGACTACATGGACCACAAAGCCTAAAATATTTAGTATTTGGACTATTTCAGTCTGTTTTGTGATGCTGCAAAAGAATATCTGAGATTAGGTAACTTATTAAAAGACATATTTGTTTATCTCAGTTCTTGAGGCTGGAAAGTCCAAGATCAAAACATCGGCAGGTTTGGTGTCTGGTTAGAGCCCAGTGTCCTGTCCTCTTTCAAGATGGCACTTTGAATGCTGCATCCTCGGAGGGAGGAATGCTGCTCCCCACATGGCAGAAGAGCAGAAGAGCCACAGAGAGAAAAGAGGGGGACAAACACACATTTTTATATTGCCACAAATCTTTTCCAGGAGAGTGGAGCCCTTATATCACCTCTTAAAGGGCCTGGGGTCTAATATCCAGTGTCTACAAAGGAACTTAAACAAATTTACAAGAAAAAAAACAAACTCATTAAAAAGTGGGCACAGGACATGAATAGACACTTCTCAAAAGAAGACATATATGCAGCCAACAAATATGAAAAAAAGCTCAACATCACTGATAATTAGAGAAATGCAAATCAAAACTACAAGGAGATATCATCTTGCACCACTCAGAATGGCTATTATTAAAAAGTCAAGAAAGAACAGATGCTGGTGAAGTTGCTGAGAAAAAGGAATGCTTTTACACTGTTGGTGGGAGTGTAAATTAGTTCAGCCATTGTGGAAGACAGTGTGGCCATTCGTCAAAGACCTAAAGGCAGAAATACCATTTGACCCAGCAATCCCGTTACTGGTATATACTCAAAGGAATATAAATCATTCTGTTATAAATCATTCTGACCCATGAGGGGGAACAATACACACTGGGGCCTGTCGGAGGGTGTGGTGGGGTGAAGGAGAGCATCAGGAAGAATAGCTAATGGATGCTGGGCTTAATACCTGGGTGATGGAATGATCTGTGCAGCAAACTACCATGGCACACATTTACCTATATAACAAACCTGCACATCCTGCACATGTACCCCTGAACTTAAAATTTGAAGAAAAAGAAGGTCCCATGTCTTAATACTGTTACAATGACAATAAATTTCAAAATGATTTTGAAGGGGACAAATATTCAAAGCTTAGCATGACCCTTCAGAGAAAAAGTTTGTCAACTTCTGCTGTAATCTCCCAATCACACTCCGTTTTTCTTTGAAAATGTTTTTATGTAGACTGCAATATTTTGCAGCCCCAAACCTGACATAACCTAGGTGCTTTCAGTGACCATGCAGATGACTTCTCCAATACCTGGACTCTCAGTTCTTCCCACTGTCATCTTCATTAATTGTCTCCACTTCATTTTAGCCATCTACTCTCACAATCACATCTTGGATCTTGTTATCATGTAAAATAGCTCATCTACAAAATCACAAATTCAGACCTACAAACATCTCTTCTTCCAGTTTGTGCAACCAGTTTCATTTCAACTGTTCTCCAACCTCATTGGTCTTTTAATGAGTTAATCACTCTACTTTTTTCCAAATCACCAGCTTTATTTTTTCTTTGCATCTCTTATTATCAAGCTAAAGTTCTATAGTGCATTATGTCAATAATATTTTTGCTTATACCCCAAATCCTTTGCCTTTTTGTTTTCCTTTTGGCAACAATCTAAAAAGGAATCCAAATGTGGCACTATGTACTTTTTAATGCCCAGACTCAAGCAGCCAATCACTGCTGGAGAAAGCCTTGTGCGAATTGTTTTCACTACCATTTCATACCATACCCAAATGGATGTTCAACACAGACCAAAAATCCAAATGTGTTAACTTAGTGAATCCATTTCCCTTCTATCCATAGCAGCTGTTTCAAACCTTCCTCAATCTTCTTTTCTGAAGCTTCCTTCCTCTCTCTAGCTGAAGATGGTTTTGTTTCCTATTTTAGAGAAATAGAAGACAGCACCTCCCTCATCATATGCACTCATCTTATTTTCCCTCCCACCTGTTACAATAAAAAAAAACTGTTCTTTTTTTTTCAATATCGGGGTAGTCCTACTTGTGTTGTGAGTATCATTGTCCCCATTTTCTTAGAAACCTTGGTTTATTATTTTATCTTCCATACTGTGTATTTAACTACCCTTTTTCAACTAGATCCTGCCCATTAACTTTGAAGCACAGTCAAGTGTTTCTTATTAATTGAAACCACCACCACCATCACTACTGTAGTATCAACAGAATCCCGCATTTGAACACCTCTATCTACTCTTCCTATTACTACTGGCAGATTTCTTGAAAGTCATATCAATGTGCTGTCCCCATTTCCTTGCCTCCCACTCATTCCTCTTCTCCCTCCAGCCTGACTTCCATTCCATAATGCCATCAAACAGTTCCTGTTAGGTGATAAAAAAAACTTCATGTTTTAAAATACATTCGAATAACTATTTTATCTTCTTAGAAACTTTATAATTGATGGCTATTCCTTTTATGTAATATGTTTCCAGGTTTTTGTGACCCAATTCACTCCTGATTCTACTTTTGCCTCTTTAATTGCTCTTCATTATCCTCTGAAGACTCACCTTTCTCCATCCGTCACCATGGACTCTGCTGAAGTGCCACATGGCTTTTCTTGCTTGATTTTCTCTTCCTAGAGGATTTCTTTCACTCCCAGAATTTTAGTTAACACTCACACTCAGATGACTCTGTATCTTCAGCTTAAACCTCTCTCCTAGATCTGAAATTGTATATCCAGTTTACCTAACGTCTTCTGTATGTCACAACTTCATGCCTAACTCAACATCTATAAGATTAAATGCAAAATAATTTCTGTATGATCTGATCATCTTCCAGTGTTCCCTAATACAATGTTCCCCTATTTTTTCTGTGTCACATATTAGAAATTAAAGCATCATCCTTGACGCTGCTTTTTATTCCTTCCTTCACGTAGGCAATCCACCACTGATCCTGTGGGGAGAATCTCCTACACAAGTTTCTAATCTAAACATTCTTCTATTTCTAGTTCATTGCCACTGTACTTAATGGTACCAGCATCTCTCATGTAGCTTTCTGCTGTTGTCTTCTAACTGATCCACACTATCGTCTCTGCCTTCTCCAATTCATTCTCTACACTTGAACCACAAAGATGCATTTTTGAAATGCAAAACAAAAAAAATCAAACAAAACAACCACCTTTTAATTAGTTCCCACAGCTCTTAGGATAAAGACAAAACTCCTTAAATGGACTAATCAATCTTTCTAACCTTATCGTCAACTGCCTCACCTGTAATCCCTCTGCTCCAGCCATAATACCTTTTAAAATCTCCCCTGCCTACCCAGTTGTTATAACTTCCTTCCCCCATAGAACCTTTGCATGTCCTGTTCTTTGTAAAGCTCTGTGTTCACTTGGTTAACTCCAGTTGAAGCAGCGCTTCCAAAGGAAAGGAAAGGAGAGGGGAGGGGAGGGGAAGAGAGGGGAGGGGAGAAGAGAGGGAAATGAAAATAAGGGGGAAGGGAAAGGAAAGGACAAAGTAAAGAAAGTCTTTTCTGATTTTCCTATTATACCCTCTCATACACTACTTCCTCACTTCTGAAGCACTTCTCACTGTTGCAATTTGATATTTGTTTGCTTATTTGATGAATGTCAACTTCTTCCTATTGAACTTTGTGATTCATGAAGACACAGTCATGCATATATGCCTACTCTGTGCCTAGTGCCCAGTGTCTAGCACTGTAAGCACTCAAAAACACTTGTTGGATAAAGACTAAATACAGGAATTTAAGAAGAGCCAGCATTCAGGCTCAATACAAACTAGACAGGATAACAACATGTTTTAGACCAAGCTTATCAACATTGTAGTATCAAAATTTTATTGCTACTATTACTACTACTTCCAGGACCATGACTTCTCCAACCGCATTCACTGCTACTACTGCTTCCAATAACATTAACAGCCCACCAAGGCATTTACTGTGAACTAGTAAATTAAAGCCATGTTATACTCTTATAACTGATCTTAATAACTACAAATTTTAAAATGCACCAAAATCTTACAATCTGAAGCATTATGGGATCCAGTAGCATTCAAATGAATGAAATCTAGATTATGACAATCCAAGGCTTAACTCAGAGAACTGCATTTCTTGGAGTGACTGAAAATCTCCTAACCTAGGAGGAAACTCTGTCAAGTGAAAGCGAAAAAGAGGCAAACCTCACACTGTTTATTATATTTCCACTCTTGTCCACAATCTCAGAGCACTAAGACACACACAGAGACAAAATATTGTGAAAAGAGAACAGAATCCTTTCACAGCTAGGCCCTTGGGGAACATGGGAACAGGATTTAGACACACACTGTGTTGTGAGCAGACAAGAGAGAATGACTCAAACAGCAACAGAAAAGAAACAGGAAGAGATGATCAACTCAAACACTTCAAGTCCCTCAGCATTTTCAAATTAGGTTCTTATGCACCACTTCAATTTGCATTTGTTTATGTACTATATAAGTGTTTGCACTTCAGGTGTGTTTTGCTTACCCAACTAGCTTGTAAACTTAAAGATTGCACAGGGGCATAAGAAGAAAACTGTACAAGTGAGAGGAGAAGAAGCAAGAGAAGATCAAAACAGTAAAGGGTAGAAAGAAAATATGCTATTGGTTGTGAACTTGACAGAGCTCTCAGATGGCAACTGCCTCCCTTTAGTCAGCTGCCTACTCTGTAGCTCCGTACCAGGCTTACATTTGTGGTCACTCTGTGGTGAAGGATGTTTCCCCCTTCTGTTTTGCTCTTTTCTATTTTACTCCCTTTGTACCCAAAATCACAATACCAGAACCATTTCTCTAACACTGAGGCCATTGCTTTTCATCTGATCCAGATGACAGCAGCAAAGTTACATTCAGAAGACCGGAAATTTTCCAACCGCAAAAAGTATAGATACGGTTTCTGCCTCTCCAGTGACCTGCAGTTTTTAGTAGCTACAAGCTTAACTCCCTTGGTTCTCTTTATTTTAAGAAATACATTTCTTTAAAGGCAACATCATCCTCCTTTCTGGATAATATACTATCTGTTCTCCATTGCTGTCTTCATTTTGTGGCATCACTTATTCTATTTCCTATAAGGTACATCAGTCCATGTTGCCAAGTCTCAATGAAGGAAACACTGAGTCCTCCGTGAGGCAATAGTATTGTTTACTGGTTCAGGCAGAATGTACAAAAAAAACTATGTATGAAACCAAGGTCAATGTGTACTTGTACTAACATTACATGGCAAATGTCTTACTGGGTTCCAAATGAGGTCAATATATAAAAAGAAGGAGCAGGGCTCATATTTAATTGGAACTGAGAAATAGAATTTGCTCAATATAATTATTACTATTCTTAATTGAAAACTACCATTTACCAAACTCTTATCCTTTAGCAGGAACTATATGTTTAAGTGCATTACACAGATTATCTCATTTAATCACCAAGCTAGTGATACCTGTAAAGAAAGCACTATAATTATCCATATTTGTTATGTAAGAAACTTGAAACAACTTGGGAATGATGAAACGTATGGTAAATGATAGAGCCAATATCCAAATACAGGCTACCTGAATCAAACTATGTATAGCTAAACAGTTTTCTATATAGGTCTTCCATTTCTCTTTACTTCAATCCCACTCCACTCCATCCTTAATTGAACTGAAGTGTGTGTGTGTGTGTGTGTGTGTGTGTATGTGTCTGTGTGTGTGTGTGTGTGGTGTGTTTTCCTCCTGGAAAACAGCAAGGGAATTGGGCATTATAAGATAGTAGTTGATGGGACCTTGGCCTATAGGTGGACTGTTCCAACAGCATATTTTTAAAGCAAGTAAGTTATAAGACATGGAGAGGAGGCTATAAATCCATACCTGTTGCTTGTTCTGGACAGCTCTATGCCCCCTTTAATATGACCTTCACGAGTTATTTTTTTTTCTTATATTACCAGGCCACTTTGCCCTGAGTTAGAACCAGTCCACTGCCAGTGCATTTTGCATCTGTTGGCTTTCACTTTCATTGTTTTCCATTAGCAGAAATGAAAATCATTTACTTTAGGACCAGGTAATTTAGGGCAGGCATTATTATAATCATTTTCCAAATGGGCTCAGAGAATTTACACCACAGGCCCCAAGTCAAATTTTATTTCTATTCAGAAAGGAGCTAGAACTTAAATCTAGGATTCCCACTTCTAAATGCAGGCCTCCAAAGTATGTTTGGTGTGAATGCTTCATAGTTAGCAGCTTCCTTTGTCCCTTTACCTGCCCTAGACTAAATATTGTATACCCAGAATCACTTTCATAAATTCACCCACAAACCTTCCTTTACCTTCCATCACAGTGAATAGCACCACCATTCAGGTGTGCATGCCAGACACCCAGATGTCACCTTTAACTTCTTTCTCTCCTTCCTTCATACTGCCCTTGTCTTATATTCTCTCTATGATCATATCTGTTTTATGCCCAATGAACAAAATTTGCCATTTTCCTTCTATATCTACCTGAACTACCACTCTCTCTTTTCTGGGCTACTGAGGTGGTCTCCTGAGTTGTCTCTACCTTCTCCTTCTTGTCCATCTTCACCTCATTTTCACATGAAAGTCAGTATGACTTTTTTTTTTTAAACAACACAAATACAGTCAGCCTATAAATGTCATGCCATCCTTTTGTTGGAAATACTTCCATGTCTTCTTATGGTTCTGAGATCAAAATAGAAACCTTTTAAAAGGGAAGCTGACCAGGTCCAACATGATCTGGTCCTTACCTGCCTTATCCTTTAATTGCTGTATTGCTGTCCCACTGGCATTTTCCCATTTCTTCAAACACTCCAAAGAGCTTCATGCAAGCTCTTTTCTCTCTCTGGGATTACTCACAATCCCACTCTGCCTCAGCCCCACCTCCTAAATTGTGGTAGTGTCTACTCATTCTTTAGACTTAAGCTATGGTGTTAATTTCTAAAGGACAATTTCAATGGCCTCTGTGATGTGCTCCTTCACAAGACTGTTACAGTATTTATTATCGACACTTATCACTGTTGCAAGTTTACATTTATTTACTTAAATGCTGTGGTCACTTCCTGTCTCTCTTATCAGACAGTAGCTCTTTCTGCTCAACCTTTGTATGCTGAGCACCAAGCCTAACCTTGCTTTTCTTAAAATGTACATTTGTTGAATGAGAGAGAGCTGAATGAAAGCACATCCCTCTACCAGTTATGCTTACCGTGTGTCTGAATGAGAAGGTTGTAGATTTTAGTCTGAATGCCCTCTGGATACAGAACAAGCATACACTCGTACCTTCCACTGACTGAACAAGACATATTCCTTAAGTGCAGAGTCCATTTTGACCCATTCTCAGGAGTTTCTGTGAAAGTCACAAGTGACTCACAGGGTCTCCCATAGGCACAGTAGAAGCCGTATTGGGGATGATAGACAGCAATCAGGTCTATCTTATTGGTGACCTTGGACCATTGCATCTGCACGAAGAAGCCTACTGTCTGTGTTTGGCAGGTCAGGTTGACATCAGAGCCAAGTGTAGCATAAACATTTTCTTCTGTGTTGACTGTTTTTTCCCAAACTCCTGAAAAGAAAGAACATGAGCCATGAGTTTAAATAATTCACATAGAATGACGCTTAATTAAAAACCCTAGTCACTTCAGTAAGGTGAGGGGAGCAACTGAGGAAATTTCTCCCTGGCTGCTTTAGGAATAGAGTAGAGCTTGTGTCTCACTCAGATAGAGATGCATGAGACAATATAAATGAGGAGGCATTTACGTAGAGAAGCTAGAGGTAATTACTGACTTCTAAATATTTATCTATGTGTTGGTCTGACCAAAATATAATTGAAGGTTTCAGACTACCTGTGAATAAAATTAAGCCTATTTGAAAATTGAAGCACACCAGCAAACTTAGTATGACGATTCTTCTTACGTTTAATATAATTGGCTTTTTGG
Organism: Homo sapiens; assembly: GCF_000001405.40. Lineage (NCBI taxonomy): Eukaryota > Metazoa > Chordata > Mammalia > Primates > Hominidae > Homo > Homo sapiens. The sequence continues at coordinate 111,544,672 of NC_000003.12, read as the reverse complement.
GTTATAAAACGACAGCTGAATATAATACACACGTGATGCTTTCTGAAACTGCAAAAATAAATGATATGTGTATAGCAATTTCTTTGAAAAATACATGTTTACAAGGGCCTTTCATATCTTATCTTGTTTAATCCCCCTCACACGCCATAGGTGATGTTGTTAACCCCTTTTTATGAGGAAGAAACTGGGCCACAGAGAGATGAAACAGTATGCTCAAAGTCACACCTCCAGGCCTGGCGCAGTGGCTCACGCCTGTAATCCCAGCACTTTGGGAGGCTGAGGTGGGCAGATCATGAGGTCAAGAGAACCAGACCATCCTGGCCAACACGGCAAAACCCCGTCTCTACTAAAAATACAAAAATTAGCTGGGCGTGGTGGTGCACGCCTGTAGTCCCAGCTACTTGGGAGGCTGAAGCAGGAGAATCGCTTGAACCTGGGAGGCGGAGATTACAGTGAGCCGAAATCATGCCACTGCACTCCAGCCTGGCAACAGAGTGAGACTCCATCTCAAAAAAACGAAAAACGAAACAAAACAAAAAAAGTCACACCTCCAGTAAAAGAATGAATTCAGTTGCCCAGAGTCTGTGGTCTTTCTATAACCCTCATAAGTATAACAGTAAAACTCCAGCCAAGGAAGACAAAGAGACCTTTAGAGACCAAAGAGAACTTTATTTAATTCAGGCATCCAGGCCCACAGCAGACTCATGCCCAAAATGGCTGCTGACTCTGACAAAGAAAGCAGGCTTGCTTATATGTCGTTTGAGGTGGGAAAACAAGGCAGGATACAGGTTTCAGGCAAAGACAGTAAATTATTTAACCCGTGACAATTCTGAGAAAACTTACAATTTAGTTATCTTAACCAGTCAATCTTGAAGCTAGACAGAGATGGGGTAAGGTAAAACAGGAGTTACAGAAATATGTGGGGGTCTGGGGGCAGGCAAGAAGCTTGGAAGGTTGAGATAAGCTCACAGCTGCAACTTGTTAGCAATGCTGGGAGGGGCTACTTAAATTTCTTAGCCTACATATAACTTCTAAGTAACCTATACTTAATGTTAACTATTACCTATGTTATGCTTATTATTTTAAACTTTATTATTACTTATTTTATTTTATTTTCCTTCCACATAACTTCCAAACTGTCTCCCAAATTCAGTCTAGTTGATTAGAGTAAGAAATTTCACTTTCAATATACAAGGATTGAAAGGACCTCATCTAACCTTAGGTAGAGGTTCCACTTAGTATCACCTCTAATCGATGGTCTGAAATACTAGACATAAGTAGAGTCTCTTTCCCATCAGCAGTCTGACTGAGTGATACAGGACACTTAAAATGTGTTAAGCATTGAGACTGTGACATGCCTTCAATAGTGTTGGCCTCAGTTTTAGAATTAACATGGAATCCTGTTACAGAAATGATATATATTATTGTGACAAGTACCACTGAAGCTCACAAAAGGAAAAGATAAAAAGATGACAAGCAACTGAGAAGAAACAAGCCTCTTAAAAGTAAAAGTACTTGACAAATGGGAATTATCATACTTCTGTGGATGCAAAAGTTTGGTAGGCAGAGGTTAGTACAGTTTAATGTAACTTCCTGTGAGCTATCCTTTGCCTGAAAATATGGCTCTGATCCTATCTACAGCATTATATTCCAAATCTCTTTTGATTTAGAAATTCTCCTTAATATTTTCATAGCTATGTCTGAAAAGCACAGTTAATTCTTAAGACACTCAGGCTTACTATGATACTCTCATACTGTGGAATACAGAACTAATCTTGCTTCCTTCTCTTTTTAAATAGGCCCATTAGGCTCTCGTTCCCACTGTCATAAGGATTCCACTTTGTCTCCCAGGTTCATACCTACACATGCCTCATTAAAATTCAACGTGTTTTCAACTCCCAAAGACCTTAGTATTTGGATGAGAAATACTTGTTATATCCAAAAGAAAGAGAGTACTTGAGAGAGAAAAAAGTTAAACAAGGATCTCTGAGCGTTGATGGCTTTGTAATTTTTAATTTTTCCGCAGTTGTTTTGGCTACCATTTGGAGAGCATTTCATTTCCAAGAAACACAATTTGCCAATTACTCCAGAGATCCTGTTAGAAAGGAAATGGGTGAAAATGCCTCAGAGCAGTGGCACAAATGACCCATTCCCTTCTTATTTTTAGTGTTCATTAGTAATCATTTCTAGATTCTAGCATCTCTCTTATACCTGCCGCTTAAATACATAACTGAAACCCTTAGTAATGATTTGTCCTTTGGTGATCAATTTCAGCAGCAGTCACAAGGCATTTTAAATGAACAGAGGCCCCATCCGCCCCTAAAGCGGCCCATCCGACAAGAAGGGACAACTGGAAGTCTTACCCTTGACAAAATGTATCTGGATGATGTAATAGACAGCACAGTATTTCCATTTTTTCTCCATTGTCTTCTGAACACCTTACACCAGCATTTCTGTAATGATCACAAAGTCAATTGATGTTTTCAAGCAAACTCCAGCCACCCACTTCGTGCTAAAAAACCCGAACTCTACCACACACGCCTGGGTCTGTTTATCACTTGGCAAGCCCCCAGGAAATGAAACGTAGACAGGAAAGTAATGTGGTTCAGGACTGAGTATAACGTTCGACAGAACAATGTTGAAATTGTTCTCTGAAATTTGTGTATCACCTTATTTAAGAGACTTTTCAGTATCCAAAGAGTCTCTTATTCAGGATCTCTGTGTCAGTCAAGCTGCGTCTAAAATCCAAACAAAGGATATCACGCAGAGCAGTTGGCAATGTGCTTTTTATACATTTTTTTCAAGAGCACAAAGTCATTTAACAAATGTGAGCTTGGTGTTTTTCATAATAGTTTTTCTGTTCAATCTTAAGATATGTTTTCTTTCCAGAATTGCCCTGGGGTGAAAGAACAAAGAATTAACACATTTAATTTTAATAAAATCTGAAAAGTAACAGGGAATAGTGTCAGCTATCAAACCAAATTTTATTGTCTCTCCTCTTGCAGGGAAATGCACATTTCCTGGGAGTGGAGGAGTGAGGGCTACTTTTCTACCCCTCGTCTGGGAAGACGAGGGAAGGTTGGAGGTCAGATAGGGAAGTCTCCCACCAGGTTGGCTGGAGGCCATTTTTGTTCACCACAGAAGAGTTTATCCATGCCTAAGCCAAAGCAAGGCAGTAACAATCAGAATCCAAAGGCAGAGAATTCCCACCTCAGTGAGCTATTAGGCTTATTACATCTGCCTAGTTACTTCTATTTACAGAGAACCGCAAACAGGTTTCAGGAAAGTGACCCCTTGGTAAAAATGTCTGGCTATTCGTAGAACACGATGACTGTTCCCTGCTATGATTCTCTGATTTAATTGTATTAGTTTTTCAGCCTGAGATAAAATAGGCTGTCATCACCCTCCAACATTAAGAAAACAAGCATTAGACTGAGGACTACTGTAAGTTTGATGGACAAAGAATAACTACAAATAAACATGTGTGTCTTCATACAACCGTATGAATGATTAAAATATCCTGTGACCCTAATCTCATTACTAGAATATACGTACCACCTAGCAAGACCAAAGACAAATGAAAAGGCCAGTTGTAATCCTGAGATGGGAATTCTTTTCAGGTGAGGTGGAGATAATTTTCGTCAGGTTGTCATCATGTATACACCAATCTCTCCTATGCAAGGACTCGTGGTGAATATGGACGATGCTAAGACAGAAGGAAATGCTTTTGCCATTCAGGAGATTAAATTTAGATGGGAGAAGAGAGGTTTTCATGTAAATAAACAAGGGCGACTGTCTTCCTGGACGTCCAGATCACCCCCTATACCACCACTGCAAATACTTGCCATGATAATTGCCATACTTATTCAGTATTCCTCAGCTAATGATTTCTTGCAGAATTTAGATGTAGTTACTGCTTGCCTAGTCCAGTGCTCCCCAAACCTTTATTATCACCCCTTCCCAACTTCCCATGAGTTTCAGGTCACTGGGGATATTGGGTCAGGTAGTACTGACAGTGATTTTCCAGGGAAGGCCTGGGAACTCAAAGTCCTTTATAGAAGGTCAGGAAGAGACATAACTGCTCTGGGTAGCTTCATCTCTTCCCATTGCCCCTGGAAATTCTAGTAAATCAAAGTTTTATGAAGCATAGCAGCAAAAATAGTCCTGGAGATGCACTATGAAGATCCTGATTTGCACGTTGGTGTCCCTATTAAATCAGGACACATTACAAGCCTGGAGAAGGGATTCTATGATCTCGTTCCATTTTTCATATTAAGAGGAATTTACCTAAGTAGAAACCAATTCAAATATACATTTATTGAATTCTCTAAGAACAATACCCTCTTTGGGGTATTTAGACTTCTCCTATCTTTTATTGTATTAAAGTGAAACAGTTGTTCCAAAAAAGTCTGTAAACTCAGAAACATGGAAATGGTCGTTTATTTTCCAGTGCTACAGACTTACTTTCAGTAGAATTCTTGCCTCTCATTGGGGTTGGGCTACCTGAGCCATGCATTTAGTGGCTATACGGCAAATCTGTCTTCTGTGTATTGTTCAGGGCTTAGTTAATGATTCTTATATCTAGAAACTTCTATGGCCTGAAGCCATCAGATTTGATTAATTTTTCTTTGGGATCCACACAGGTTCTGAAAGTATAACAATTTCAGATGCATGGCCACAGAATATTAACTGAACGCTTACACTTCGGGTGTCCTGCAGCTGCAAGACCCAGGCAACAGCCCCTCCATGGCTGTTTGCATGCAGCAGGTGGCAGCAACACTCCGCAGACTGGCACGGCTATCCCAGGTGATGGGAATTGCCCCCACCGCCTTTCAATCCTGGTAATATTTTCTAAAGGCTCTTTCAGCATGGGGATAGACAGGCGTTCTCTATACTTAAAAATAACTCTTCTATGGAAGTCATGTCAATCTCTTCTATTATCCTCCCTACCCACCATATCCCGATTGCACAGGGTTTCTTCTGCCTTATAGTCTGCTGCACATAAGGAGAAAACAGAAGCAAGTCAGTTTCACACACAAAAAGAAATCGTGATCTTCTTGAACTGCAGAGGCAAATTCAATTATTTACAAAGAGAAGCAGGAACACACATTATTTCTGCTAAAGGCAAGCCATGATTGTGTGTTTTGGACAAACTTTTTAAATGCTCTAGCTAAACACACTCAGTGAGAAAAGGACATTTTCAGAAACAGGAAGTTGAGCAAAAGGTAAACTTACTTTTGTGGTTTTCATAATGGTTAACTCAAATATTACTTACTTATCTTTAAACACTTACTAAAAATAAAAATGGGAGTGCTATACTTTTGCATGTTTTCCAAAATGCTTAGAAAACATGATGGTTAAGGTTTCAGTTAATTAAAAAATACTTGCTGTATGTCAATTCTTAAGAGATTACTGAAGAGGCATAGTTCTAGATAATTTTAAAATACCAAAGATAAAACACAACCCTCAGTTTTAAGGCAGTTACCATTTAGCTGGGAGGAAGCATCCATGTGCACCAAAAAAGTCAAGCAGCATAAAGCACAGCCCAAATGAGAAGGTAGGGCAGGATTTTAGCAAAGGGGGAGTTATCTTAGGGGTAGAGTGGGCCAAGAGCATATGAAGTATGGAATCTAAACTTGGCCCTATAGGCGTCAGACTGGTAGAAACCGCAAGCTAAGTCATTCCAGGCAGAAGAAACAGGAAGAGCCAACACTTGACAGTGTTGAAGTTCAAGGCCATTTAGTGAGTGGGCTATTCCGGTTTAGCAGAGGCTGTATTAGGGGACTTGGAGCAGACAAAGCTGTCCAAGAGCTTTGAATTCTAGGCTAAAGGGTGTGGGTTTTTTCCTCATGTCAGAGAGACTCCCTAAAGATATTTCAGCATATGAGTCATATATTTAAAGTAACATTTTAAAAGGATAAATTGGGTGGGCGTGTGTGAAATGAATGGAAGAAAGGAGAACAGAGAAACAGAAGACTTGTTAGGAGTTTATGTTTCTTTGGGCACTTTAGGATGAGAATGGGCTGACTGGCATGGCGAAGCATGATGAAAGCAAGGTCATTACCAATAAAGAGGCTGTAAGGTGAGATGTACGATTGGGCATGGAATCAAAATATCCTATAAAGTTTCATGCCTCAGAATTAGGAAAAAGGGAAAACAAACAGAGTTGGATTCTTGCTGGAAGAACCACCCTAATCAAGGAGCAGTTATTAAATGATCAATAGATTTTTGATGGATGTGAAAGATAACCTATTATGGCACAGCTAGCAGTCCTGCCTTCATCAGAGTAGAGTTCTTTTGGTTTTCACTCAAATTTTATGAGTTTTATGAGTTAGCATGTAATGAAAAAGAATTTCATGAGACTTTCAGCATAGCAATCTGTTTTATCACCATTTTCACCATGCCGAATTCCATCCATGAAAGACTAATTTTAGTTTAATACTTCTTTTTCAGTTACAACATCAATATCTGCTCATTACATGAAACCATTTTAAATGGATAAGAAAGAAAATTTAAATGGATAAGAAAGAATTCTAACTGCCCAAAGACTACCAAGACCTATATGGTGTATATTTGTCTAGATTTCTTCATAAACATGTACATATAAAGAAAATGAATTTTTACCACATGCATGTTAAAAATTCATTTTATAGATGTACAAAAAATAATTTTAGGTAAGATATATATAAAATTTCCACCTGGCATTTTACTTTCAGAAATAAAATTATATAATTCAATTAGATAATTATAATAAGTAATCTTTGAATATTTATTTTGAGTAGCAAACTGAAACAAGGAGAGAGAGAGAGAGATGGAGAAAGAGACAGAGACAGAGATATTTTGAAATTGCCAAAGCCCTGGCAATTTAATAACTCAGTAATCAAAATGTTGATTTTTTCAGAAATACATTGAAGAAACCATTAATATTTCCAAGGTTAAGTTAGCATAGCCAGAATTAGAAGAAATATTTTAAGTTCTACATTCTACCTGGCTTCAAAACATTAAAATTTATTAAAATGTCTCTTCATAGTCAATGAAGAAAGAAAGAACACCTTGAAAAATGAGAAGGGTTGCAATTGATTTTATAGCTTAAAAATAGATAGTGTGGAGCAAAATCATATACTGTGGTTCTTTGATAGACTGCTACAATAATATTCTTAATCACATTGTATTTTTACAACTATAGTTCACATAGAAACTGTCGTGTTTCTGTACTTGGTGAAAACAATAGACTAGGTAAGGTCAACCAAGGACTGAATCACCCCTCTGTTCCCTGTTATTTCCCCCAGTAATTTCCTTTTAAATGGAGTCCTGCATTTGAGGACAAGAGTGAAAGAAATAGGGCATGCAGAAGTGCAAGAGAGGGAGGGAGACAGAGAGAGAGAGAGAGAGAGACAGAGAGACAGAGAGACAGAGAGAGGACAGAAAGCACACTTTTGTATTTGTTGCTTTGAGTAATGGTATAGCTCAATAAAACCTCAATTAAGTAATGTTATCAGGGAATAGGAGATTGCGATTAATAGCATTTCCTGGGCAAATGAGAGCCAAACCAAATTCTTTTCTTGGAAGAGGAGGGGTAGTACTGGGGAGGAGAAGTAAGTAGGATAGAAATTAGTCCTTGTTGGTGAACATCTTTTAAAAATGCATTGTTTCACATTTCTGGCTCAATGAAAACCTTATCATGAATATAATTTTATTTCAAGATTGGAGATCTTACAGAGACCAGGGACTTTGTTCTGAACCACAGTCCCCAGAAAGTAATCATAACAAACAAGAAGACAGTTGTGCATAAAAATATGCTCTCTCCTTCAGAAAAGAAGTCTAACTTTGTAAAGATTTGCCTGTTTTGTGAAAGTGTTAAAAGCAGAGGCATGAGCATGCTTGCACACATAGGTTTTCTATTTCCTACCAAAACCTACAGAATGTTGGAGTTAGAAGAAACTGTATTGGTCATTTAGCATAGACTGAGCCCTTTATTTTACAGATGAAATAAATGACACCCGAAGAGGTAAAATGTCCTGCCCAAGATCAAAGTGTCTCTTATAAAAAATCCTGTGCTAGTTACGATGAGTCTTTTACACCATTAATACATTGAGCTTCATAACATATTCAATAATAAAAACCAATTATTCTTCAATTTAAAATGCAAATTGCCTCTAATATCTTGACAAATAAGAAGCAATCCAAAAAGCGTACATTTTTTTTCATTCCCATGACATTTCTATTGACAAAACTACACCTGTATGTCACAGAGGAAAAAATAAGGATTTATATATATTCAACTATACATACACACACAATAAATAGATTTTTATCTCAAACAATTATATATATATATTTTTGAGAAGTTTTTGTTTGTTCTCTTGCTTGCTTTTAAATTTAATTTCCTGGAGAAATTCTGACTGACTCTGGGTGAAACCAAGCATGCTATTTTTTAATTAAAGGTATTGAATTAGCTTCATTCCAGTGTTATATAACTCAGCATCAATTTTACTTTATTTTCACTGTTCTTTAGCCATTTATTATTCCCTTTGGTTTTGCTCAGGGAAGATACTATGGGTCTCATATTTACATCTCCAAACTCTCTTTCTCTTTTGAGCCTCTCCTCTATCTCCAATATACATGACTGTAACTTAATGGGGAAGCTTCTCTAATAACCCAGCACATAGTGAGGAAGGCCACATTTCCAGGGGTGCTAGAGGAGGATGGAGAAAAACTATAGAAAACGCTCCGTGTGGAGGTTTCTTTTAAGCAAGCTGAAGATCCTCAAAGCTCTTTTTTTCTAAAATAATAGTATGTCTTATTGCTTCAGAGAAAGTTAGAATCTACTTGGAATTAATAGTATTTTATCAGTTTCACACTTTAGCCATGTAGACCCATAGAAACTCAGGAGAATCAACTCCCTTATTTTATAAATCAAGACCTGGTGCCCAACAGTGGGAAATGCATCCTGAAGTCATAGTTATGTATATTTAAAGTATTGAAGTGGTTGGCTTTATCTTGACCTTTTTTTTCATACAGAAATGAACATTAATCAGATCATGAGTGTTACTACTTACATGATCATGAATAAAAGTCCACAAAATGAGGTCGAAATTTGGGTGTTGGCTGTTAACTAGGCTCACTCTCCTGCAGAGTGATTCACAGCACACATAATTCAGATGTATCACTTGGTAAAATAAAATATCAAAGAACAATGTGTCAGGGACCATGACAGTTACCTGTGAGAGATGAACACTTCAAATATCAACTCTGTAAATGTCCAAGTTCCCCTTTTCTTATGTCTCTAGGGCATACGCATGCTTGACCACAGCTAATGGCCCTAAAGGCCCCACGAGCTCCTGGCTACCTCTCCTCCCTCCTTCACCCCATGCTCCTTCACGTATCACAACCCTCCTACTCTTTCCTTTCTGTCCCTCAAGCTCTCTGTGTCCTTCCAACCTCGGGGCCTTTGCATTTGCCCTGCTTGGAAAACTCTTCCACAGGCTACATACATGAATATTTTCTCTCATTCTGTGGTTGTTCAAATGTCCTCACCTCAAAGAGGCCTTTCCTGAATTTCATGGCTATCTAAAGGAGCCCTGTCATGGGCCTCTGTCACAGCAACAACTGTGTTTTTTTCACAGGGCTTATTTGCATGAGACATTAAGTTGATTATTTATTTATTTGTTTTTTTGGTATATTGTCACTTTCCACTAGAGCGTTTGCCTGGGAAGGACAGGAGCTTTATGTATTAGTCACTTCTTGACTCACCAAACATTTTTGCAACCCACCATTAAAGTTAGGAAAAGATCAACGTGGTTTTCCTACTCCCTTGCAGTCACTCAGCACTTCACTTCTGACACCAGCTGTCTGGCGGTTTTCCCTCACACACCAAGCAGTTTTTCAGTTTTCTAGTCGACACCAACTGGATGTCCTATAATTTTATTCTGACACATATCTACCCAGATATAGTGTCAGATCTCACAGATTGAGGGCTTAGTCCCAAAAGACTGTCTCTCACTTCAGATGTCAGTTACAAGTCCCAGCTTGTGACCTGTGCTCCTGATTGACTGGCTATAATTCAGGGTTCCCATGACCCCCTTCTCAGGTTCAACTAATTTGCTAGGGTGGCTCACGGAACTCAGGGAAACAGTTCACTTATGTTTACCCATGTAAATAATGTTATAAAAGATGAAGATGACCAGCAGATGGAAAAGATGCATAAGGCAAGGTATGTGGAAGGGTGCAGGGCTTCTGCGCCGTCTCCAGGTGCTCTTCTCTCCCAGCACCTCCACCTGTTCAGCAATACGGAAGCTCCCCAAGCCCAGTCCTTTTGTGTTCATGGAGGCTTTATTACATAGGCATAATTGATTAAATTATTGGCCATTGGTGATCAGCTCAACCTTCAGGCCCCCTCCCCTCCTCAGAGGTCAGGGTGTGGGGCTGAAAGTTTCAACCTTCTAATCACATGGTTGGTTCCCCTGGTAACCAGCCTCCCATCCTGAGGCTATCCCAGAGGCCCCAGTCATCAGTCATCTTGCTAGCATACACAAAGACATCTATCACTTAAGAGGTTCCAAGAGTTTCAGGGGTTGTGTGCCAGGAACCGGGGACAGAGACCAAATACATAATTCTTATTACATCACAATATCACACCCACCTTTTCATTCCAGCTGTCATGGGTCCAACAGGCTGCTCAAATGTAAGCCTGAAAGCACCTCTCCTCAGCTGCCCTAAATATCTCTTACTTTCTGACCTGGGCATCTCTGCCTCCTCAGCAAGGGAAGGGGGATAGGTGGGGGTGGAGGCCTCATTCCACTCATCCATGCATACACATGCGTGACCTTGGAAGTGCAGGGAGTCAACACCTCATCGGGCAACCTTTGATCAATGGGGAACAGGAGCTTGTGTTGCTCAGGTGAAAGATTCTAAGATGCGTTCTACACAGATCCTAAGAAAGTGCCCAGAGGGACCCAGACAACAGTGGACCATAGTGTAAGCTGCTTGATATTGCACCCTTGCATTGACTTGCCCTCCTTCCCTGTTTCACTCTTTTTCACCCCCACTCCTGTTCCATGCGATTACATCCCAAAGTAACTGTAGGCAGGCCCTTGTCTCAGGCTGTGCTTTTGTGGAGAATGCATGCTAAGGCTGTCTGATTACTCCACTGCTATATTTCTAGCCCCGAGAATGGTATTGAGCACATAATAGACACTATATGAATATTTTTTGATGAAACTCTTGAGTAAGTAAATCCATTTCCCATCAATAGAAATAATACAGCATACACATTTCACAAGGTCCACAAAATTGAAATAAACTAGTCAGAGTTCTAAAAATAAGATATATTCTTAATTTTGCTGAGTGTCTCAACAAATACTGAGCTCCACTTAAATGTCTGGCACTAGGATTGATCTGTACAGGAGACAAAGATAAATAATATCTCTTCTCCCATGATATTATCTCAGCGTTATCAAGAAGAGGGATGCCCAGAGTAGCTATGAGCAGTTCAAGGAGCCCATTAGATCTGCCACCAATTATCACCCGTAGGTCTCCTGTGGAGTATGTGAGATGAAGGAAATTAGCAGCACATAAAAAAGCAGACCATATTTGCCCTGCCAGAGAGAATATAAATCTTAAGACATTTTGTGACTGGCTTTCCAAGTGCTCAAATCAACTGTAGAAAATAGAGAAATTCTTGTTACCTAAGGGATGGAATTCAATAGCAGTACTTAAGATAGATAAAAATAAGGATGACAAACCTATCTCTACCAATGACAAGATTCTTTTTTTTGAAAGCCAGAGGGTTAAGGGATCTAATGCTATAACTATGGGAAAATGAGTATTATAAAATCCAGGTCTCTTACATATAGGCACATAATATTACAAAATCTCAGAAAAGCTGCAATACAACTTTTGCTGTCACTAGTGGCTTAGCATTGACTGAAGTCATTGCTCCCTGGGAGCTAAATTACCCCAGAGTTGACAAGCCAGTCTAGTCTCAGTAGAAAACAGAAGGCACATTCAAAAGTGATAATTGAATAGAGTTTAATATAGGGGCTATATATAAAGATGTAGTAGGGCTTAGGGGAGACCAGGGGTAGCATAGTTCTTAGGGGCTAGCAACATTGGGAAGCCACTTTCTTTCCTATGACTGCAGGGAAATGGGAGACAGCCATGAGAGAGGGTAGCTGCAGGGAGAGAGCCTCCCAACAGGAACTGTGGCCTTCATCATGGATGTGTAGCCAAGCCTTGGCAACCCCTCAGTTAGAAACCTAGGGATATAAGTATCTCGATGCCACTCTCCCTCCTATTGAGGGTTTTAAGAATACAAATTTTATGTAACGATTAAATGGTATAAGATGTTGTATTAGTTTTCTAGGACTGCTGTCACAAACTACCACAAACTTGGTGGCTTAAAATCAAAGAAATTCAGTTTCTTACAAATATGAAGACTAGAGGTCCAAAATCAAGGTGTTAGCAGGGCTATGCTTCCTCCAAAGGCTCTAGGGGACAAACTGTTCCTTGACTCTTCCAGCTTCTGGGGCTGTGAGCTTCATTCCAGTTATTTCAGTCTTCTCATGGCCTTCTCCTCCTTTCCCTGTGTCATCTCCTCTTCTGTTTCTTATAAGGACATTAGTCATTGGATTTAAGGCCCACCCCATTAATTCAGGAGGATCTCTTCTTGAGATCCTTAATTTAATTACATCTGCAAAAATCCTTTTTCCAAATTAGATCATATTTACAGGTGCTTTTCACATATATCTTGAGGGGTCACCATTAATCCCACTAAAGATATAATGAAGTAAAATATTTTCAGCAAATTAAGCATGCTATCAACACTGAGAAAACTGGAGGCGTGTAGTGGATACTGTGGTGCACTGTCCCATTTCCCCGTTCACGACTGAAGCACTAATTTTTTCTGCTGCTGGGAGTGTTGCCTGCTGATGGCTCATAGCTGCATCACTTTCCAAGAATTTCCTTAATCTAAAGAAAGCTGCCTCTCTAAGTTTTTGCTTTCTCCCTGGGAACAGCCCACTGGTAATGAGTGGATAATGAAGGAGGATGCACAAAGGTCTGGCTTTGTGCCTCAATTCTTGATAACTCTAAAGGGACATCCCAGCTCTAGAGCTGTCTTGTGGGAAGGGCTGAGGCTTCTGTTGCAACTTCGTTGGAAGGCAGCTTCTCCTTCCATCCCCTCTTGCTTCCCTCACTCCCTTGTAGGTGTTGTTCTCAAGAGCACTTCTTGATAAAGCTTTTGTAGGCAAATTTCACCACAGTGTCTGTTTTCCAGGGGCCTTGATTTAAGACATACTCCCACATGAGATGAACCATCAATAGTCTAAGTAGCTCAGAAGGAGGCTTTTTGGAGAACCATCCTCCCAATGCCTAAACAAAAGAAGTTTTATGCTCCATTGTGTGGGCTCTCTGTCTTACTATTGCCCCTGTGATAAGAAACATGAGGTAAGAAGTTAAACACAAAAACTAGAAGAATGAAAACCTTTTCAAAATAGAAGTAATATTTTTCAAGAATTGGACAGAAGTCTAAGTGGATGGTTAGTGGGTATTGAGAAATTAAATCAAGATCTTATCATATCATAGAAGATTTGAGAATATATTTTTAAACAGAAAATGAAAGCCAAAAGTCCTGGATATTGAGAACAGAAATTAAGAAAAAATATCTAAGTGTGGCTAGAGAAAAAGGAACATGTGCTAAAAGTAAAAAAGTAATGAATCCATAGCAATCCTGGGATGGCACAAGTTTCCCACAGTGTTGAATCCTCTCTTTTGACAGTAGAGACAAGCAGTGTGGAGTCTTCCTCCTCAGTGATTTGCACCAACAGCCAACCTTTCAACAGGTGTGGTTTCTCGGTACTGACCTCTAAGCTGCAGAGACTAAGCAGCATCCAGCCTGGCCTCCAGACACTTCCTGTCTATACCCCCAGTAGAAGTAATTGATAGAAAGGCATCAAAATCCTCTCCACTGGGGCTTGTTTTGCCATGTCAGAATCCAAAATCATTTTTGAAAATCACACCTAAGACTTTACAGAGAGAGATATATATATATACATATATATACACATGTGTATATACATGTATAACCTGTGCTAATTTGGGCTGTTCAGCACAGAGAAAATCTTGTACAGAACATGGATCCAAGGCATATCAGATATACTTTGGTTCTTGGCTCTGCCACTTTCTAGCTGTGGCCTTACACAGAAGCTATATCGGGGGAACCTGCCCCCAATATTTAAATGTAGGTTCTTTCTATTTTCCGTAAGTGTCAGCTGGCTGAGAAATAAAGAGAAAGAGTACAAAGAGAGGAATTTTACAGCTGGGCTGCTGGGGGTGACATCACATATCGGTAGGACCATGATGCCCACCTGAGCCTCAAAACCAGCAGGTTTTTATTAAGGATTTCAAAAGGGGAGGGGATGTATGAACAGGGAGGAGGTCACAAAGATCACATGCTTCAAAGGGCAAAAAGCAGAACAAAGATCACTTGCTTCTGAGGAAACAGGACAAAGGGCAAAAGGCAGAACTTCTGATAAGGGTCTATGTTCAGTGATGCACATATTGTCTTGATAAACATCTTAACAGAAAACAGGGTTCGAGAGCAGAGAACCAGTCTGATCAAAAATTTACCAGGATGGAGTTTCCCAATCCTAGTAAGCCTGAGGGTACTGCAGGAGACCAGAGCGTATCTCAGTCCTTATCTCAACCACATAGGACAGACATTCCCAGAGTGGCCGTTTATAGACCTCCCTCCAGGAATGAATTCCTTTCCCAGGGTATTAATATCAATATTCCTTGCTAGGAAAAGAATTTAGCGATATCTTCCCTACTTGCATGTCCGTTTATAGGCTCTCTGCAAGAAGAAAAATATGGCTCTTTTTGCCTGACCCCACAGGTAGTCAGACCTTATGGTTGCCTTCCCTTGCTCCCTAAAAATTGCTGTTATTCTGTTCTTTTTCAAGGTGCACTGATTTCATATTGTTCAAATACACATGTTTTACCATGAATTTGTACAGTTAACACAATTATCATAGTAGTCCTGAGGTGATGTACATCCTCAGCTTACGAAGATAACAGGATTAAGAGATTAAAGTAAAACAGGTGTAAGAAATTATAAAAGTATTATTTGGGAACTGATAAATGTCCATGAAATCTTCACAATTTATGTTCCTCTGCCGCAGCTCCAGCTGTTCCCTCCATTCGGGGTCCCTGACTTCTCGCAACTTCTCTCCCTTTCTTTTTATATAAATGTGCCATGGTGATGAAGGCTTGTTCGTTCTCTTGGTTTTGACACAGGATTCTTTGACTGGTCTGGCACACTAAAAACAAGCTGATTAAACAGGGAAACCTAATCCCAAAATTTACTACAGTGGAGCCCCCAATAGACTTAATCCAAATTGTGGGATTTAGTCCAGAAAGACTTTCTGCCACCTGATCTAACGCCTCAGCTCCAGGCACAATGGATAAATGAGCTTGAGAGACTTCAAAAATTTGTTTCTTTAGTTTAGTTATGTCCAAGGATAAATTATCTTCCCTACCCAGAAGGTGTCCTTTGACCATTTCCCATGAATGATCAGTCTCATTGTAGGAATATGGTGTGATACAGAAATCAGAAGTATTCTAATCGCACTGCATTTGCATGTGATGTTCGAGACTCATAAGCCGATCCCCAAGCCAAATAACAGACTGTCTTAAATCATTAATTTGATTAGCTAATATTTGATCGATGCCTTGTTGAGAATTCCACATTTGGGTGGAACTGGCTTGCCAATCATTAGCAAAATGAGCCATTTGAATAGATTGGTGTAATGCCACTCTGGCAGTGGTGGCCAGTGCAGTGACTGTAATTAGGCCCATGATCACAGCAATTACAGTGAAAACAAATCTCTTAGATCTTTTGAGAATTCGTTGTAACACTTCATTAATTAAATGTACTGAGGGGGAAGATTCCCAAGGTCTGGGTAAAGTTACTGGTATCTAGATTCCTTCTTGAGTTTGAACCAACATTACACTTTTCCTGAAGTCAAAATGGGAATGAACACAAGTGTATAAATGACAATTATTGCATTGGACAGTTTGACTGTTTGTCCAAATTTTGATATTTCCCATTAACAGCATGTAAGGAGGCTTAACACAACTCTGTATAGGAATAGTCAGGTTGGAGGTAAACAAAGCAGAATGTTTGAATCTATGTCGATACTGAGGGAGAGGAGTGGTGGTGGCAATGCCCGATGTTCTCCGCTGTAAAGAAGCAATCTGAGGTGCCCAGGGATGCTGAAGAGGTGGAGGGGTATACCCGGGTTGAGAAGAATTATTATTATGCCAATTGGAGTCCCATAAAGTAGGATCAGCATCAAAAAGAGGAAAAGGGTTCAAAGGGGATTTACCATGGGGTTCAGAATCACGGATGCAAGGGGCGGTAGTGGGGACAACAGACAGAAAAGTTTCCCCCTCCCATACTCAGAGTCTGGACATGACAATAGCCAATTTCCTATGTTCTGGGTGTTCTGGGCTCAGAATGGGGAATATCATATGAGGCCTCAGGTGGGGGGTAATGCCCTTATATTCCCATTTTAAGGGAAAGAATGAGCTGAACCTCCTACGCAAAGTAGGATGATGATCCTCGCCCTCCCAATAAGAAATAAAATAAGTACCCTCCAGGCATTCCCTTCTGCCAGAGGAGTAATTGTTTTTTAAATAGCCCTTTGGTGCCCAGCCTATTACTAAACCATATGGGTTTTTTTTAATACTGCTGCATGTGAGTTAACACAGTCTTCCCAAATTAAAGTTTTAGATGGGCCCTCAAAATTTTTAGGACATGGTTTTCCTACAGGTTTATATTGAAAGTATGGGGTATCTCCTATTACTCCCCTTTTTATTTGTCTTAAAGGAGAAAGGGAGAGGCCGGAGACCAAATGTCCTCCTTCCCTTGTAGCTAATCTCTCTGGAAGATAAGCAGACCAGACTTGAGTTTCTAGATGGATACAACCAGGTGCATGTCCGAGGCACAGAGGACGGTATTTATAACCCATAGTAACATTAAATGCAATGCCCTCTTCTCCTGGTTGAGCAGGGCAACGGTCATCTCTAGCTCCAGGCATCCACACACGATCGTTAGTATAGATTTCCTCAGGAGCATCCATCCAGGTGAAAGTTCGAATAAGTGGAGGAAAAGGCACATAAGCCCAATAAGAATAATTTTGTGTAGCAGGTAAATCAGTTTGAGGGGAAACTGGTGAGACAGAAAGTATAAGGAGGAGAATTATTAAATAAAACCAATTTAAGCAAGGTCCAGTGCTGAAGGAAGAAGAGAAGAACAGAGGGTTGTTATTTTCAGACTAATAGAAATGGCGAGATTTTTAGGTTCATAAGGAGAAAAAGAAAGGGAATTAGGAGAAGTGGGATTAGTTAGAGGGGTCTCCATTGCCATTAGGGAGGATTAAACCAGACCCATTTTGATTTGGCATGCCAGTTTCTGCAGAGTCGGCACAGATCTCACCAGGTATGATGGCGGTCTCTGACGCAGATGTCTTTTCCTTGTGGTTTTCATTGTCAGTATTTACAGGAAGTTTAAGTCTTCTAGTGGGCACCCAGACAGGGGATTGATGATCTCCAGGTGAAACACAAGCATACCCTCGTCCCCACATTAAAATTGTTCCAGGTTCCCAGGTATTGGTCTGGGAGTTTTTCCATAATACTGGCTTGCTTCCATTTAGGGAGAATTTTTTCCCTGTATAATGGCGTTCAGCTGCAGTCAGAGTATTGTCTTTAGGAACATTTAGAAAGTTTAAAGTAAACAATGCTAAATGTAATTGGGAGTGGGGAGTGGTTACATTATGCTTTTGTTGCTCAGACTGTTTGGACAATGGAGTTTTGAAAGTGCGATTGGCCCATTCCACCACAGCCTGTCTCTGAGGAAGTACTTTCTATTCATAATGAGCTGCAGGCTCCTGATTATTGATAATGGTACAGTAAAAGCAAATTTTTCACAATCCGATTTATGTAAAACAATATGAAAGAAACAGTCTTTAAGGTCAATCACTATGAGAGGCCAATTTTTAGGTATTAAAGCAGGGGCAGGCACGCCGGGTTGGACAGGTCCCATAGGTTTAATTACAGCATTAATGGCCCTTAAATCAGTTACCATCCTCCGCTCACCTGAATTTTTTTTTTTTTTTTTTTTTTTTTTTACTGGAAACACAGGAGAATTCCAGGACAAAAGAGACGGTTCCACATTTCCAACTTATAACTGTTCAGAAACCAATTGAGTTAAAGCCTCCAGTTTTTCTTTAGAGAGCAGCCACTGCTGAATCCAAACAGGTGTTTCAGATTTCCATTACAAAGTTACAGGATTAGGAGGCATGGCAGTGGCCGTCATTAAAAGGGATAACCTAAACCAGCCCTGTCTTCTTTTACAGTAACTTGAAGAGGTTTAGTAATTCCTTCATGTCTTGGACCGAGACCAAGTCTGGGAACAAACCCCATGTTTTCCATTATATGTTGACTGGGAACACTATAAGAGTTACATGGAATATTAATTTCAGCCCCCCACTGCGCCAGCAAATCTCTACCCCAAATATTAATGGGGGTTGGTGTGATATAAGGCTGAATTGTACCCTTTTGACCATCAGCACCAGTGCAAGGCAAGATAAATGTGCTCTGGTGAAATTCATCAGCTTTTCCAACACCTACTAGTCCCATGTTAGCGGGATGTTTAAGCCAGGAGGAAGGCCATAAATTAGAGGAAATAATAGAAACATCAGCCCCAGTATCTACTAGGCCGTCAAACTTTTTTCCTTGAATGTGTATGGTGCAGGTGGGCTGTTGTTTAGAAATTACATTAATCCTATAAGCAGCTTTTTCACTGCCGGAGCCCATCGCAGGGCCCCATGTCTTATCTCCTTTGTTTAAAATAATATTAGGTAGTAAAAGTAATTGAGCAATTGACTCACCGGCCAAAATGGAAACAGGAACTTTGGCAGACACCATAAGTTTAATCTCATCAGAGGAATCAGAATTAATGAGACCAGTATGAACTATGATACCGTCAGCAGAGGTGGATGCCCTGCCTAACACCAGGCCCACTGAACCTTGAGGTAAAGGGCCAATAACCCCCGTGGGGACAATTAAAGGGAAAGAATTAGGTAGTAAATTTAGAGGACTGGTACTACAGAGATCGACCGCCCTGCCCCCTACTGTGGAGTTCTAATATTCCCTTTTTAGGAAACCAAGGACAGTGTTCTTCCACCGCCCTGAATAGGGTGACCATATTTTCTATGGGCACTCAAACTCCTCCCTGTTTTAACAGGAATTTAATATAGCAGAGATAAGCATAATGTTTAGACTCCATGTGACCCATAGTTACCCTGGACAATACACAGACAACTCACCAATCATCAGGGAGCTGAACAAGCATTTCTGTGTGCCAGCCCAATGAAAATTTCTCCACACCTACCAAAGGGAATTGGGTTCCCACATGCACTTAGGAAAAAGAAAACCACATTGGTGTGCCAGATATCAGGGGAACCTGCCCCCAGTATTTAAACGTAGGTGCTTTCTATATTCCATAAGTGTCGGCTGGCTGAGAAATAAAGAGAAAGAATACAAAGAGAGGAATTTTATAGCTGGGCCACCGGGGGTGACATCACATGTCAGTAGGACTGTGATGCCCACCCGAGCCTCAAAACCAGCAGGTTTTTATTAAGGATTTCAAAAGGAGAGGGGATGTACGAACAAGGAATAAGTCACAAAGATCACATGCTTCAAAGGGCAAAAAGCAGAACAAAGATTACATGCTTCTGAGGAAACAGGACAAAGGGCAAAAGGCAGAACTTCTGATAAGGGTCTATGTTCAGTGATGCACATATTGTCTTGATAAACATCTTAACAGAAAACAGGGTTTGAGAGCAGAGAACCAGTCTGACCAAAAATTTACCAGGATGGAATTTCCCAATCCTAGTAAGCCTGAGGGTACTGCAGGAGACCAGAGCTTATCTTAGTCCTTATCTCAACCACATAGGGTAGACATTCCCAGAGCAGCCATTTATAGACCTTCCTCCAGGAATGAATTCCTTTCCCAGAGTATTAATATCAATATTCCTTGCTAGGAAAAGAATTTAGCGATATCTTCCCTACTTGCATGTCTGTTTATAGGCTCTCTGCAAGAAGAAAAATGTGGCTCTTTTTGCCCGACCCTGCAGGCAGTCAGACCTTATGGTTGTCTTCCCCTGTTTCCTAAAAATCAGTGTTATTCTGTTCCTTTTCAAGGTGCACTAATTTCATATTGTTCAAACACACATATTTTACCATGAATTTGTACAGTTAACACAATTATCATAGTGTTCCTGAGGTGACATACATCCTCAGCTTACAAAGATAACAGGATTAAGACATCAAAGTAAGACAGGCATAAGAAATTATAAAAGTATTATTAGGGAACTGATAACTCTCCCTGAAATCTTCATGATTTATGTTCCTCTGCCGTGGCTCCAGCCGATCCCTCTGTTTGGGGTCCCTGACTTCCTGCAGCAATGCTAAATCTCTCTAAGCCTCTGTGTTCTAGCATCTCTTAAATGGGTATGTGTGAAGACTGATGACATGTAAAGTGCCTGGCATCCAAGTAAGCCAGGTGCAAAACAAGCTATTCTTAGCATAAAATGCATAGTCCTTTTTGTTTTTCTAATGATAACAACAACTTTTGGCCAAAATGTTATTTTATATGAATTGCCTAATTCTTTCCTTGATGAAAACAAATGTGAACTTATTTTTCTTTCCCCGTATCAACTGTACAGATTCAAAAGAGCTGAAGAAGAGTGATCTGTATACTGGTTAGTGCCATCCATCATTAACCAAAGTTCCCAGCTCTGTTTTGGACCCCTAAGACAGTCAGTGATATATGGAACAAAAGGTGGTCAAAGAAAGTGATTTTCAGGCAAAGATTTGAGCTCACATCATGAACAATTTAGAAAGTCACCTTTTGCCCTAAGGAAGAAGTTGGGGAAATGGCAAAAGTGGCAGAACACTGCAATGTCATCTTTCTAAGCAATGTTATGTATGGGGTACAATTAGGAGCTTAGAATTTGGGTGGAAACAAACTTTAGCTTAGTATCTAGGATTTACCCAGCTTTTAGTTGAATGACCTTGGTCAAGTAACTTAAATTCTTTCAGCTTTAGTTTCCTTACATATAAAATTATGGTAATGACAATGCCTTCCTTCAAGATTGCTGTGAAAATTCAAAGGGATTACATATGTGAAAGTTTCTGGTGTAGTGTCTGGCCCATAGCACAGCTAACAAAGTCACAATAATGCTAAGAAAAGTAAGAAGCAAGAGAGAGGAGTCAAGGGAAGGAAGGCAGTTTCTAGATATAGCTCTCCTCCAACTCAGTGATGTTGGATAGATAGGTCATTTAATTTTCTGGGCTTGCATTTCCTCATTAGTAAAATGGTAAACTGCTAAAGATTACATAAATGAAAATGGCCTCCTAGTTCATTGATTCAATACGAGTTTAATAGTCATCACCAAATGACTTGGCCTGCCATTAAGTTATAAAATATAAGATTTCCATGAAATATATAGAAAATGATAGGCCATGTAAAACAGAAAATTATAATAAATTATATGAATAAATATCTTAGTTTTGGCAGATGTAGTCTGTAATCCCTTAATGCATTTTTTCTCCCTGAACTAAGGAGGTCTTTTCAATGCTCCTTAAAAAATCAATGCTGCAGTAAATTAATCACAGCCTGCTGCTGTGATTGGATTAATGAGAAGATCTTGCTAGGGCTTACATAAAAGTCTAAAGTAAACAGCTACCCAATACACAGATCTACTGGTTTGAGCACAGAAATGCTATAAAAATCTTAATAAATCCATCTGCTTAAAAGAAACAAAACCCCTTACTAAACAAGAAGAAGCTTCAACTTCAGATTCTCTGTCCTTTTGACCCCTTATCAATTTTGTTCAAATCAAATTTAAGTTTTATTAAAAGCATAGATCCCATAGAAGTCATAGGAAAGTTAGCCAATGCATCTGCCCCAGTTGCTTCCTGGGGTGATGACGACTCTAGACTCTTTAACATACATCAGATGAATGTCTAAATTTTCATCAAATTCACTTGTGAATTTAAAGAAGCCTCAGAACATTCAATATTGGAATCTTTTAAGCTAAGCTTGAGAAAGTCTCTTAAGCTTCCACTGTAATAGAAAGAAAGGTACAGCTAAGAAACTGAGTCCCCACTAATTTGCATGATTCAAGATGTTCAGCATAAAAGTTCAGGGAATGAGGAGTCAATATGCACTCAGAGGTTGCCATAATGCTCTGCTTTATCGTGTTTTACTTTCCCCACAAAGCAAGTGACAAAATGGGAATAAAGCCAGATGAATCTATTCTTATTAGATTGGGCCCACAATCTCATATTGGGTTTTAGATACTGGATTTCCTGCCAGCTTCTTGTATTGTCTGCTTATTGCTTTCAAGGAAGCCAGCAATGGCCTGGGATAACAGTGTGTCTGTGGTATGAGACATCTTAAATGGATGACACAATTTCCCTGGGCTCTGCTGCCAGTGGAGTTCCCTAAGCAAGTTAGTGTTTATGTGCTGCTGATGTTTGCGGGCCGGACAGGAATGATCTTTGCCTAGAATAATGATATCATCAAAGAAAGTGGGAACACAAAGATAAATATTCTTACAGATGACATTTACTCAGGGACCGTATTGTCTATCTGAGTGAGGAGCTGTTTTCTTTTGGTTAAGTTTCAAAGATTCTTTCTGCACTGATTTTCCCTCTCATTTCCTCTTATGTTGTTATGAAATACACTTGCCTTTGACGTATCCTTTATATCCAATTGTGGGATATTCCTCTTTCCCACATCAAATATGACATATGCTCCCCAAATCCACATGTTGTAGACTTGGTCCTTTAATAATTTTCTGACATAAACTTGATCTGTGTGGCTCAAGGCTTCAGTGTGACAAAACAATAAAGCACTTTTTTTTCCGTTTAAATTATACTTGAGCCTTGGTCTGGCTACTCTTCTTATAAATGTAAGTTTGATAATAAAAGTCCTAATGTTTGCTGATAGGTTGAAAAAAACCCAATATTTTTCATTAATTTAAATTTCAAAGACACTTCTGACATGGATGCCGAGAAAACAGGAGGCAATCAAATCAGTACAAAACCTAGATATTAGTAATGCTTTGTTAAAAATTAAAGTTCCTGGGGCTAGAAGTTGTGGATGGATGGGTAGGAAGAGAGAGGTGAGGGGGCACCACATCTCTTAACCAGAAGATTCCTTCATCTCCTATTAGCTCCTTCCAGGATTGCTGGTCCCCCTGGCATTAGCAGCTGACTGTCCCCTCTATCCAGCAGTGTCTTGCAGGACAAAGGCCAGCCTCACACCTGCTGCACTGGTCTTCACCTCTCTGTCCCAGCAATGCAACCACAGACCTATTGGGTAAAGCCCACCTGGCTGGAATGGAGGTTAGCTCTTTCCTCTCCTGACACCCTTTGCTCAGAAAGTGGGGCTTCTGTGGACCTTGGTCTGGCTTTCAGGGTAAGTCCAGGGCTGTGCTCTCTTGCCCCCATTCCTAACTCCATACACGCTTCTGTGGCTAGCCTTTTCCCATCTTCTTCGTAGGTGATTCCATCTTCTACTCTTGCAATCTTAACCTTTCAGCAGTCCTGTTTTCTTTCTTCTTTTATTCTCTGTCTACACTCCCAACTTCATTTATCACTAGTAAGTTCAAATATGCAGTGCCAGGGTAGTGGTGTGCACAGAGGCTAAACTTTAAGTCAGAAGGCAAAGAGGGAGAGGATTCTTTGGAGAAAAAAAAAGAGGATGAAAGATAGCAAGAGGGGGAAGCAGTTAAGTATTATTGGGATGAGACTTTTTTCATAAGACGAAATTTATATTAGGTTGTAGGAAGCAGAGAGTGAAGAGGAAGAGACTAATAATTCAAGAAACAGGAAAAAACTCACAGGGAAGTATTTGGGAGATTAAGAGAGTGCAATAGAGCACTGATGGGGTACGCAGACTGAATAGGGAAGTTTTTGCTCTATAGCAGGGTGGTTATCAGAGAAATTATGGTAAAATTGAGATGTGGAGAGTAAGAAAGTTGAAGTTCTGACTTGAACCTCCAACCTTATGTATAAATAGAAGGGAAGATGGGTTATTTGTGAAAATCAGTGAGGAAGGAGCCCTAAGGAAAGTGGAACAGGGAATTTTGGACTAGTTAGTGGGAGGATGGTGACAGGAGGCAAAAAAAAAATATTTCTGAGCATAGGTGAAAGTGTGACTGAAGATGAAGGGCTGACTTTGGACTGAAATCAACAGTACCTGGTGTTAGGGAGCAAGATAGGAGAATGCTGGATAGGAGGCTGCAACTTGGCCAGGTGGTGATGTTAGGAGGCTGAGGTGCCTAGGTACAAAAAGATGCGTGAAGACAATTAAATATGCTGACAATGGGGTCTATTGTCAAATATACTTAATTGCTTCCCCCTCTTGCTATCTCTCATTCTCTTTTTTTGTTCTCCAAAGAATCCTCTCCCTCTGCCTTCTGACTTGAAGTTCAGTCTCTGTGCACACCACTCCTCTGGCACTGCATATTTGAACTATATGGAAAAATAGAAACTAAAAAAGTGGCTGAGGAATGGTGAGAATAGGAAGTTTGGAGGGGACAAGAGAGGTAAGGAAGGAGGAGGTCAGCTTTCCCTCAATGCTTACGTATTGTTCTCTATTTTCATTAGTTTATCATTTCAGCCCCAATTTCACTAGTAGGTTAAAAGATGAGCACTTGTGTGAATAACATCCAATTTAGTAGTCAGCTACTTCTTACCCCAACAGCACATTGTTGTTCCAGCCAACACCAACTTATAGGGAAAATAAACTTTTTTAGAGGGGAACTAACATGTCTTTCTGAGTGGAGTGAGAAAAAGGGTAGTTCCTGCTGTCTGACAGCAGTAATCTGGGAACTACAGCCTTTGGACTTTAGGTCAAGGGAGTGAGATACGTCTTAGAGGAAGCAGAATGCCAAGGAATAACCTGGCCTAGCCATATTTGCCATATTTTGTCTTACAGGTGTCTGACGCTGAGGTAGATAAATTATTGTGAAATTCTGTCTAACTTTCCTGACCCAGGACAATGCGAGTGCTCAAATAGGAACCAAGAACTGGTGGGAGGGAAATGACCTACTTAGACCAAGACAGTTCCCCATATCCAAGTACAAATGGTGCCAGCCCTCAATTGTTTCTTTGTCTTTGGACAGCTGCCAAGTTTTGTCTCAGGAGGTCTTTATTTTCTTTCAAGAGACCAAAAATCAATCACTTAATTCTTGGTGAGGTTAAAGTGAAAGATTAGAACGGATTAGAGTCGATTATAAACACAATCCCTTCTGCTGTGCTTCCTGGGGACCAACAGGAGCCTGTCAGATGCCTCATTAAAACAATTACTCTCAGAAGCCAGTGATACGGTATCTACATTATCTATTGACCAGACCTGAGTCTACATTGAAACCAAACCAGGGAAATTAAGAGAACAAAACAGGAAATAAAGTGTCTAAAGGATCTCATAGATCCCAGATTGAATGGACATTGCTCACAAGCAATCACTCTATCTGTGTGTATGCATGTGTGTGTGGGTGTGTGTGTTTTACTTTAGATTAAGGCTGGCAAGGACCTTTAACTTCTGGAACTGACCAATCCAGATATTAATATTAGGCCCACACTTTCTGAGCTAAAAGAACTGAAAACAATGATGGTGATGGTGAAAGGTGAAAGGAAATTGAGTGTTAAGTAAATGATAGAAAGCTGTAGGCAAAGAGACAATTGAGGCTAGAAAATACTGCTGGTGCCTCTTCCACACCCCATGAAAATGCTGGGCCTCCACTTTGTGATGAATGGCACATCTGCCCAGCTGGTTCCTCTACCAGAGTAGATTCTGTATGAGGCATTCCTATTACTCAAAGAATGGCTAAGTGTTTCACAGATGTGTGGTTTAAATGTTTGCCAGGTGCCAAGTGTGAATTGGGGCTGGACAGCTTAAAGTCTCTACTGTGTGACCTCAGAATCATTTCAAGCTGTCTCTTCATTTTTTATAAATGTTATGTGAGCCAATAACACTGATAAGTAATTCTTTTTCACATTTTAAGTCTTAGAATAATACTTCATTTTTAAAGAATATTTCATAAAATGAGTGAATTTTGGTTGAAATTAATGCAGTGTCAAAATTGGTATTTTAATCATATAGAAAGGCAGAACATGTAAAGTCATGACTCTCTGTGCTACTGCAATACAATGTCCTAGCAAATATTTTTTTAAAAATTTAATAAATATGGTATTCTTTCCCTCTCTGCTGGTACAATGGGTTCTGCTATGTTTGCCTTGGGATTTTACATTTGGGATTTTTGCTTGCATTTACATGATTAAAGACACGGCATTAATTTTGCCCTAATACTTAGTTGTGATTTATTTTTAACTTTCCTCTTTAAGAAATAAAAGTTAGTAAGAGCAGAAAGGGGATAGGGACATTCATTTGGTAACTCAGTCAGAGTCTGAGTTGCTAATGCAAGCCTTATGAAGGCCCCTGAAGGCAAACATGAAACGCAGGACAAATAGCAACGCTCTCACGTGTGGTTACCCACAGTCATTCTCCATTGAACTGGACCAGCCAGTTGATTTACAAAGGGCCTCTCCCACCCACAGGATTACAACTGAATTTCAACTGTCAAAAGCACTGGATTTAGAATAACAAAACCTGGACTTGAGCCCTAGCTCTATCATTTACTAGCTCTGTGAACTTAGGCCAGTTATTTTACCCTTTGTGTCTGCCGTCTTATCTGAAATGAGAATACTCCAGGTTCTTCTTAACTGGAACAGGAATTTTCTTGGGTTTTTAGAAGGCTTAAATGAACTCACAAAGGGAGAACCACTTAACACAATGCCTGGTGCACAGCAGACATCAAATAAATATTAGACCATTTTCTTTCATCCCATTTTAATTAATAAAGAATGGCTTTTAAAAAATTATTTCTGGGAGTCACATTTCCAACTACCTATAGCTTAGGCAGAGATATCTATGCAAATCATTTTGTAACAATTTCCAAAGCATTATTAATCATACATTATCCCAGTGAAAAGAGGTCTGACCCTGAGAATCTTCTAGTCAAGTTCCCTCATTCTATGGATAAGGAAATTGACCCAGAGAGGTTCTGTGAAACACCCAAGGTCATACAGATACATGGTGGCAGTGAGAACTGGAATCCAGTTCTTTTGCCTCACGCCCAGTGCTTCCCTCCTTTACCAAGCTGGCACTACTGCTGCTGTGCCACAGAAGTGCACATGGCCAGGGTGCCTGTGAATCTGAAGGTTCAGGGGTACTTGCATATTTTCAGTCAGCTCACTGGTCTGAGCAAATGGCCAAACCTGGCATGTACCCAAATCCCTATGGAAAAAGGACTACTTAGTATGACCAATAAATACTTCCAGGAATTTATGGAGGAGCCGAGAGAGCTAACTTTGAAGCTAACCTAGATCTGATCTCATACACTTATCCTCATAGCTCACAGTGGTCTGATTGACTGTGTCCTAAATAGTTCTACCCGATGGTGACAAATGAGAGTCTAGACATGATGGATGGGACCAAAAATAGACAGGTGAATTCTAAGTTTAGCGTACACCACTTTTTCCCATAGGCGTCTCCTCTTCAGGTTGTGCTCGCAGTCCAATCTTTAAAAGCAGATAACATCTTGTGGCATACTTCAGGGAATACTCCCCAGCCCCACTGATGGACTGTATGGGATTCTGATGGAGGTCATTTGGAGCAATGGTTTCCAGAGGCCAGTCTGAAGGCTTGTGCCAGGCTGGCTGGCTGTACATCTAGGGAGTCCCTCTGGGGAGACAGCTTTAAGAGAGCTTTAATGCTCCCCCGACCTGCACAGACTCCTTTCTTGGAGATTCTCTCTCAGTCAGCCTGTGGTGAGGCTTGATCATCACTATTTTTCAAAAGATTCTCAAATGCTTTGATGTGTAGCCATTGCACTAATTCAGGGCGGGAGGGGTTGACCGAGATCTAAGGGACTGGTATAAATGGCAGTGTGAGGGCTTCTAAGCCAAGAGCATCACCTCATGGCACAGATACAATATAAAAGAGGGCAGTTAAGCATCATCACCTCATTCTGCTCTACCATAAGCTACTCCTTCCTGCAGAGTCAAACTTAATCGCCCATCCACGAGAATCTAGCCTTATACTTTGAGCATACCTCCATTTAGTATTTACTCTGCCAGGTGGGGGTTCCTGTCTTTCTCCTTTAGAGAGGCAGGCTCCTAGAGTTGAGAATAGAGACTGGCATATTCTTCGGTGACCCCTGTTCCTAGTGCTGTGCCTGGTGCATGGTAGCAATAGCCTCCTTTCTATCAGGAAGTGGCATCATCTCTGTTTGGACTTCAAGCAAAAGACATTGATGTGTTTGGGGAGAATCTTACATCACTAAAAACTTGGAATTATTTTTCCAGAGAACTGGTAGACTCAGTCCCTGAGCTTAATTTATGTGAGACACATCTTAACCTGATGACAAATAATAAACACACACAGTGTCACCTCAGATGAGCCATGTGGCCCCTGGGCCATCCAAATGGCTTCATAACTCTCAGAGTCATTCAGCCAGTGGCTGTCAAACAAATACAGATGCTGATATGGGAAGCAAAATGAGGCTAAAAGCTAGTGAGCCCACAAACCTACAATAAATTAGCCCCTAAATCAACTGGGATACTTTGGGAAGCATGTAGTCTTCTAAAGCAGATTCATCTTCAGCTTCTCTGAATTAATTTGGGGATTTATAAAACTGAAATTTCAGAATGAGAAAACAATGAAAGAGTTATTTGCCATGATCCAAGAGACAATTATACTTTTTATTGAAATGAAAGATAGTGGCAGTCTCAGTTGAACCTAAACTCTGTTCCTTCTTGGCTGGGGCTCAGACAAATCTGGTCAATGCTAGCCGACTCAGGATTGGATCTGCCAGAATTTTGTGGGACTAAGAGTAATCTTGGGGAGAATTTGTCTCAGGGAAGGAAAGAGACAGTCAGACTTGACTGTGAAGTGAAGTCTCAGCTTCAGGAGGCAGTGGGAATTCTTTGGACATCTTGTTGCCTCTCCTTCATATTTGTCTCCTGACCTAATCCTTATGAACTTATGTCTTGGTATCTAGAGAGGAGAGGAATAGGGTGAGAATATGGTAGTATACAGTACATAACTACTGAAATATTACATAGTGTCTATAAAGCTGCACCTGGTACAGGCTGAAATGTAAAAATTTATCTCTGAAGCATCATGTGAATAGAGAAACTTTGTTCACAGCTATTCTAATGAAAACATGCTGTTTTCTCCAAATTCTTGCTGTCCTTCCACTGCATCCTAACAGAATTCTCCCATCTACATAGCCTTTTCTTCACCATCCTGGTCCATCATCTCCTTTCTCTGCACAGAACTTTCACAATATGCATCTGGTATGGCATAGCTTTCTACTACAGGCCTCGCTCCTCCAGGAATGTGGTTCTTTTTCCCTGATTGCTTTACTCAAATTAATCCATCTACTTAGATCTTTTTCCCATCATCTCTTCAGAGAGGGGAGAGGCAAAGGAGCTAAAGTAGGGGAAAAAAGGAAGAAAAAAGCTGTGAACACATATATGTCAAAAAGTTTATCTCATCACAGCTTTCAATAAAAATTCTGTAGAGCATGGGACCCAAACAGCCCTTTTTTGATATCTCACGAAAGAGAAGAATGCAGTTTTTCACAGAGCCCCATGTAGTATTGGACAGGGTTTCTTGAGGGTTCTGTGCAAAAACAGGCCCAATGTAGGTGACAGTAGCCAGAGTGTGTGTCAGGGGTGCATTGAGATGGCAGTGGCATATTGTAGCAGAAGCATCTGATAGCACTCTCTGAAAAAAAGCAGTACCAGGGAGAGGCAGTGTCCATGCCTAGTGGCAGCATCAGTGCCCTGTGGAGGTGAGGGCAATACTCATGAAAGCAGTGGTACTGGTGAGAAAGAGAGAATCACAATGGGCTCTGCCAGCAGATACAGGGCACCTTAACATGGTCCACATACACTGGAGACCTTGACAGCAGAGCAGTGGCTCCGGAGCAGAAGTATACAAAGAAGGCCTACCCACTGTGGTCAATAAAGGAACTATTTGAAGCACATGTGAGATGCCCTTAAGAGCTGGAGGATTGGTGTTGGAGCTGGTGATGCTATAAAGCAAATAGCAAAAGACTGTGCTAATGTCACCGTGTTTTTCCTATTTTATGCCCTTCCAGAGAATAACACAAATCCAGGAATGAAGACATATGGCTTGAAGGCTCATAGATCACTTATTGCAAAAAGTTACAGTATGCATTCCAAACTGACATGCTGATATCCAAGTTTTCATAGCAAAATCTAGGCAAGAAGTTCCTCTTTTTAATTTAAATTATTTTTGGAAGTCCCCAGTAATCTATGATCAGAAGCCCTGTATTATGTGTGTGTCTACTCACTGGTCAGTGTTCTCTTCCATGTAGGATCTGGAATACATGCTCTCCATATAGTCCCTGAAAGACAGGCTTCTATCATTTAGACTCTGAGTGCTTGAGAATTAGATGGATTTATTACAGTATTTGTGCTGTAACAACTATATAGTCAGGAACAGATTTCTATTATTGGCCTATATCTCTTTGGCTAAAGATGGAATGATGAATGCATAAATGTATGCAGATAAATATGGTTTGATGTGATCTAGAGTATCTCTGAAGTAGCTAATAACATTAAATTAGGCAGCCCTTGGAAAGATATTTCCTCAGTCTTCATTCTTTAAGCATCACTGACATTATAGAAAAATAAGAAAGGATATTAGAGTAGAAATCAATAGATTTATATCTGCAAATCACTATGTATACTCAGACATGTTTCTTCATTTCTCCCTAGCTCAACGTTCTCATCCATATAATCAGAGAGTTGGATTGTCACTTAAATCCCTTTTGGTTCTAAATTTTTATGATTCTGCTTTTCTTCTGTTGCTTTAAATAGGGTAGAGCAATGGTTTTCAACTTCTTAAACCAGTGGTTCCCTTAATCCATATAACATATCGATTAACCTTAATATATACAGAAAATAAAGGCAGAAGTTGTGTGAATGAAGTGTGGATGGGAGGGGAGTTGACAATTCCTTGACTCTCCTCAACTTTCCTGCTGATTCCTTGAGTGTTTCTTTTATGCCAATTTATAAACCATTTTGCTAGGGAAGTGGGAACTAAAGAACTTGAAACTAGATGACTCTGAAGTGATAAAGTAAAAGCTAAATATTGAATGCATCCCAAAATTGAAGCACCAGTAGTTCTAGTTAGTTCAGGAGTCAGCTAGGAAGAACATAAAAGTTTCAGAGAGACGCTCAATAGTAGAGGGGCTGATTCAACAAAACACCAATTTTCTTCCTATGATTTCAAGACCAAATTCAGTAAAACCCTTATGTCAACTTCTCATCCCTTGAAAAATGAAGACACAAAGAGGGGAGCATTCCTGAAGGAATTTTGGACAGACAAACTTAAATCAGACTCATGGAAAGAAAAATGCATTTAAAATTTTTTCAAGTAGCACGATGCAATGACATGTCAATAACAAATGCCTGTAGTCACATTTTTAAATGATGGCTTGGAATCTATCCCCATTGCCCTCCCTCTCCCTTTCAAAATAAATGGCAAAATCAGGTTGAGTAAGAAATGTCATCTATGCTTTTCCCATTCTTCTTCAATTCAGAAGTGAAAATGATGTTGATGTTTTATTTTGGTCACCTTTTGTTAAAATCCTAACTGCCATCCATCGTGTCCTCTAAAAATATTAGCAATTCCTTTTGACCTAGTAGAAGACAGTGAGTTTCAAACTGACTCACTGGTGAGGATAAGTGATAAACTATGCTACTTTTCAGCTATTTTGGGTAAAGCCTATTCTTGACATAACTCTGATGGATGGTAGTAAAACACGCTATGGGCAAAAGCAAAAAGGAGGCAATGAGAAAAAGTAATCATGATATTTTCTCCACCTTCCCCTCTCACTTACCTCCCCACAAGAGAATGGTATGTCAGAGAGACCTCCAATATTAAATTTACAATTGTTCCTTTATTTAGCACAGCTGAAGGCTGTAACTGACTGTATCACAAAGGACTCTTCAGGAAAACTTGCTGAAATAGTTATTGAAGTAAAGAATAAAGAATAGAAAAAAAAACAAAACTTCTTCAGAGTGATGTCATTTCCGGCAAATGAGAGTTACTATCCCTTTAATCCTCATATATTCTTAATTAATCCTATCTTATCTTCAACTTTGTTTAAAGAGAATAAGATTTTGTTAATTCAGATTTTAAGTATAAATTTCTCCTTAGTGAAAAATTAAAAATCAGAGATTTATCTGCATAATTTTTCGCACATCTTTTGGCTTATTCATCCAAACATTAAGAATTTATGAAGTTCCTATGTAGTAAGCACTATTAAGTGGTGGAGAGACAACAAGTGAGTAACACATGAATCCTCTCTGTGTTAGTTCATTTGCACTGCTATAACAAAATATCTGAAGCTGGGCAATTTATTAAAAAAGGGTTTATTTTGACTCATGGTTCTACAGTTTGTATGAGATGCATGGCACTAGCATCTGCTCCTGGTGAGGCCTCAGGAAGCTTTCAATTGTGGTGGAAGGCAAAGGGAGAGCCAGTATATCACCTGGTGAGAGAGGGGACAAGAGAGAGAGGTGGGAGGTGTCAGGTTCTTTACACAACCAGATGTTATGTGAACTCAGAGCTAGAACTCCCTCATTACCATGGGGATGTCGCCAAGCCATTCACGAGGGACCTGCCCCCATAACCCAAACACCTCTCACTAGGTCTCACCTCCAATAGTGGGGATGACATTTCAGCATGAAATTTGAAGGGGACAAACATCCACACCATATCACTCCCCTCAAGAAGCTTAACGTTTTATTTTTCTGCATTAAAACCACAGCTTGAATCTAGATAGAGTTGTCTCTAAACTGAATGCATTATCAATAACAGGAAGCTAAAAGTAAAACCAAGATAAGCTGGGACTTAATAGCAGAAATACAATGAGAAAAAGATCAGCTCATTCCTAGTGTTCTATTATAGCCCAGTTGCTTATCATTATACTCTCTCATTCTCTCCTGTATCATCTGGATAGGAGGTGCAGTGCCTTTGTACCAGGCCATATCCTTCTTTCTAATACTAATGGCAGACATAAGCAGTGATTTGAGCAGAATCAGATCACTGGTCCTTCTTATTTTTACCTAATGTTGTATGAAATGTAAATCTAAATTTTGAAAGGAAAACAAATTCTAAAAAGCAAAGAGAACTTTTAATTTCCTTGAAGATATTCTCCTTATTCCACTTTTATGTAAGACAATGTAGTGGGGATTATTTTTATGTCTATCTAATTTAATTCTGTCAATGTCACTGTGAGGGAGAAATGATCGATATTGAGATTCAAACAATTGGGTAATTTACAGGTAGAAGAAAGTGGCAGCAAACATATAATGGAATAGTTGCAGATTATAATACAGGCTCTGAAATTTGGTTTGTTAATAATGATGTGTGTTTATTATTAGAAATGTTTATTTATTAGAAATAATAAATACCTATTTATTAGAAATGTTTATCTATTAGAAAATGTTTTCTCTTAACATATTTCTTCAAGAAAGGAATTTTAGTAGTATCAAGAGACATCATAAAATATTTTATCTTAATCTACACTTATTATAGCTATAAACAATTATTTATGTAGAATGTGTGTACTAGTTAGTCAAGAATTAATGGTAGAGTAGAAGAAAGGAAGGAACAGAATGAAATAGTTACAGAATCACGTAATTCACCTATTTAAGAACATGCGGGTGTGAAATTATAGATTGTCTCTCTCAGCACAACTAGAGGAGGATTGCAAGAACTCTTCCACTTAAGGAAGCTCAAATGTATCAACTATTTTTCATGGACGTATTCATCTTCTATGGTCTAAATGTGCCCCCCAAATTCATATGTTAGAGACTTTATCCTCAGCATAATAGTGTTAGGAGATGGGGCCTTTTGAGAGGTGTTTAGGTCATGAGGGATCTGTCCTAAATAATGGAATAATGCCTTTAAAAAGGGGGCTGTAGGGGTGGGTTTGCTTTCTCTTGCCCTTCAACCTTCCTCCATGTGAAGATGCAGAGGCTTGTGTCTGGATCTTGGATTTTCCAGCCTCCAGAACTTTGAGATAATAAATTTTTGTTATTTATAAATTATTGAGTGTGTGGTATTTTCTTATGGCAGCACAAATGGACTAAGACATCATGCTATAGGGTCCATTGGAGCATCTAAATGAAACGAGTTAACTTTTCAGTGCAGATGAACAGAAACATAGCAGAAACAGCATGCCCACTTTTAAATAACTATACTGCTTCACAAATAATACAGGTATCTTACAATGAAGCATTCCCAATTCTTCTCTCCTGTCCCTTATTACATTGCTGTCATTCATTTCACTTATCCATAAACTATACTCACCTAGTACATTGTTGCTTTTATTATTTTGAACTGTTATCTTTTAGATCAATTAAAATTAATAAAAATAAAAGATTTCATTTTACTTCCATTTATTTCTTCTCTAATGTTCTTCCTTTTTTTGGATATAAATAGGTTTTTGTCTATAGTATTTTCCTCCCCTCTGAAAAACTTTAAACACTTCTTACAAGGCAGGTCTACTGGAGACCAAGTCCTTCAATGTTTGTTTGAGAAAGTGTTTATTTATACTTCACTTTTGAAAAATAACCCAATTCAGAATTTTGGGTGTTAGTTTGGTTTTTCTTTCAACACTTTGAATGTCTCATTCCACTTCCTTTTTATTTGCATACTGTCCAAATGGAAGTCCATTGTAATTCTTATCCTTGTTCCTCTATAGGTAAGGTGTTTTTCTTCTGGCTTCTTTTGAGATTTTTCTCTTTGTCTTTGATTTTCTGCAGTTTAATATAATAGGTCTAAGTATAGTTTTTTGGTATTTATTCTGCTGCTTGTTCTACCTGCCTTCAAGGTGACTGCCTCTGGCTCTCTCTCTTTCTTTGGGCATGCCAGCACAAGCCCCGTGCACAGCATCAGCAGGGTAGTTATACCTTTTACAGACAATAGTGGCTGAAAGCCAACCAGGAGCTTACACAAACAAGTGGAGTTATACACCTGCGCTCCAAACTCACAGAGTCACTCTGGCCCAGATGTCTGCCTCGGCCTATTCCTGACCAAAGCACATCCATGTACCTCATACATTTCCTTTCGATTCTTTCTCAGACTTCCATCTTTCCACTTACATTACCCATTTTTTTCTTGTGTGTTAACCACTTTATCCATTAGAACCCTGAGCATATCAATTAAAACTATTTTAAATTTCTGGTGTGATAATTCTGAAATCTCTGCCATATGTAAGTCTGCTTATGAAGTTTGCTTTGTCTCTCAAGACTATTTTTGCCTTTCAGTATGCCTTGTAAATTTTTGTTGAAAGCTGGACCTGATGTATAGGTAAAAGAAACTGAGGTAAATAGATCTTCGGTGTGAGGTTTTATGTATCTGGGTAGCAGTTAAACTGTGTTTATTGTTTGTTGTAGTTGCATGCGTCAGCAGTTAAAATTTTCTCTAGTGTCCTTTCTGTTGTCTTATAGAGTCCTAGTGTCTTTGTCCTCTTTGTCCTGTTGTCCTCTAGTGTCTTTTCTGTTGTCTCTGTTGTTTCTAGGTTTTCTGTTGTTCTGTCATCTCTAGGTTTCCTTAGAGACTTCTTAAATAGGATCTGAAGCTTGCAGTTCTCTTAGCTGTAATCCTCTGTTATTATACAGAAGCCCTGTTGATTTGGCAGTAACACATGGGGGAAAGGAAGCATTCTGTAGTTGCATGATTAGGTTTCTGTCTTTTAATGGGCTTGTGTCCCTGGGTTATGACCTTCACAAATGCTTATCATTGCTTCCCTTTCCCCTACTTAGGTGAAACAGGAAAGCGAAAGGAGACTAGAGTTGTTTCTTTCCCTTTCCCCAGGTAAGTTAGGCTGTGGCAAGGCCCAGGTAGGTAGGCTCTGGTTAAATAGTTTCCTTTGAGGGCAGGCCTTTGTTAAGAACAGAGCATTCTGGACTTATTTCAGAATGGTTACTTATCCTCTCCCCCCCCAACAGATATGATAAATTTTTCTCTGATACTTACCCTGAGAGCCTCATGGTTCTGGGCCCTCTTGGAGTTCTTATCTCTCAAGCTAGTTCCATGCTCAGTCTCTGTCAATTAGCCAAATACCATTTAATTTAGTTATTTTTAATAGGCTCCAGCAGTGGTTTCTAATTTCAATAAGCTGTGGTTCTCAGTATTTTGTCTCTCCAGTTTTCAGGGCAGTGGTTTGCCCTGTGACCTCAGTTCTCTGATAGATCAATTAAGCATTACTGTTTTTTTGTTTGTTCAGCTTTACCTTGTGAGGATAGAGTGATGGCTTCCAAACTTTTTACATATCAGACCAGACACCAGAATTTTCCAAATTTGCAACTTTATAATCTATCTACCTACCTATTCTGATCTGAGATATATGTTGGAAATGATTTTTTAACAGATTGTCATTTGCTTTTTTGTCTATAGTGTTTTAAGTATAATTTTATGTAATTAAATTTATAGACTTTTAATCTTATTGCATCTAGATTTTTAATCACATTTAGAAAGTTTTTAACCACCATTGAATTAAAAAAAATCGATCAATATTCTATATTAGAAATATGAATGGTTTTATTTTATCTTCAGAGATGTGATTCATTTGGGGTTTATCCTAGTGTGTGATTTGAGGCATGGAATTAATTTTTATCTTTTCCAAAATGACTATTCTGTTGTTTTAATACAAATTATTAAGTAGTCCATCTTTAACTGAGTGAATTGAGATTCAGTCTATTCCTATACTAAAGTTTCCAGATGTGCTTGGGTCTATTTCTGGATTTTGTGTTCTGTTTCATTAGTCCACCTGCCTAGTCATATGTGAGTACCATCTGTTTTAATTACAGAGGATTTTGTGTATATTTTAATTTCTGGTAGAGCTAGTCCTGCCTTACTGCTTTGTTTAGTGTTTTCCTATTTGTTATTCCTTGATTTTATTTTTGCATATAAACTTTTAAATGAACTGTCTAGCTCCAGAAGACAACTATTGTTATTGATGTAAGATTAAATTGATGGTAACATTTTTATGATGGTGAATCATCTTGTTAAAAAACAAGAAGTGTTTTTCCATTTGTTCAAATCCATTTTGGATCTCTCAAGGATCTTTTCAGGTTTACCTTTTATAATTTTTGCTTATTTCTTTTCTATAACTTTATAGAGGTATAATTGGAATACAATAAACTATGCCTATTTAAATGCACAACTTGAACAGTTTTGACATGTACAGACCTGTAAACTAAGACCAGATTCAAAATATAAAACAATTCCATTACCCCGCAAAATGTCTTCATGCCTTTCTGTAATTTATCCATCCTTGCACCCTGCTACCCAGGAATCACCAGTCTACTTTCTGTACTACAGATTACTTTGCATTTTCTAGATTTACATGAATAAAATTATATAGTATGGACACTTTTGTTGGCCGGGCTTCTTTTACATAATTTTGAAATTCACCCATGCTGTTACATGAATCAATAGTTTGTTCACTTTTATTATTGAGTAACATTCCATTGTTTAGATATACCACAGTTTACCCATTCACCTGTTGATCATTTGAGTTGTTTTTAGTTATTGGCTATACAAATAAAGGTGCTATAAATATAAGCATACAAGACTTAGTGTGGGCATGTTTTTTTTTTTTTTCTTGAGTCCATACTTTGAAGTGGAATGGATCAGCCTTATGCTGGCTGTGTGTTCAACTTCCTCATAAATTACTGTTTTCTAAAGTGGTTTTACTGTTTTACATTTTCATCAGCAGTGTTTGAGACTTCCACTTTCTTCAGATTTTGCCAACTGTTGGTATGGTCAGTTTTGTTAGTTTTAGTCTTTCTAGTGGGTGTATAGTAGAATCTCATTGTGGTTTTAATTTGCATTTCCAGAATGACTAGTGATGACCGTCTTTTCATGAGCTTGTTTTTGGTATATCTTCATTTATACAGTGTCCATTCAAATCTTTTGTCTATTGGTGGTGGAAGTGGGAAGCAGGAAGTGTTTATCTTACTATTAAGTTGTGTGAGTTCTTTATATATTCTGAATACAAGTCCTTTGTCTGATATATGTATCCTGAATATATTCTCCTATATTATGGGTTGTCCTTTATTTCCCCCTTAATTATGATTTTGGATATGTCCACATTATTTTTATGGCTTTTGCTTTTTTGTGTTATATTTAAAAAGTACTTTTCCTACCCTAAAATTGAAAGGAATTTCTTTGTGCTTTCTACTAAAAGTTTTATAATTCTGAGTTTTACATTTAGGTCTATAATAGATTTTTAGTTAATTTTACAAATGGCAGGAAGTAAAAATCCATTTTTTCCCCCAAACAGTCAGTTGATTTAGGACTACTATATGAAAAGGCTTTTTTTTCCCCTCACTTATTGGGTTACATTTTTTATAAATTGAATGATCGTATTTACAGGCAGGGAGATTTTGGTTGTCTTTTATTAGATATATTTCTACACATTCTAATTTTTTGGTGCTTTTTAAATGAGATTATTTAAATTTTCATTTCCAATTGTTTGTTTCTATAACATAGGCCAATATTTAATCTTGTATATTAACTTTGTGTCTTATGATCATGCTCAAGCAATTTATTAGTTTTAGTAGCTTTTTTTAAATATTTTCTGGCATTTTCTACATAAACAATCATACCATCTATGAACAGAGACTGCTTTACTTTATAATCCTAATACCATTTTTCTTGACTTATTGTAATGACTAGGCTTCCAGTACAATGCTGAACAGAAAATAAAATTAGTCATCTTTTACTTGCTTCTCATCTCAGAAGAAATAGTATCATTTAACATTAAGTAAAATGTTAGGTCTCAGCTTTTTGTAGATGCTCTTTATTAATTTAAGGAAATTGCTAAAGGTTCTAGTCTCCTGGATTTAAAAAAAAATTGTGAATAGTGTTGTTGAACTTTGTTAAATGTTTTTTCTGTATCTATTGAAATAATAATATTTTTTTCTTTATTCTATTAATATGGCAAATTACACTGTTTGATTTCCTGAATGTTAAACCGTCTTATATTTCTGGGATAAATTCAACTTGGCCATATAATTAATTGTTCCTTTAATATATTGTTGAAGTCAATTTGCCAAAATTTTGCAAAGAGTTGTTGCATCTGTATTCATGTACATTCATAAAATATATGGGACTATAATTTTTTCTTTCCTTTCTCTTTGGTTTTCATTCTCTTATGGTTTTGGCAGGTTTTGACAGTATTAGAGTAATATGAACCTCATAAAACAAGTTGGGGAGTGTATTAATTTGCTAGTGCTGCCATAATGAAGTACCACAAACTGGGTGGCTTAAACAATAGAAATTTATTGTCTCATAGCTCTGGAAGTTCAGCTTCAGTGTATTGGCAGGGTTGGTTTCTTCTGAGGGTTGTGAAGCAAAATCTGATTCCTGCCTCTTCCCAAGATTCTGGGTGGTTTAATGGAAATCTTTAGTGTCCCTTGGCTTGTAGAGGCATGACCCCACTGCCTACTTTCATGTTCACAAGACATTCTCTCTGCAGCATGTCTACCTCTAGATTTTCTTTTTATAAGAACACCAGTTAGATTGGATTAAATTCACCCTCATGACTTCATTTTAACTTGATTACCTTGGAAATGCCCCTATTTCCAAATAAGGTCACATTCTGAGGTACTTGGGATTATGCTACAACTTCAACAAAAGAGATTACCCATAATATGGGGTAATTTAACCTTCTTTACATTCTAAAAATCTTGTGTAAGATTGGTGTTATTTCTCCTTGAAGATTAGAAAAGATTTACCAGTAAAACCACTTGGGTCTAGACTTTCCATTTTGGGAGGGTTTTTGATAAATTCAATTTATTATGTATAGGACTATTCAGATTTTCTTTATCTTCTCATGCCAATTTTGGGAGGACCACTTTTTAAGAACACTTGTCAATTTTAAGTTATGATCCTTTTAATGCCTGGAGAATATGTAATGATAATCTTTTTAAAAAATTCATTATAACTGTGATTTATGTGTGTATTCTTTTGTTCTTAATCAATCTAACTAGAAGTTTGTCAATTTTGTTGATCTATTCCAGGGATCAGAAAACTTTTTTCTGTAAAACGCCAAGTAGTAATAAGCTCATAATTTAGTGTAAGCATTGTGGACCATATGATCATCATTGTAACAATGCAACTCTGCCATTGTTGAGTAAAATCAACCATAAACAATCCATAAACAAATGAATATTGCTGAGTTCTTTTATTTTCTTTTTGTGAAGATAGAGTCTTGTTATGTTGCCCAGGCTGGTCTCTAACTCCTAGGCTCAAGCAATCCTCCTGCCTTTGCCTCCCAAAAATGATAGGATTACAGGCCTGAGCCACTGTGCCCAGCAACTGTTGCCATGTGCTAATAAAACTTTATTTACAAAACCAAAAAGAACCACAATGAGTTAATACTCCACAGTCACCGTATAATCAAAAAGAGAGAAATAAATAACTGTTGGCATTTGTGTTGAGTAATAAAAACCCTCATACATTTCTGGTTGGAATATAAAGAGTTACAGCCACTTTGAAAAATGGTTTTGAAGTTTCCTAAAATCATATAACTACTCTCCCAAAACAAAAACATATGTCCATACACAGATTTGCATGTAAATATTCATAGCAGAATATTTCATATCCCCAGTGGGGAAACAGTCTAAATGGATAAACAAAATTTGTTATATACATATATTCTAATACTATTCAGCAATTAAAAACTAGTAAAAAATTGACACATACTACAACATGGATGAACATTGAAAAATTATGCTATATGAAAGAAGTCAGTCACAAAAGAACAGATATCATATGATTCTAAGAAGTATGTATAAAGAACAGGCAAATATATAGAGACAAGAATTATACTTGTGGTTTGCCTGCAGCTGGGGGTGGAAATGGTGATTAACTGTAAGTGATAAAAATGTTCTAAAACAATTATGTTGAAGAGTATACAACTCAAGGAATTTACCAAACATCACTAAGTTGCACACTTAACATGGATGAATTTCATAGTATGTAAATTATACCTCAATAAAATTGTTATTGTTTTATGAAACAATTTATTCTCTACAGGAAAACAGAAGTAAACAAAAATAGGCAGATTTGTCTTGTGAAAAGTACTTTTTTACGGCCTCTGATCTATTCAGAGGATCAACTTTTAGATGTAATTTCCTCTATTGTCTGTTTTCTAAATCATTGATTTCTTCTTTAATCTTTATTTCATTTCTTTTACTTAACTTGGGTTTACTTCTCTTCTTTTTCTAGTTTCTTAAGTTGAAACCTTAGGTATTGATTTAGATGTTTCTTTTTTTCTAATACAATATTTAAAGCTATATATTTTTTATCTAAGCACTGCCTTAGGTGCATACCACAAATTTCCATTGTCATTCAGTTAAAATATTTTTTAATTGTCCTGTGCTTTTGTTTTTGACGCATAAATTATTCACAACTTTGTTGTTCAATTTTCAGGTATTTGATCATTTCTACTTATTGTTATTGATTATTTAATTCTATTGTATTCAGAAAATATACTTTGAATAATTTTAATTCTTTCAAATGTACTGAGTTTTTTATGGCCCAGGACATATTCTATGTTAATGAAGTTAATATTCATTGCAAATAATATGTATTCTGCAGTTGTTGGATGTAGTGTTCTATAAATATCAATTACATCAAGGTGGTTGATAGTGTTCACAGCTTCCTTTTCTGTGTGTAATTATTCTAGCAATTGCTGAGAGAGGGTGTTAGGACCTCTTACTATGGCTGTATCTTTTGGTATACTATTTTTGGTGCTTGATCTAAGGATTACAATATTACCTAATCTTACAGATTCTACCTTGAGTTAATATTGTACCACTTCAAATAAAATGTAGAAATCTTGCAGCCACATAGGTTCCTCCTGTCACTGACCTTTATATTATAGTCATCTTATGTTTACATCTACATATTTTGAAAACCCAAGCAGACGATGGTTTAATTATTGCTTTCAACAGAATTATGTATTTTAAAAAACCCAAATGGAGAAACAATGTTTATATTTACCCAATATTTGCCATTTATTTTGTTCTTCCTTTATTCCAGAAGATCTGAGTTTCTCTCTTCTATCACTTCCTTTCCACCTAATGAACTTCCTTTAGTATTTCTTGTAAAACAAAACAAAACGAAACAAAAAAAACAAAAAACAAGTGATGAACTTAGTTTTCCTGTATCTTAGAATCTATCATTGCTTTGAAGGTTATTTTTGCTGGATATAGACTTCTGTGTTGAAATTATTTTCCTTCAGCACCACAAAGATGCTACTCCAGGGTTTTCTAGCCTCCCTAGTTTATATTGAGAAATTTGTGGTCATTTGGAATCATTATTCCCCTGTATGTAATGCATCATTTTGTAGCTGCTTTCAAAAGTTTTTATATGTCTTTGTTTTTTCAGCAGTTTGATTACGATGTGTCTAGGCATGTTCTTTTTACTTTAGTTGTGTTATATCCTCTTTAGGGTTCAGTGAGATTCTTGAATATGTAAATTTATGTCTTTTATCATATTTGAGCATTTTCAACAATTATTTCTTCTGCCACATAATCCTTTTTCTCTGGCACTTCAATAGCATGTCATTTAGACTTTTGTATTCACCTACAGGTCACAATGGCTCTGTTTGTTTTATTCTTTTCTCTTTCTTCTTCATATTGGATAGTTTCTATTGATATATGTTTCACTGACTTATAGTCATTTTCATGCCTTAATTGAGGTCTTTTGGTAAATTTTTTAATTTCAGAAATTATGTTTTTCAAGTCATGTTTCTATTCAGTTCATTTTCATAGGCTGTAGTTCTTTGCTGAGAAATTCTATATTTCATTTCTTTTTTTTTTTTTTTTTTTTGAGACGGAGTCTTTGCTCTGTGGCCCAGGCGGGAGTGCAGTGGCGCAATCTCGGCTCACTGCAAGCTCCGCCTCCCGGGTTCACGCCATTCTCCTGCCTCAGCCTCCCGAGTAGCTGGGACTACAGGCGCCCGCCATCACGCCCGGCTAATTTTTTTTTTGTATTTTTAGTAGAGACGGGGTTTCACCGTGTTAGCCAGGATGGTCTCGATCTCCTGACCTCGTGATCCACCCGATATTTCATTTCTTTTAAATGTATTTTCCATGACCTCATGGGGTATAGTTGTAAAAGCTGCTTTAAAATCTTTAGCTCATGCTTTAAACTCCAAGACATTTTATGGTTAGTGCTTGTAGATTGTCTTCTCCCTTGAGAACTGGTTAAATTTTCTGAGTAGTTTTTGATTGTGTTCTGCACCTTATAGAAAATTACATTGTATAGCCCCCAGGACCTGTATGTTCCTCTGATGAATTTGGTAACTTGTTTAAGCAGGCGGTCAACTCATTTAGGGTCAGACCCCAAGTACTGTCTCACTTTCTCTTAGTTGTTGTTCACATATCAGTTGAGCTCTGAAGGTTTTGCTGTGCTGATTTGGGTCTGTCCCACACGTGTGTAACTCAGAGGTGAGCCAGAGATCTGTAGGTTTATATGCATAATTAGGGG
Organism: Homo sapiens; assembly: GCF_000001405.40. Classification (NCBI taxonomy): domain Eukaryota; kingdom Metazoa; phylum Chordata; class Mammalia; order Primates; family Hominidae; genus Homo; species Homo sapiens. The sequence continues at coordinate 111,500,913 of NC_000003.12, read as the reverse complement.
ATGCCTTCTGTAAATCTTTCTGATCTGGGATTTTCTTCCTTATGCTCCAGCCCCCATGGTTTCTTTTTCCTGATTCCTCTAACCAGAAAAATAAGGTTGTCGGAGTTTCAGCGCTCTGCCCTAATCACTTTGCAGCTTGGCAACTAGGGTCTGTGAAACGGAAAAGCCTAACATAGGAGGCAGAAAGCAAACTGGGAAACTCACTTTGTATGGTCCCTTCTTCAAGTTTTAATTTCCCTCCACAATCTTTTTGCTTTTGTTTAGCTTTGGGGCCCTAATTCGTTTTTCATATTTTATCCAGGGTTTCTAGTTGTATTCAGCTGCAGTAGCAGGCTATAGAAGACTTATGCCACCATACCAGAATTGGAATCACGATGCTTATTTCTTTTAAAGCTTATTCTTAAGTATTTTATTTTTAAATTGTTGCTAAAATAAAATGGGTTTTTCTTCCGTTATAGGATTGCATCTTTTAACTAGTTATTACTGGTATATCTGAAGGCTCTTTATTAGCATATATTAATTTTATATCTTCCTACCTTATTATTTGTGTTAGTTTTATCAATAATTCTTTTGAGTTTTGTAGTTATTTTATCTTTGCTTTTCCAAAATGATATAGTTTTGATTCTTTATTTTCCGTCTTTCATGTCTCTAATCATTTATCTTATCTAATTTTAATTACTAATACCTGTAATACATTGTTAAAAGATGGAAGAAATAGTGGGCATCTTTAACTTATTCTTGACTTTAGTTAGACAACCACTGAAGTGTCTCTTCTAAGTGGAAATATGGCTTTAGAACTGACATATGTATTTAGTGTTAAAAAAGAATCAATTTTTATTTTACTGAGTGTATATTTTTTAGTAGGAATGGGTGATGAATTTTGTCAAAGTTCTTTTTATTATCTATAGAAATAGTCATATATTATTTTTCATTAGGCATTAATGGTAGTGAACAATATTAAGAGATTTTCTAATATTAAAACATCTTGGACTAAATCACATTTGATCATAGTATATTTTATTAATATACTATTGGAATGTGCTGATATTTTATTTTGATTTTTGGCATTAATATTCAAAATGAGACTGGTTTATAAGTTTTCTTTTTATATATGATTTAGACATCAATATTATATGTGTTTAATTAAAGTAATTTAGAATTTCTCTTTTTCTATGTTCAGGTGCAAAGATGTTCAAATGTCCCTGTTACTATATCTTGACCTTGATTTTCTGTTTCTTTGGGGTAATTGTTATTACATTGATTTTTCCTGTGAAAAATTGTTTTAAGCCTTTTATCTCTACTAAGGTGAATTTTAGTACATTGCATTTTTCAAGGATGCTATCCAATTATTTAATTTTTCAAATATATTTGTATAGAGTCAAACAAAATAGTCTGTAAGAATCTTTTAAAATTTACTTTGTTTCAAGGTTATTTCCCCCATAACATTTTTAAATTCATATATCTGTGCTTTCTCCTTTTTTTTCTGAGTTAGATTAGGTGGTAGTTTATCTAGTTTATTAATTTTTCCTCAAGAACAAGCATTTTGATTGATTTATCAATTTTGTTATATTTTTGCTTGCTGTTTTATTAATTTCTACTTCTATATTTTAAAAAATTTTTCTTCTGCTTCCCCCATCCCCTACCTACTTTTCTGAGTTGGGAATTTAATTCATTTATTTTTATTTATCTAAGTATCATAAGTATGTAGAGCTATGTATTTTCCTATAGTCACTGTTTTAATTGTATCTCATAAATGTCTTAGGAAGAGTTCATGAATATTTTCTGAGTTTCCATCTGTATCAAACTGTTTCCCTATAGGCTTGGTACTTTAAAAACAGTCTGCCTACATATAACACTCTGGGCTCATATTTTCCTTTTTTGAGTTTCTTAAAACTGTTCTTGCACAGTTTTCTTGCTTTGTATGCTGTTTTATGATCTTATTTCCTTTGTAAGTGATTTGGCCTTTTTTGCTTGGATGCCCAGAAGATTGCTTGTATATATTTAATGTCTAATAGGCCTATTATACTGTGTCTTAGATGTATGTCTATATATTACAATTGACCATTCTGGGTTAGTCTTCTTAGGTACACAAATATATCCAAGTTTTCTTTTATTTATACAAAGTTTTATTGGATTGTGGTTTAATATGTGATTAAATATGTGATTTCTCTCATTTCATTGTTTTTGTTTTTCTTGCCAGAAACCCAAATGATAATGCCCAGTCTTCTTTCTCTCTGATGGTTTTCACCTTATTTATTTTGTTTTCATTTTCTTGGAATTTTTCATATATTTTTAAACTTCTGCTTTGAGAGAAATCAATTTTCTCTTGAGTACTTTGAAATTATTCTTCCTACATAAGATGTTTTTGCCTTTTTCTTTAATTTCCCTCCTGGGGACTATCTTTTTTTCGTATATTACTTTATTTAATTCTGCTTTTCTGATTTAACATTTTTTCTTTTTGCAAAATATTTGTTTAAAATATTTAATTCAAGATGGGGTGTTATGTTACAGATTGTTTTCAGAGCCTCCAGTTAAATTGGGGTTCCAGCACCTGTGTGGATAGCTAAGGGGAAATGAAGGGGAGCTGGATATGGTTGTTTACAAGGTGTCTTTCACGGGACACATCTTTTACCTGGCAGACAGCCTAGTGTCTAGTTGTCTAACCTGTGACCAGGAAGATTTCTCACACAGGAAACTTGTTTATACTGGCAGATGCCCTTTTGGCTCTTGTCTGACCTGTGTTCAGTTTATGCCTGCCTGACCATTGCTCTGGTTCTGGGAGCTCAACTTTGTGCTTCCCCGTCCCATGTCAGGGAAAGATAGGCCTGGCGTAGCCCCTGATTCTTCAGATGGAAGGTGGGAATTCAATACTCCAGCACAAAAGGAAACAATTAAAAGATTGTACTTACAAATCTTGGGCAAGGAAGGTGGGATGGCAGTCCTCTGTCCTAGGGTCATGTGAGGCAGAAATGAAGGAGTCAGGCAGAGAGACAGGGCATGTGGCAAATAGTTGTATGTATAAGGGAATACAGTGTGGGTTATTTTAAGTTCTTAGGCAAATATCTGACAGATTCACTTAAAAGGAAACAGCGGAAGAGTGGGTAGTCCTATTGAGAGACAGGACTAGCTGGATTTCCTAAGTCGACTAAGAATTCCTAAGCCCAGCTGGGGAAGGTTACCACACCCACCTTTAAACGCGGGGCTTGTAACTCAGCTCACACCGGACCCATCAGGTAGTAAATAGTGCTCACTAAAATACCAATTAGGGTAAAAGCAGGAGGTAAAGAAATAGTCAAATCATCTACTGCCTGAGAGCACCGGGGAGAGACAATGATCGGAAAATAAATCCAGGCCTTTGTGCCAGCAGGGGCAACCCCCTCTGGGTCCCCTCCCATTGTATGTGAGCTCTGTTTTCATTCTATTAAATCTTGCAACTGCACATTCTTCTGGTCCGTGTTTCTGCCGGCTCAAACTGAGCTTTCGCTCTCCATCCACCATGGCTGAACGCCACAGTCGCAGACCTGCCGTTGACTTTCATCCCTCTGGATTTGGCAGGGTGTCCACTGAGCTTCTGATTCAGCGAGGTGCTCATTGCTGCTCCCAATCAGGCTAGAGGCTCGCCATTGTTCCTGCACCGGGAAGTGCCCGGGTTCATCCTAATTAGGCTGAACACTAGTCTCTGGGTTCCATGGTTCTCTTCCGTGACCCACAGCTTCTAATAGAGCTATAACACTTACCGCATGGCCCAAGGTTCCATTCCTTGGAATCCCTGAGGCCAAGAACCCCACGTCAGAGAACAAAAGGCTTGCTGCCATCTTGGGAGCAGCCGGCCCCATCTTGGGAGTGGCCCACCACCATCTTGGGAGCTCTAAGAACAAAGACCTGCTGGTAACACTATCTCTGGCCACCTATCTCTGGCCTATCTATCTCTGGTTCCTATCTCTGGCCATGGCTTGAGCCATTTGGGTGCAGTGAACAGGAAACTGTAAAGAGTGACAGCCCTGCTTCTACAAAATGGATGCCAAGGTAACATAAAATTACAAGAATTTACTACACAGATCTCTGCTTTGTAGTTAGTTTTAGTAGGGGAGAAGTTTCATCAGTAGAAACGTTTTTGTTCTCATAGTTTTTTTTTTTGTTATTTTTTGTTTGTTTTTTTGTTTTTGTTTCGTCTTGTAGCAGTTTTTATGGCTATTGCCACACGTTTTTCATTCATTCCTAGTGAATGGCAGAGAGAGAGAGAGAGAGAGAGAGAGAGAGAGAGAGAGACAGCATGTGGCAACTAGCAGTATGTATAAGGGAATCCGGTGTGGGCCATTTTAAGTTCTTAGGCAAATATGTATTATTTTTTTCTAACCGGCCTTAATGTGAAGGGGTGAAGTGTTTGGGAGGTTTACTATTTACTAGGTTTCTTGCTTCAAGAGAGCATTCTTCTGTTGATTTGTTAATGCAATTTTTTTTAAATTGATGGAATTGTTTTGAGGCAGAGGAACAACTATGTTTTTGTAAATCTCTGGATTCTTTTGTTTCTGTAGGACCTTTAATTTCCATTGCTGACTTCCTTCTTTCCCTTTATCACTAAGCCTTCAAAGAATGCCTCTCCTTTCTAGATTGCCTCCTTTCCCCCAGAAATTATATCTTACCAAGAATTCCAAAAGTTATCTTTCACCCTTTAAGCCATTTCCCTTGGATTACTCAGAAGCTATGTTCTAAGACCTGTTCTAAGTGTGTTCCCACTAAGGATGGGATCCTTATCGGGGGTAATTTTATCTATGTTCTGCTAAGCTAGTCTCACGTTTACATTACGCTTTTCCATGCATAAGCTGCCGTTGGAATATTTTGCAATATTTATTACCCTATACACATGTCATTTGATGCATTACATTGTCTTCTAGTTATGCTGTAAGAATTTATGGTGGATGGTTTTACTTACTCTTCATGTGGACCTACATGCTTTTTTGATAATGTATAGGGATATTTAAGAAACTGCAATCGTCCTACAGGAACTCAAAAGTCTGTAATTGTATCCTTGGCTTCCTTTTGATTCAGTGGCTTTACAGAAGTTGCTCCCCCCTCATCCCCACATCTCTGTATTAAATTTTTATTTATTGTCATATTTATTGTTTAAATAAATAAATTGGCACATGGCTATTTGGCATCAGACTTATACATACACACACATAATTGCATTATATATGATTTATATATCATTTATATCATGTATATATAATGTAATTAGCTTCAGTGTTCATAATCTTTTTATACCATTATTTTCCCCATTTTTTAATTATTTATTTTATTTTCCTTAGTTAAAACGTTTAAAAACAGATTTCTCCGGCACAGTGAGTAGGTTATTTATTTTACAAACCTTTGTATATCTAAAATATTGCTTTTCTGTTACCTTCACACCTGAATGACAACATTTTCTAACTCAAATTATTGGGTCACAAGATTTTCTGTTGCTTTATGATTTTCTGGTGCTCAATGTCAAAGAAGTTTAAGGTTCATCTGGTTCTTTTCTTTTGTAAATATCTTGTTTTTTCTTTCTTATTTTTTTTGTTACCTGTGGTTTAAATATCAATGTTATATACTCATTTTATAAAATTAATTTAGTAGATTTCCTTTTTATTCTATCTTGGTGAACATTTTAAACAGCAATTAAAATTATACTTGCATTAGAGCTTTAGTAGAATTTCCTTGTGATACTACATGAGAACTAGTGCATTTTTAAAAATTAGGTCTATAACATCTTCACATATTTCTTCTATAGTAATTGATCTGGTTGTATTTTCTGTTATTTAGGTCAGTGTTGGATATTCATGATTTCCTAGAAAAATCACGTGTTTTATCCTAAAATGTATTCTCTTAAAACTAATAAAATAATCCTTTTAGTTATTAAAAAAATCTGTCCTATCTCCCAGTTTTCATGACTTAGTAACCTATGAATTTTTCTATTTTATTATTGCTATTTTCATTATTATTACAGAGTCAGCTCTTGTCTTTATTAGTGTTACCAATGTCTGATTTTGATCTTATTAATTCCTAGTTATTTAGTTAGGTTTAGTTTATTGTTCTTTGTTTTTTGGTGGATTTTTGGAAATTCCTTTTTCTAATTTATTCATTAGATTCTTAATTTTTACATTTTCTGGGCATATAAACTCTATATTCTGTTCTGGATTATTTCTTTATATTTGCTTAAGGTTCAGATCTATAGCTAAATGATTTAAATGCTCATTGTCACACCTTCAACATTTGTATTTGTTTGGCTGAAGTTTTCCTTATGTAGTCAAGCATTTGTAAGTCTGGCTCAAGGGATCTCAGACCTAGAATATTCCAAATGACTTGTCATTTACCCTTACATCTTAATAAAAGATTAGGTAGGTATGAAATCCTTGGACAAAACTTTCTTTCCTTAAGAATTTGATAGCAACATTTAGAGTTAAAAGTTGCTATGAAAAAGTCTGAAATTAATATTTTTTCTCATACAAATTATTAGCTTTAAATTCAGTCTCCTTTTCTTACCTTTGAAGGTGATAGTTTTAACAGAATATATTTCTTAGTGTTGATAAGTGAGTAAGCACTGTTTCCATGATGAAGTGTGCCCTTACAAGCTAAAAATGAATGGTTTTATTTAAAAATTGGCAAAATTATGAATATTTTTATTATTTATTTTAAAATTATAGATTCAGGGGTTACATGTGCAAGTTTTTTTCCATGGGTATATTGCATAATGTGGGGGTTTGGGCTTCTAATTAACCCATCATCAAAGTAGTGAGCATAGTATCCAATAGGTAGTTTTTCAAACCTTACCCTCCTTCTCTCCCCATTTTTGGGTCCTCAGTGTCAATTGTTTTCATCTTTATGTACCTGTGCAACCATTGTTTAAGTCTTACTTATAAGTGACATCATACAGTATTTGATTTTATTTTTATGTTAATTCACTTAGGATAATGGCCACCAGCTACATCCATGTTGTTGGAAAGAACATGATTTGATTCTTTTTTAATGGCTGTGTATAATTCCATGGTGTATATGTACTAAATTTTAAAAATCCAGTCCACCATTGATGGACATCTTGGTTGATTCCATGTCTTTGCTATTGTGAATAGCAATATTCTTCCTTAATTTCATTGTTTGCCCAAAAGTCATTCAGGAAAAATTTTTTAGTTTCCATGAACTTGTGTGGTTTTGAGAGTTTCTGTTGGTATTGGTTTCTAATTTTATTCCACTGTGGTCTGAGAAGATGATTGATATGATTTCAATTTTTTTTCAATTCATTGAGACTTGCTTTAGACTATGTGGTCAATTTTAAAGAATGTTTCATGCACAGATAAGAAAAATGTATATTCTGTGGCTGTTAAGGGGCATATTCTGTAGATGTCTCCTAGATCCATTGGGTCAAGAGTCCAATTTAAGTCCAGAGATGTTCAGTTTTCTGCCTCAATGATCTGTCCAGTGCTGAAGTCCCCCCACTATTATTGTATGGCTTTCTATCTCTTTTCTTAGGTCTAGTAGTATTTGTTTCATGGACCTGGGTGCTCCAATGTTTGGTGCATATATATATATTTATGATATTTAAATATTCTGGTTGATTTAAACCCTTTATCATTATATTATGCCTTTCTTTGTTTTTTGTTTCTGTTTTTTACTATTGTTGGCTTAAAGTCTGTTTTATCTGATAGAAGAATAGCAGCCCCTGCTTTTTTCCATTTGCATAATAGATCTTTCTCTATCCCTTTATTTTGAGTCTGTAGGTGTCATAACATTTGAGATGGGTCTACTGAAGGCAGCAGAAGATTGGGTCTTTATTATTATTATTTTTTTTATCCAATTTGTCTCTTTAGTTCTTTTAAGTTGAGCATTTAGGCTGTTTACATTCAAAGTTAATATTGATATGAAGGTTTTGTTCCTGACGTAGTGTTGTTAGTTAGTTGTTTTGTAGTCTCTGTTGTGTAATTATTTTATAAGATCCGTGAGCTTATACATGTGCTTTCATGGTAGCAAATATTGTTCTCTTGTTTCCATGTTTAGAACCCCTTTGAGCATTTCTTGCAGAAGAGGTTTGGTGGCGATGAAGTCTCTTAGTGTTTGCTTGTCTGGAAACAATTTTATTTTTCCATTTTTGAAGCTTAATTTGAGAGGACTGGCATTCCTTTTTCTTTTTTTTATTTTATTATTATTATACTTTAAGTTTTAGGGTACATGTGCACAATGTGCAGGTTAGTTACATATGTATACATGTGCCATGCTAGTGTGCTGCACCCATTAACTCGTCATTTAGCATTAGGTATATCTCCTAATGCTATCCCTCCCCCCTCCCCCCACCCCACAACAGTCCCCAGAGTGTGATGTTCCCCTTCCTGTGTCCATGTGTTCTCATTGTTCAATTCCCACCTATGAGTGAGAACATGCAGTGTTTGGTTTTTTGTCCTTGCGATAGTTTACTGAGAATGATGATTTCCAATTTCATCCATGTCCCTACAAAGGACATGAACTCATCATTTTTTATGGCTGCATAGTATTCCATGGTGTATATGTGCCACATTTTCTTAATCCAGTCTATCATTGTTGGACATTTGGGTTGGTTCCAAGTCTTTGCTATTGTGAACAGTGCCGCAATAAACATACGTGTGCATGTGTCTTTATAGCAGCATGGTTTATAGTCCTTTGGGTATATACCCAGTAATGGGATGGCTGGGTCAAATGGTATTTCTAGTTCTAGATCCCTGAGGAATCGCCACACTGACTTCCACAATGGTTGAACTAGTTTACACTCCCACCAACAGTGTAAAAGTGTTCCTATTTCTCCACATCCTCTCCAGCACCTGTTGTTTCCTGACTTTTTAATGATTGCCATTCTAACTGGTGTGAGATGGTATCTCACTGTGGTTTTGATTTGCATGTCTCTGATGGCCAGTGATGGTGAGCATTTTTTCATGTGTTTTTTGGCTGCATAAATGTCTTCTTTTGAGAAGTGTCTGTTCATGTCCTTCGCCCACTTTTTGATGGGGTTGTTTGTTTTTTTCTTGTAAATTTGTTTGAGTTCATTGTAGATTCTGGATATTAGCCCTTTGTCAGATGAGTAGGTTGCGAAAATTTTCTCCCATTTTGTAGGTTGCCTGTTCACTCTGATGGTAGTTTCTTTTGCTGTGCAGAAGCTCTTTAGTTTAATTAGATCCCATTTGTGAATTTTGTCTTTTGTTGCCATTGCTTTTGGTGTTTTAGACATGAAGTCCTTGCCCATGCCTATGTCCTGAATGGTAATGCCTAGGTTTTCTTCTAGGGTTTTTATGGTTTTAGGTCTAACGTTTAAGTCTTTAATCCATCTTGAATTAATTTTTGTATAAGGTGTAAGGAAGGGATCCAGTTTCAGCTTTCTACATATAGCTAGCCAGTTTCCCAGCACCATTTATGAAGTAGAGAATCCTTTCCCCATTGCTTATTTTTCTCAGGTTTGTCAAAGATCAGATAGTTGTAGATATGCGGCATTATTTCTGAGGGCTCTGTTCTGTTCCATTGATCTATATCTCTGTTTTGGTACCAGTACCATGCTGTTTTGGTTGCTGTAGCCTTGTAGTATAGTTGGAAGTCAGGTAGCGTGATGCCTCCAGCTTTGTTCTTTTGGTTTAGGATTGACTTGGCGATGCGGGCTCTATTTTGGTTCCATATGAACTTTAAAGTAGTTTTTTCCAATTCTGTGAAGAAAGTCATTGGTAGCTTGATGGGGATGGCATTGAATCTATAAATTACCTTGGGCAGTATGGCCATTTTCACGATACTGATTCTTCCTACCCATGAGCATGGAATGTTCTTCCATTTGTTTGTATCCTCTTTTATTTCCTTGAGCAGTGGTTTGTAGTTCTCCTTGAAGAGGTCCTTCACGTCCCTTGTAAGTTTGATTCCTAGGTATTTTATTCTCTTTGAAGCAATTGTGAATGGGAGTTCACTCATGATTTGGCTCTCTGTTTGTCTGTTATGGTGTATAAGAATGCTTGAGAATGCTTGTGATTTTTGTACATTGATTTTGTATCCTGAGACTTTACTGAAGTTGCTTATCAGCTTAAGGAGATTTTGGGCTGAGACAATAGGGTTTTCTAGATATACAATCGTGTCATCTGCAAACAGGGACAATTTGACTTCCTCTTTTCCTGATTGAATACCCTTTATTTCCTTCTTCTGCCTAATTGCCCTGGCCAGAACTTCTAACACTATGTTGAATGGGAGTGGTGAGAGAGGGCCTCCCTGTCTTGTGCCAGTTTTCAAAGGGAATGCTTCCTGTTTTTGCCCATTCAGTATGATATTGGCTGTGGGTTTGTCATAGATAGCTCTTATTATTTTGAGATATGTCCCATCAATACCTAATTTATTGAGAGTTTTTAGCATGAAGCGTTGTTGAATTTTGTCAAAGGCCTTTTCTGCATCTATTGAGATAATCATGTGGTTTTTGTCTTTGGTTCTGTTTATATGCTGGATTACATTTATTGATTTGTGTATATTGAACCAGCCTTGCATCCCAGGGATGAAGCCCACTTGATCATGGTGGATAAGCTTTTTGATGTGCTGCTGGATTTGGTTTGCCAGTATTTTATTGAGGATTTTTGCATCAATGTTCATCAAGGATAGTGGTCTAAAATTCTCTTTTCTGGTGTGTCTCTGCCCAGCTTTGGTATCAGGATGATGCTGGCCTCATAAAATGAGTTAGGGAGGATTCCCTGTTTTTCTATTGATTGGAATAGTTTCAGAAGGAATGGTACCAGTAAGTCCCCAATCTCTCTGGCTTGTAAGGTTTCTGCTGAGAAGTCTGCTGTTAGTCTGATGGAATTTTCTTTACAGGCAACTTGGCCCTTTTCTCTAGCTTCCCTTATGATTTTTTCTTTCGCATTGACTTTGGATAGTCTGATGACTATATGCCTTAGGGTTGGTCATCTTGTATAGTATCTTGCAGGTGTTCTCTGAGTTTCTTGTGTCAGGATATTGACCTCTTTTGCAAGATTAGGAAAATATTCCTGAATTATTCCCTCAAATATGTTTTCCAAGTTGCTTACTTTTTCTTCTGTCTCAGGAGTGCCAATAAGTCATAGGTTTTTTGCTTTGTGTAATCTCATATTTCTCAAAGGCCTTATTTGTTTTGTAAAATTCTTTTTTCTTTATCTTTGTCTGACTAGGTAAATTCAAAAGACCAATCTTTAAACTGAAATTCTTTCTTCTGCTTCATCTAGCCTATTCTTAAAGCTTCCAATGGTATTTTGAAATTCCATTTGTGAAATTTTCAATTCCAGAAGTTCTATTTGTTTTTTTCTTAATATAGCTGTCTCATCTTTCATATCCTGAATCATGTTTTTGGTTTCTTTGTATTGAATTTCAACTTTCTCTCAGATCTCATTGAGTTTCCTTGCAATCCATATTTTGAATTATTTATATGTTATTTCAGACTTTTCAATTTGGTTAGGATCCACTTTTAGAGAACTAGTGCAATCCTTTAAGTCACTCTGGCTTTTTGTATTACTGGTGTTCTTGTGCTGATTCCTTCTCATCTGAGGGAGCTGTCACTTCATATTTTTGAATTTGTTATTGTTTGGATGAGACTTTATTATTTTTAAACTCTTTTCTCTCTTGAGTGTATAACTATTGTGTATGTTGTCTATGATTGTTTGGCTTTACTTCTGGGTGTTTTCCAGGAACCAAGGCTCTGTATGGGTTCCTTGGTTGTGGATAATTTCTGTTTGGTGGCTTTCTCAGATGGTGCTTGTTGTAGCAATGTATTGGACATAAGAGCCAACACACTATCTCTGGTGGGACTTAGGGTACAGGGGTCTCAGGGAGCTTATCTTGTGGATTTGCACTAAAGTCCTTCTGGCACTAGGATTTTTATTTGGTGATGCAGTTCAGTATGCAGACAAGTAGACACTGCTTAAGTTTGCCCTCAGGTAGGCTAATGTTGAGTGGAAACACCTTCCTTGTTAGGGGACCTTAGGGGAAAGGGATCATGTTGGGTTGCACTGAGGTCTTGGAAAAGGGGTGTGGGGTGCACCAGCATCTCACCCTGAGCTGGCAGGAATGTTCTCTGATTATCTATCACACCCCTGTTGCACGCTCATGACTTCAGTTCATAAAGACTTTGTCCTTTGGTTTCATGGTGCAGTACCATTGTGGGCTGCAAATATGACCCTCTGATGGCTACCACCAAAATCGGCTTATGGTAGAACCTCTTACTCTAGTCCAGAGAAGGCAACTCCATAACTTTTCTGTCTTCTGTTGCCAGATTCTACTGCTCTGTGTAGGGAGGGAGAGTTGGGCCCTGCTCTTTTTTTAAGCCCAAGTGGCATGGACTCACTTTCACTAGCAGTGTAGCCACTAGGAAAAACATAAAAAATTTTTTCTCTGAGTGCAAACATGCTGACCCTCAGCATGAAGAACCACTGTTGCATTCACAACAGTGTGCTGTGAAGGTGGTAGATGACTCCCTCTTCCATGTCCCTTCCTAGACATAGATACTGGCCCCTTCCGCAATTGGTGTTGGCCATTTCTTTTGTCCCAAAGGGGATTTAGTAGTCTTGCCTGCCTTCCCTTAGAAGAGACCCACTCTGAGGGTTAGATCTCCAGGTAACTGAGGACCCACCAGTCCCCTATGCTTGCCAATATCAGAGTGGGCTGTGGAGTATGTTTGCAGAGCATCTGGTGGTGTGCTGACTCAAAGGCAGAGAATCCCTGGCAGGGCAGTGGCCCACATTGGATGTACAGCCAGTATGGTGCCCACCTTCTCAGCTTGGCTCTGAGGAGAGCGTGTGTACATTTTCTTAGGTTGGCTACCTGGTTCTCTGTCCCCAGAAATTTCCCCAATTACCAGTGATAGCAATGTCTTAGGCCATGAGGGCAGAGGGTCTCTTTAGCAGTTTGGCAGTAAGCAGATTGTCAGAGGGGTAAGGGAAGCAGGGAACACTTCCATCGACCCTTTCTGTGGGGGTCTTAGTTCCTTTGGGGTCAATCTCTACTAGATTCTTTCTGATTCTTTCTGATTTCCATTTTTGCACCTTAGTTTCTTCCTGAGGGCACTCCAACAGATCTTGATTCTCTTCCCTCAATTTTCTGTTTTTTTTTTTTGTTTTTTTTTTTTTTGACAGAGTCTTGCTCCGTCTCCCAGGCTGGAGTCCAGTGTGCAATCTTGGCTCACTACCTCCTGGGTTCAAGCTATTCTCCTGCCTCAGCCTCCCAAGTAGCTGGGATTACAGATGTGCACCACCAAGCCTGGCTAATTTTTGTATTTTTAGTAGAGACAGTGTTTCACCATGTTGGTCAGGCTGGTCTCAAACTCCTGACCTCAAATGATTCACCTGCCTCAGCCTCCCAAAGTGCTGGGATTATAGGCGTGAGCCACCACACCTGCCCTCTTTCCTCAGTTTTCTGTTCAGAACTTGTTCATTCACCAGTAACTTTGATCTTTCTGAGGAGAACTGACATCCGATGTCCGTAGTCAGTCATCTTGAAAAAAGCCAAAACTACAAAAATTTTAAAATATTTTTCGTCCTATTATTTCAGATCTTTTTTTTTGGGGGGGGTGGGGTGGAGAAAGAGGGAACAGAGGAAGACATCAATTATAATTATGTTGGGTTTTCTTTGCCTGATGTCCATATAATGTTCTTTCTAACACTTTTCTTTCAAAAAAATTTTTTTTTATTTTACTTAAAGTTTCGGGATACATGTGCAGAATGTGCAGGTTTGTTACATAGGTATACGTGTGCCATGGTGGTTTTCTGCACCTATTGACCTGTCCTCTAAGTTCCCTCCCCTCACTCCCCGCCCCTACGACAGGCCCTGGTGTGTGTTGTTCCCCTGCCTGTGTCCATGTGTTCTCATTGTTCAACTCCCACTTATGAGTGAGAGCATGTGGTGTTTGGTTTTCTCTTCCTGTGTTAGTTTGCTGAGGATGATGGCTTCCAGCTTCATCCATGTCCCTGCAAAGGACTTGATTTCATTCCTTTTTATGGCTGCATAGTGTTCCATGGTGTATTTGTACCACATTTTCTTTATCCAGTCTTTCATTGATGGGCATTTGGGTTAGTTCCATGACTTTGCTATTGTAAATTGTATTTCTAGTTCTAGATCGTTGAGGAATCACCATACTGTCTTCCACAATGGTTGAACTAATTTACATTCCCACCAACAGTGTAAATAACATTTTTCATTTTATTTGTTTTTATTTTATTTTGCTTCTTTCCTCAAGCCTATCATTTGCATCCTTTACTGTGTTTGCCAGTTTCCAATTTCTGCTCCTAATTTGTCCTTTATTTCTGTTATAGTTTAAGTTAGTTTTTGTGACTTCTTTTGTTGCTTTCTCATATCTTCCTTCTTATTTTAGAGAGAATTTTTAAAAGGTAATTAAGGTTCTGATTATTTTAATCTTTATTTTTATGAAAATTCTCTTGCCTGCAATATTATGTGCTCCATCAAAAATTTTTAGAATGAGTATATTTTATCTGTTAGTTATTTCTATATTTCTTTCCTTTGTTTATTTGTAGTACCTTTGTCATAGTTCTGTGTTAGTTTTTTTTATTTTATTACAATTCATATTTGAGTGAAGTTAGGACTTCTTAGACTTGGAATTCACTTTGAAGCTTCCTATGGGCTGAGAATAAAGACTATGTTTTAAGCTTGTGGAAATTCTCCTTATGACCCAGAAGTGTGTGTGTGGGTGTGTGTGTGTGTGTTTGACTTTTTTTGCCTTTACTTTTCCTAACACACTGAATTAACCTGGCAGTGTGACTCACAATATGCAAAATCTTTTATTCCCTGCCTTGCTGACAAATATCTTTCAGCAAACATGGCCTCTCTGTTTTATTTCTTACCTATCCTTGATTTACCTGTTGCTTGAGATATTGTAGCAAAATGAGTCTAGAGAAGTGATTGCTACCAAGCAATATTATTCTCATTAATTCAAACCAGGGCTCATTAGTTAGGAGTCTGCTTATTTTGGAGATCTGTGCTCTGACAGGTTTGTCTGATATTTATAGACATAAGCATATGTTCTACATTTCTTTCATGAGTCTGCTGGACTTTACTGAGTAGCTCTTTCTCAGAAATTTTGGTAAGTTATAGTTGTTTCTTGGTTTTGTTGAAAATGGAGATAGTACTCTTATTGTTTATTTTCTTTGAGTTTTGTGTGATATCTAAGAATGGAAAGGAGAAACCACAATCTTTTACTGACATTTTGAAACTGGGAGTACTCTCCTTTCACAATATTTTGAAGATTCAAAGCAAAGACAAAATAAATCCAAAGCAAATGAAAACAAAATTTTCCTCGGTTTATTACAGAAAATCATATTAAGAGTTTTTTCCTTGTAAATCTTCACAATACTCTCTTTATTGCTGCATTTTTTATGGGCCTAATGTTGGCGTTTCTTCTGGTTGCTGACAGGGGACATTTTAATCAGCTAAATTTTAGAATTTGCATCAAGAAGGATTGGTGCTATGTTCTAGGTCTCCACCATCTACTTCTGGGGGTCTGAAAAATTATCTTTCTTAAACAAACTTTAAGTTTGGTCTCTGTCCTTGTTAGAATGCAGGTGTTTAGTGCAAGTTTTCTGGATCTTTTCTTGCTCTGTCAGATTCTATCACTAAACAAAAGGGTATGATGCAATTTATAATTTTTTAAACAGTGGAATTACATGAAATACTATCGCTTTCTACTTGTGCTTCTAACAGTCTTCTTGTCTCTGCCTAGGTTTGGAGGATTAAATATGATATATTTCAATGAGTCTCTTCTCATTCCTATGTACTTTCTTCTGTGCCACCTTCTGGAAATTACCATTTTGAAATGATGATAATAAAAACAGTATAATAGGAATAAATGTGGAGAGGGTAAAACCTTGGCTTTATTTGGTTCCTCTGAAGTTACAGAATGGGTACTTGTTTGTTTAGTCAGTACATCTTCACTGTTTCAGAGTTAGGCACTTACAGAGAAGGTGAATAAAAGCTTTTCCCCAACTTTACTGGGTCCGTCTGGCCTGTTCTGGTTCAGAGATTAGAGCATGTGTTGTGCAGCTCAAGAATGTACTTCTTGATTTTATCCACACGGCTGATGCAATTAGTTGAAATTCCACCCAGATTTGGCATATGGTCTTCTGTTATCTTGGATTTACAGTGATGTTGCCAGCTTAAAAAAAAGCTTTTATATTTTTATGAATATTTTAATAGGAAGTGGGAGAGCTGCCATAAGCATTTTAAGCCTGCCACCGTATTAACTTCCATATTCACACAATGAAGCCACTCCTTAAATGTCTTGAGAGCAGGGCCTCATATACATATATATGTGTGTATATATATATATGTGTATATATATGTGTGTGTATATATATGTGTGTGTGTGTGTGTGTGTGTGTGTGTGTGTGTATATATATATATATACACACATATATAAAATCTCCAGGGCTCTTTACTAAGTGCCCAATAAGCACATTTTCCTCTAGAACTGATAAAAGTTAAGCTGTTCTAGGTTTTTACTTTAATATACTAATTATGAACTTTATATTAACCTAGCTCTGGATACTATGAGTACATGAAAGTGATAAAACTAATGTGTAAAAAATATATACTTCAAACTTTTTGTTAACTTTACAAATATTACTCTATTTGAAGTTTCCTGTCTTTTTAAAGAAAAAAAACTAGGTGTAAATAAATGTGACTTTAAAAAGACTTAGAGGTTGTACTCTTGTTAACTATGAATAAGGTTTCCTTTAGTTCAATGTGCCAAATTGCTCGCGACACAGTGAAACATTCAGCTTTGTCACATTATTAAATAACCAATTAGTTACAAAAATTTCCACTATTGTCAAGAGACACACAGGGGTTAAAGGAGCCTGCATATCATCCAGTTTACTCCGGGAATCATTTACTTTACTTGTCAGTCTTCACTACTCTATTCATCAGTATCTTAGTATTTACTTTACTTATCAACAGCAGTATCTATCTATTGCCTAATGACAATTATTATTATAGGGTCTATTTTTTTCCTTTTATTTTTGTTGACACGTGATAATTGTACACATATATGGGATACAGGGGGACATTTTGATACATGTATACAATGTGTTATGATCAAACCAGGGTAATAGGCATATCCATCACCTCAAATATTTATCATTTCTTTGTGTTGTGAGCACTCAAAATCTGTTCTGCCACACTGTAGGATAAATATAATTTATTGTATAGGGTCTATTTTAGACCAGTACATTTTGCAACATCATCAAAGATCCCATGCCTGTGGAACTAGATTGTAAGTACTCCTTCACTTATATCATACCTATCTGAAGGTAAAGGTTATCTTTTTTTTTTTCTCCCGTTACAATGACCACTGGGCACAAAGTGTTCCATAAGGCTCAATCTAGAAGTATGCTTTAGTGGATGAATTAGGAAATTTACAGTTAGAAGACCTGAGTTTGAGTTTCAAGCTCTGCCATTTATGAGCTGTATGACTTTGGGCATGTTGTTCTCTCTCTCTCTCTCTTATTTCGGAAAGGTATGTGAATGAGTAAATTTATTTGAATAAGCTTGGTAAACTATAAATATGCTATAAAGCAGCAAGCTGCATTGACTGTGTGTAGTGTTTCTTCAGATAGATGGCATTCAATTATGACCAGAGCCAGATCAACTGGGCAATTGACTGGACCACTAAAATGTCACATAAAATGTTAAGAGATGAAGAAAATTTATTTGTCAGAACTCCTGGATAAAGAGAGACGGGAAGTGAGTCTGCATGTGTTTTCAAGCAGCATTTTCATAAGCCACTTCAGATGGAGGAATAGACCCTGAAAGGATATGCTCAACTATCAACAGATGGTACCTAAAATGCTGTCTAAGGAAGGTCAAGCAGGTTAACTTCAGCCTTCTGTTCTTCCGAGTGGAAGACAGAATCTGGAACTGACAATGGGACCTTCTTTTCCTTTCCTTCCTTCAACACACCTGAGATATCTCTATAAACAAATACTGAACTATGATTTAGAAAAATATCAGCTTAAAGGGGTTACTACATCAGTAGCCTCTCTGGGAAAAGCACAAGATGTGATCTGGTCATCATCACAATGATACTAAAATTTTGCAGTGACATGGGAATTGCAGTAAATAAGAGCTAAGTGTCGTCAGTGCTAAGTTCTTGACCATCTTCATCTCCTGGCATTACTCATTCTGACTTAAATCTCTGTGGTTCAGCTTCTAACTTACAGATCAAAATCTGTCAGATTTCTTGTAAACTTATAGCCCTTGAAATATCCAATGGTGGCTTCCTGCTTTATTTAGTATTAAAGAAGTTTCTCATCACCTCTCCATGCTAGGGCCAAGTGTCTATATTTGTGGATGTGCTCAGCCCGTAGGAATTAAATTAGCCACCTTCTGTCTTTCAGGGATTGGTTGCATGAAATGCTGATTATTTTGCCTTATAAGTCACCCCTGGTATGTGTAGGTAAGAAGTACAGACCACAGTTGATGTGGTTTGAATGTTTGTCTCCTCCAAATCTCATGTTGAAATGTGACTGCCAATGCTGAAGGCGAGGCCTAGTAGGAAGTATTGTATCTTGGGAGCAGATCCCTCACAAATGGCTTAGCACCATCCTCTTGGTGATCCGTGAGTTCTCGCTCTGTTAGTTCACACAAAATCTGGTTGTTTAAAAGAGTCTGAGACCTCCCCACCATCCCCTGTCTTGCCCCCCCCAACCCCTCCCTCTTATTCCATCTCTTACCATGTGACATGTCTACGCCTTCTTTGCTTCACCTTCTGCACCCTCTGCCATGAGTAAAAGCTCCCTGAGGCCTCACCAGAAGCCGAGCAAATGCTGTCACCATACTTCCTGTACAGCCTGCAGAACCGTGAGCCAGTTAAATCTCTTTTCTTTATAAACTACCCAGCCTCAGGTATTTCTTTATAGCAATGCAAGAACAGACTAACACAACAATAGATGCCACTGCTTGGGTCTAAAGATTGCTTTTTTAAAATACTAAAGTTCAAGAGATAATTTATAAAAGCTGACAATATTATGTGAGTTTCCCTGAAAATTGTTTTGACTCTCTGGACCTCAGAGCAAGCCCTTTTTAGAACAGAAACTATTTGTTTATACAGTCTGGCTTGGAGGATGATTTATTATATATTCCTCTGAGAAAACTGCAACTCAGGCAATTTAGGACTTTTAACTATTTTTAAAACCTCCAACAGCAATGGGATATGTTTCCAGACAAAAGCAATGTCACTTGATGAATAATCCACTTGTTATTTATCTTTCTGCTTTTGGGAGACAATGCTAAGTCAGCTAAGGACATCTCCAAAAGGGTGTTATTATTAATAGAAATTAAGTGGTGTACCACACAGAATATGTTTTCTTCAATTAAATTCTAAAATGAGATGGAAAATAGTTCAATAACCCTAGAGCTGATATCTGATTTAGGATATTTTTCTGCATATAATTTAATTTAATCTTGGCTTTGTATGAAATTTATAAAATTTCAATGAGATTAAACCATAGATGCTAGTATTAATTTGCTTAATGCAACCTAATCCTTTTGGTCTTGCTTATGGTCTGAGAAGCCTCTCAGGACCTTGACCTCTTTTTGCTCATGGCTTTAAGGCTTTGTGAGGATATAGGTGGTACATAGAAGGGTGAAGCCATAAACTGTTATATAAGCTATGTAAATGCGAATCCATCACTTTCTTGCTTAAAATCATCCTAAGCGTCATCCTAGTTTTCAAGGCAAAGTTAAAGTTGTTTAATATGCAACACATACCCATCATGATGAAACCCTGGATCACTTTTTAAATTTTATCACTGATCAATCCTTCCCAACTTCCCCTGAAAGATACACAAGATACACATACATATACAAACACGGGCACACACACTCCCCATTGCAGCTTCTCAAGAATATTTTGTTCTGTCATGCTTCCTCACTTTTGCCCTGCTATTTTCTATGTTCAAAATGTCTTTTTCTCCCTTATTTGCCTGACCAATTTATTTATCTTTAAAGACTCAGCTCTCTGCTTTAGTACCACTTCCCAACTTTTCCCCTTCTTTGTGTTTCCTTGTTACTGTATTCATATCTCTATCATTAACATTCATCATCCTGCGTATAATTATTGATTTCTTCATCTGTCTCCTCCAACTAAACTGTGAGCTCCTTATTAAGGTAGGATCATTACATTTTCTTGCTATATTCTGAGATCCAAAGTAGTATCTGGGCTGCAGGAGGCATCCAAAATCTGTTTTTGATGGGTGAATGAATGAATGCATCAACTAATGATACAATTGATCAATGAAGAGTGACTAAGTAAGACTAGTAGCTAGTCTCTGGCCATCTTCTGCTCTATATAAGGGATCAGAGTAGGAAAGAGACTGAAATTAGAGCTCATAGCAATTTTAGGGAGGGAATTTTAAGTTCAGAACACCATAGCTTTTCTTTCAATAGCTCTGCAGTAGTTCCTGATTTTCCAAAGAGGACACTTTTTAATACAGAGGAGCTTCAGTCTTTTACCTGACGCAGGACTTATCACTCTGTGCAGTTAGAGGTCAGTTCAGAGTTGGTAATGGAAGAGGGTGAAGTTTAGGGACTAATATAGACAGCTAACCACAGATAATTATGTCAGAGGCATTTGAACCAGAGCAACTCCATCTTGAATAGGGGCTGGGTGAAATAAGACTGAGACCTGCTTGGCTGCATTCTCAGGAGTTTAAGGCATTCTAAGTCACAGGATAAGATAGGAGGTCAGCACAAGATACAGGTCATAAAGACCTTGCTGATAAAACAGGTTGCAAGTAAAGAAGCTGGCCAAAACCCACCAAAACCAAGATGGCAACAAGAGTGACTTCTGGTCATCCTTACTGCTACACGCCCACCAGCGCCACGACAGTTTACAAATGCCATGGCAATGTCAGGAAGTTACCCTATATGGGTCTAAAAAGGGGAAGCATGAATAATCCATCTTTTGTTTAGCATATAATCAATAAATAACCATGAAAATGGGCAGCCAGCAGCTCTTGGGGCTCCTCTGCTTATGGAGTAGCCATTCTTTTACTCCTTTACAGTCTTAATAAACCTGCTTTCACTTTACTCCATGGACTCGCCTAGAATTCTTTCTTGAGCGAGATCCAAGAATCCTCTCTTGGGGTCTAGATTGGGACCCCTTTCCGGTAACAATTAGACTGATCAAAAAAGCCAGTAGACAGATTACCATTAATGTGGAGCAGTAACGTGTCATGGTTACCATTTCCAGACAGTTGTTGAGAGAACACACATCTAGGACAGCAATTAAATTGGACACTGATTCTCTTTGGAGTGCTGGGGAAATGTGTGGTTTTATAAAGGTATATTTTGTACACACAGCCATAAGCACATATACACATTTATGTACACACAACTGAGAAAGAACAATTAAATTGCAGTTACTCCTAGGGAAGATAAAAGAGATTCTCTAATTTTTTGTTTTTGTTTTTTCTCACATCCAAGAAGTTTACTGCCCACAGCTCTGCGCAGAGGCAAGGGCTGGTGAGAGCGGATCCACCCAGGAAGTCTCTGTAACGGGAAGCCGTAAGGGACACTCTAGCTAACATTCTAGATACCTGGGAGATGAGGGCGACTCCCCAGATGCGGGAACAGGCCAGATCTTTATAAATAAACATCCAGTGAAGAGAAATGACAACTCTAATTCATTCGCATATACAGAGCACTCTAGGAGGATGAGGCAGCCGGGGACCTGGCGGGGTGATGAGTGGGCCCAGATGTCCGCGGCACCGGGAGACTGAGAGCAAGGCTGGGGCAGCAGAAGATGGGTACTTGGGGTATGGTGAATGTACAAGACCAGCTACTTGGGGCGGCTGCCCGGGGTGTGTGTGTGTGTGTGTGTGTGTGTGTGTGTGTGTGTGTGAGGCTGTTCGTTCTGGAATGAGGAGGGGTGGTCTTTACATCATATTCTGTGGCTGGTGGGCTCAGAGAGGGGCTACTTTGTGGAGAGGATTAGGGCCATGATGAGACCATAGAGGCCGAGCACCTCGGCAAAGACGAGTATCAGAATCATGCCCACAAATAGTCGGGGCTGCTAGGCGATGCCCCGCACACTGGCACCCCCTACGAAGATGATGGCACAGCCGGCTGCCAGGCTGCTCAGGCCCACACTCAGGCCGGTACCCCGCTGGAGGTCCTATGAAAATAAAATTTAAATCAGTGCACTTACTCTTACCTTAAAATCTCCACATTAAATGAAGCATTAGAAACAGATTTGTTGGTCAAAATCATGACCTGCCTTATAATTAGGCAGAGTGTCTGTATTTTGGGCAAGAGAAGGATCCCATTGATCCAACCACTTGCCAGAGGGCTTGACATTTGCATCATTAATTTGTTTAAGATGTCATGCTTTTGGAATTTTCCCGTTGAAATATTAGTTTCCCTAGAAAGAATATATCCCCACATTTACTTATAATGAACTCTAGACTCTTAAATGAATCAATTAGTTTAACATTGCCTAACAGAGAGCCAAAGGAAATGGGACAATGGAAGGTTTCTTTTTTATTTATAGGTAAGAAAAGTCCAGCACCTGGGATATTGCCCTAAGAGAGTGAGCATCATCAGGAAGGTCCATCACAGGAGACTGCACAGCCATGGACAGCAGGAGGGAGGTTGTCACCTGGGAAACTGGGGTGAAGGCAAATTAGAGCAGGGAACTGACAAAGGAAGATGAGGAGATGCTGAAATCAAATACATCCACAATTTTGTTAGTATTACAAACTAATTAATAGAAAAGGCAGCTTCTCAAAGTACCTAACAGAAAGGGAAATAAAAATAAAAAATATATTTAGTCTATGTTATACACTGTAAAGACAACTTGGGTCCAGGTTTTAGACCAAACTTAAGATTTTCAGAGTACTAGTCATAGCTAACATCCACAACTACAGTGACTGCATCTATTCTAGGTATCACATTTAGGCTTCATCAATGAGATATCTAGGAAATATACTCTTCTTGGCATGTCTCAAAGACACTAAAATCCAGATATCTAAGGACATGTGTCTTAATTGCTTCTCTAGAAGTGGTGATAATTATGCATCCTACATTCTAGTGACTTAATCCTTATTGCCACCAACTGAATTCCTTTTAGAGAATTTATCAGAAGTCATGTGTATTAGTAGATTTACTATATAACTCTGTCTTATCTTTACATTAACTTGTACCAAGCCAAAGCAACCCAACCCATGGCACTGTCTCTACAACTACAAAGTTAATAAGTAGGAGACAGCTCCAGTCTTGAATTCTTTAGAAGAGGTACAGTTAATTACACTGAAATAGAATTTGTTATTGAGTGACACATGGAGGGTGAGTAAAAAGAAGAAAAAAAGATGGCCAATGGCTAGCCTCTTGATGATTGAAGATAGGCTTAATTTGGTTTGTAACTCATCTATTTATGAGGTATGTGATCTTGATTTTAAATAAACACATTTGGTTTCCTTACCTAAAATATAAGCCCAGCTAGAATATTGCCCAATCATGGAATTACTAGGGTTTATTTCCCACCCACTGGTGGGGTTTAGGAAAGAATTTCCTGGGAGAAGAGGCATGAAAAGCATAAAGAATTAGATCGCTGATTTCAAATCTTTGGAGTGTTTGGCTGTGAGCCATGAGCATTTTTAAAAGTTCAAAGAGCAGAGGCAGGTCAGAAAAGGGGAGTGAAGAGTTAAGGGTCAGAGACCAAGTCAGGCCTTAGCTTAACAGGAAGGAACAGGGCTAGGATCCCATGGAAGTGGGTGACAGCTGGGGACAAATTAGAAGGGGTTATGACTTGCTACAGATCAGCTCAGACAATAAAAATGCATTAACTCACAAGGTAACTGTGAGCACAGACTATTAAAAGTCATGTAAGTTGAGGCATTTAAAAAACTGTACAGCCCTAACAGATATTACTATTTTTATCTTATGCAGTAAAGATGAAACAACTGCCAAAAAAAGTTTGTCAAGATAACCGCATCAGGGGATAACAAACAGCTGTCCTCCTTTTATCCTATGGAACATGCACTTGGCATTCACAGAAAACGTGCCTTTGCTTCTCCTCATGTGTCTGACACTCTATTAGACTCAGGGCATTCACCTTCTGCTTTGATCTCTGGGTGCTTTTAGTGAATCCTCTAATTCTCAACCATAAAGGCTAATGCGATAGCAGACTTCAGGCATTTTTCATCAAGAAATCTCTCAACTCCTGTTACCTAAAGTTAAAAAATGCATTTCTGAAGGGCACAGTTATTTTTTTCCTGTTCTCCTATTTGTTGAGTGCTTTGTCCTGGTGGGCTGATGTGCTTACATTCCATTACCATAAATTCAATTGTTGGAGAATTTGCTCTCAATATTTTGCCCTCTGGAGACAAAGATACATTTAGAATGAATTGTCTTTAGCAAGTTGCTTGCTTTTGTTTTGTTGATGAGTTCTCTGAACTTTTTACTGCCTGTTTGAAGCTATTATTCCTTTTAAACAGCTTTTTATTTTCTCAAACATTACTGGTCACTTTACTGTCCAGTGAATACTTTTTCTAACTACAGGTAGACATTTAACTGCTAGCTATAGAGGAACCAGTGTGCTAGAGATCCTTCCTTTATGTGTTAATTCAAAAGATCAATTTGTCATCATTTTTCTTATGGAACTATCTCTCTCCTCATTGGTCCTATTGCTTTTCCCTCATTTTTCAGTGATGTGCATATTCTTGGGCAGGCAGGTTATGCTGCCCTTTTTTTTATAATATTATTCTAACATTCAGTCTGCTCCATTAATATGCCTCAGTTCAGAAACACAAAGTGGAATGCTCATCTCAACCTCGCTATCAAGAGCAGTTGTTGTTCTACACACTGCAATATTGGGGGGTCCTGGGGCCACAAACCATATGCATCTTCTCTGCATATAGAATATTAAACTCACAATTTGATACAGCCACAACCTAGTGTGAGGAAGACAGCCTTGGATTAGAAGTAAGGAAACCTGGGTCCTAATTTCTGTTCTGCATCAAAAAGTTTAGAAATTTTGATTAAATGATCTCTAAGGTTCCTGATAAGTTTAGAACTCCATATTTTTAAAATTTCCTTTCTTCCTCTACATATACAGCCTTTCAGCAGTGGGAAAGGAGCAGAGTGCTTGGGAAAGTCTCAACAATATAGATATTTGAGCTGAAGCTTGAAAGATGAGTGTAACATTCCCAGATAAATAAAGGAAGAAAGGGGATCTAAGTAGAGAAAATAGTGTGTGCAATGTCACAAAAGAGCAAAATAGCATGAAGTATTTTGAGAACTTTGGTCAAATAGCTAGTTTTGGACTCAAGGGAATCTCAAACCCAGAACAACTTCTGAGCTAGTGAACTTTGTACTGTCACATCATATCACTACCTGAATAGACAGAATTTAATAGCTGACAAATTGACATTGAATCACAACTATATGACGGATTGCAAAGGCTGGTGGGGTCAGTGGGTTTTCCCAGCTCTCAGAAAGAGGGAGCTTCACAACAGAGGCTCTAGGTCCAAGACCAGCAGATTTTATTTCCAGGATGTTCTGAAGCTTCAGTCTGGTCTGAAGACCAGACCAGTGAAAGGTTTCTGGAGCTTGAGTAAGAAATAGATTTGAAGGAGATTAGTCCTTCGTATGATTGTCCATGGTGCAGCCAGAATGAAGAGCCAAACACAGTATAGTTGCTAGACAAAGAGGCAAAAACTAGATATGAAGTTCTGGGAAAGCAGGCTCAGGATGGAAGTTTGGAAGTACAGCCTGGGGATAATAGCAATAATATCTTCTACACAGAAATTTTGTGGTGATTAAATTATATAAGGCAGTTAAAATTTAACGTAGTTTCTGACATATAACAGGCACTCAATAGTAGCTTTTGTTGTTTAAGGCACTGAAATGTAACCACTAAAGGCCTTACTCAAGGCCTTACCAGCTTCAAGTATAAAGGAGCCAGACCAAAAAAGAGGGTCACATGTTCCCCAAGCCCAGAAATTGTTTTATTTTCCCCCTCTCTCCATGGGGTTCCATGTGATCTCCCAGAGAGCACTCCCTAGTGCTTTTGCACTCTTATTATGGGACCCAGGCCTTATTTCACTCCTCCAGTGTTTGGGGT
This sequence comes from Homo sapiens, assembly GCF_000001405.40. Taxonomy (NCBI): domain Eukaryota; kingdom Metazoa; phylum Chordata; class Mammalia; order Primates; family Hominidae; genus Homo; species Homo sapiens. The sequence continues at coordinate 111,474,794 of NC_000003.12, read as the reverse complement.
TACAGTACATTGAGTTTGACATGGTGCCAACATGACACCATGACTTTGAACTAGAAGTTCTCCCCACCTCCAACTCAGAGGCCCAAGGGGCAGCTTTGGTGAACTGTAGTCAGAGAGCACTAGGGTGTGAGTTGGAAGATCTGGGTTTTCTTTGAAGCTCTACCATTAGCAAGCTGGATGTCCTGTGCAAGTACTCAACTTGTCTCTACTGAATTTCTTACCTGGGAAAAGAGATGACTGAACTGGATGACACCCAAGGACTTCTCCAACTCCAGCACTATGAAACAATGACAGCACCTAAAGAACTCTTTATCAAAGTTGCCAAAAAGGCTTGACACATCATCTTGAGCATTAAATTAGCATCAGCTATATAATGCCAGATACTAAACTTTTGCTAGAAGGAAAGTGACAAAGAGAGAAATAATGCCCACAATGCTCCAAAGTCATTCTTTTAGTCAACAAGATGTTCTACTCAATATCTCTGTGTTTGGATTGAAAAAGACATCAAAAGAAATTAGGAAGGAGGGACCAAGATGGCCAGCTAAAAACAGCTGCAAATGGAGGCTCCCACTGAGAAGAACAAAAACAGTCAGTGAATCCTGCACCAGCAACTGAGGTGCCCAGGTTCTCTTACTGGGACTGACCAGGTGGTTGGTGCGACCCACAGAGAGTGAGGAAAAGCAAGCTGGTGTGATGGCCCACCTGGGAGCCACACAGGGCAAGGGGAACTCCCACCCCCAGCCAAGGGAGGCTGTGAGTGATCATGCTACCCTGCCGGGGAAACCACACTTTTTTTCATGGATTTGTGCAGCCTGCACATCAGGAGATTCCCCCTTATGAGCCCATGCCACCAGGGCCTTGGGTCTCAAGCACAGAGCTGTGCAGATTATCTGCAGCCACTTGGCCACAGACTGCCTAAGACTACTGAGTTCCTGAGGGGAGGAGAAGGGCAGCCATCATCTGTGTGGTTGCCTGCTGCTTAAGATGACTGAGATCCCTGGGGGGAGGGGCGGCTGCCATCACTGCAGCTCCAGTCTGCTATTTTTTCCCCTGCTGGTGCTAGGGAGATTAGATGGTTTGGACCTAGGGGGAATTACCCATGGTGCAGCACAGTGGCCATGGCCGATTATGGCCAGACTGCCTATTTAGGCTGGACCCTGACCCATCTGTCCTCACCAGACAGGGCCTCCCTTCAGGAATTTCAGCAACTCCAGCCAGGGGTTTAGGCACAGAACTCTGATCTCCCTGGGGATGAGCCCCTACAGGGAGGTGCGGCTGCAGTTTCCACAAATCAGCACACTTTGTCATTCCCCTGCTGGCTCCGAAGAATCCAGGCAATCTGGATGAGTGGGATTTCCCCCAGCACAGCACACCCCTTCTGACAAGGGGCAGCCAGAGTGTTTTGTTAAGCAGTTCTGGATCTTGTGCCTCTTGACTGGGTGAGAACCCCCAACAGGGGTCACTGGACACCTTATACAGGAGCATTCCCACTGGCATCAAGTTGGTGCACCTCTGGTATAGAGATCCCAGAGGAAGGAGCAGGCAGCCATTTTTGCTATTCTGCATCCTCCACTGGTGACACCTCCAGGTACAGGAGGGACCCTAGTGAATAGGGTCTGGATGGACCCCCAGCAAACCACCTCAGCCCTATGGAAGAGGGACCTGACTGTTAAAAGAAAAACAAACAGAAAGCAAAACAACAACATTAACAAAAAATCCCCCACAAAAACCCAATCCAAAGAACAGCAGCCTCAAAGATTGAAGCCATATAAACCCATGAAGATGAGAGAGAATCAATAAAAAAATGCTGAAAACTCAAATAGAGTGCTTCTTGTTCTCCAAATGATCGCAACACCTCCAGCAAGAGCAAAGGATTGGGCAGAGGCTGATATAGATTAACTGACAGAAGTAGGCTTCAGAAGGAGGGTAGTAACGAACTTCACTGAGCTACAGGAGCATATTCTAACCCAATGCAAAGAAGCTAAGAACCATGATAAAGCATTATAGGAGCTGTTAACCAGAAAAACCAGTTTAGAGAGGAATCTAAATTACCCAATGGAGCTGAAAAACACAACATGAAACTTCACAATGCAACCACGAATATCAATAGCTGAACTGATGAAGTGAAGGAAAGAATTTCATAGCTTGATGACTCTCTTCCTGAAATAAGGCAAACGAGATTAGAGAAAAAACAATGAAAGAGAATGAACAAAACCTCCTAGAACTATGAGATTATGTAAAAAGACCAAACCTATGACTGATTGGGATACCTGAAAGAGACAGGGAGAACAGAACCAAGATGGAAAACACACTTTAGGATGTCATCCAGGAGAACACCCCAACCTAACAAGACAGGCCAACAATCAAATTCAGAAAATCCACAGAACCCCAGTGAGATACTCCATGAGAAGATTAATTCCAAGACATATAATCATCAGATTCTCCAAGGTCAAAATGAAGGAAAAAATGTTAAAGGCAGCCAGAGACAAAGGCCAGGTCACCTATAAAGGGAAGCCCATTAGACTAACAGTGGACCTTCTCAGCCGAAACCCTAAAAGCCAGAAGAGACCGGGGTTCAATATTGAACATTCTTAAAGAAAAAAATTTCAACCCAAAATTTCATATCCAGCCAAACTTCACTTCATTTCATAAGTGAAGAAATAAAATAAAATCCTTTAAGGCAGAAATAGATTCCTTTTCACATAAGCAAAATGCCTAGGGAATTTATCACCACCAGGCCTGCCTTGCAACAGCTCCTGAATGAAGTGCTAAATATGGAAAGGAAAAACTTAACAGCCACTGCAAAAACACACTGAAGTGCAAAGACCAATGACACTACGAAGCAACTACATCAACAAGTCTGCAAAATAACCAGCTGACATGATGACAGGATCAAATTCACACATAAAAATGTTAACCTTAAATGTAAATGGGCTAAATGCACCAATTAAAAGACACAGAATGGCAAGCTGAATAGAGTCAAGACCCACTGGTGTGCTGTATTTAACAGACCTATCTCACCAGCAAAGACACACACAGGCTCAAAATAAAGGGATGGAGGAAAATTTACCAAGCAAATGGCAAGCAAAAACAAAACAGGGGTTGCAATCCTAGTCTCTGATAAAACAGATTTTAAACCAACAAAGATCAAAAAGACAAAGAAGGGCATTACATAATGGTAAAGATCAATTCAACCAGAAGAGCTAACTATTCTAAATATATATATGCCCAATACAGGAGCACCCAGGTTCATAAAACAAATTCTTACAGAACTACAAAGAGACTTAGACTTCCACACAATAATAGTGGAAGACTTTAACACTCTACTCTCAATAATAGGTCATTGAGAGAGATAATTAACAAGAATATTCAGGATTTGAACTCAGCTCTGGATCAAGTGGACCTGATAGATACCTACAGAACTCTCTACGCCAAAACAACAGAATATACATTCTCCTCGGCACCACGTGGCACTTACTGTAAAACCAGTCACATAATTGGAAGTAAAATACTCCTCAGCAAATGCAAAAGAACTGAAATCATGACAATCTTTCAGACCACAGCACAATCAAATTAGAACTCAAGATTAGGAAACTCACTCAAAACCACACAGCTATGTGGAAATTGAATAACCTGCTTCTGAATGACTCCTGGGTAAATAATGTAATTAAGGAAGAAATCAAGAAGTTCCTTGAAACCAATGAGAACAAAGAGACAATGTACAAGAATCTCTGGGATGCAGCTAAATTAGTATTAAGAGGGAAATTTATAGCACTAAATGCCCACGTTAAAAAGCTAGAAGGATCTCCGATTGACACCCTAACATCACAACTAAAAGAACTAGAGAACTAAGAGCAAACAAATCCCAAAGCTAGTAAGAATACAAGAAATAACCAAGATCAGAGTGGAACTGAAGGGGATAGAGACACAAGTGACCCTTCAAAAAAATCAATAAATCCAGAAGTTTTTTTGAAAAAATTAATAAAATAGATAGACTTCTAGCTAGACTAATAAAGAAGAAGAGAGAGAAGAATCAAATAGATGCAATAAAAAATGATAACGGGGATATCACCACTGACCCCACAGAAACACAACCATTGGAGAATAGTATAAACACCTCTATGGAAATAAACTAGAAAATCTAGAAGAAATAGATAAATTCCTGGGTACATACACCCTCCCAAGACTGAACCACAAAGCAGCTGCATTCCTGAATAGACCAATAACAAGTTCTGAAATTGAAGCAGTAATAAATTGCCTACCAACCAAAAAAAAGCCCAGGACCAGACAGATTTACAGCTGAATTCTACCAGAGGTACAAAGAGAAACTGGTACCATTTCTTTTGAAATTATTCCAAACGATTGAAAAAAAGGAATTCTAACTCATTCCATGAGGCCAAGATTATCTTGATACCAAAACCTGGCAGAGATACTACAAAAAAAGAAAGCTTCAGGCCAATATCCCTGATAAACATCGATGCAAAAATCCTCAATAAAATACTGGCAAACTGAGTCTAGAAGCACATCAAAAAGCCTATCCACAACAACGAAGTTGGCTTCATCCCCAGAATGCAAGGCTGGTTCTACAAACACAAATCAATAAATATAATTCATCACATTAACAGAACTAAAGACAAAAACCACAAGATTATCTCATTAGATGCAGAAAAGATCTTCAATAAAATTCAACATTCCTTCATGTTAAAACTCAATAAACTAGGGATTGATGGAACATGTCTCAAAATATTAGAGCCATTTATGACAAATCCACAGCCAATATCATACTTAATGGGCAAAAGTTGGAAGCATTCCCCTTGAAAACTGGCACAAAACAAGGATGCCCTCTCTTACCACTCCTATTTAATATAGTATTGGAAGTTCTGGCCAGGGCAATCAGGCAAGAGAAAGAAATAAAAGGTATTCATGTAGGAAGAGAGGAAGTCAAACTGTCTCTGTTTGCAGATGACATGATCCTATATCTAGAAAACTCCATTATTTCAGCCCAAAAGCTTCGTAAGCTGATAAGCAACTTCAGCAAAGTCTCTGGATATAAAATCAATGTGCAGAAATCACAAGCATTCTTTTACACCAACAATAACCAAGCAGAAAGTCAAATCATGAATGTACTCCCATTCACAATTGCTACAAAGAGAATAAAATACCTAGGAATACAGCTAACAAGGGAAGTGAAGGACCTCTTCAAGGAGAACTACAAGCTACTGCTCAAGGAAATCAGAGAGGACACAAACAAATGAAAAAAAACAGTCCATGCTCATGGATAGGAAGAATCAATGTGGTGAAAACGGCCATACTGCCTATAGTAATTTATAGATTCAATGCTATTCCCATTAAACTACTATTGACATTCTCACAGAATTAGAAAAAACTGCTTTAAAATTCAAATGGAACCAAGAAAGACCTCATATAGCCAAGACAATCCTAAGCAAAAAAGAAGAAAGCTGGAGGCTTCAGGCTACCCAACTTCAAAGTATTCTACAATGCTTATGTAACCAAAACACCATGGTACTGGTATAAAAACAGAAACATAGACCAATGGAACAGAGTAGAGATCTTGGAAATAAGACTGCACATCTACAACCATCTGATTTTCAACAAACCTGACAAAAGCAATGGGGAAAGGATTCCCTACTTAATAAATGATGCTGGGAAAACTGGCTAGCCATATGCAGAAAACTGAAACTGGACCTGTTCCTTACACCTTATACAAAAATTAACTCAAGAAGGACTAAAGACTTAAGTGTAAAACCTGAAACTGTAAAAACTCTAGGATAAAATCTAGACAATACTATTTAGGACATAGGCACAGGTAAAGATTATTATAAAGGTAATGACAAAAGCAATTGCAACAAAAACAAAAATTGACACTTGGAATCTAATTCAACTAAAGAGCTTCTGCACAGCAACAGAAACTATCATCAGAGTGAAAAGACAACCTACAGAATGGGAGAAAATTTTTACAATCTACCCATCTAACAAAGGTCTAATATCCAGAATCTACAAGGAACTTAAAACAATTTACAAGAAAAAAACAAACGACCCCATTAAAAGGTGGGCAAAGGACATAAACAATTCTCAAAAGAAGACATTTATGTGGCCAAGAAACATGTAAAAACAAGCTCAACATCACAGATCACTGGAGAAATGCAAATCAAAACCACAATGAGATGACGTCTCATGCCAGTCAGAATGGCGATTATTAAACAGTCAAGAAACAATAGTTGCTGGTGTGGCCGTGGAGAAAACACTTTTACACTGTTGTGGGAATATAAATTAGTTCACCCATCGTGGAAGACAGTGTGGAGATTCCCCAAAGACCTAGAAATAGAAATACCATTTGACTCAGCAATCCCATTACTTCCCATTACTGGGTATATACCCAAAGGAATATAAATCATTCTATTATAAAGATACACGCACATGTATTTTCATTGCAGTACTATTCACAATAACAAAGACATGGGATCAACCCAGATGCCCATCAATGATAGACTGGATAAAGAAAATATGTTACATATACACAATGGAATACTATACAGCCATAAAAAGGAACCAAATCATATCCTTTGCAGGGCCATGGATAGAGCTGGAACCCATTATCCTCAGCAAACTAACTTAGAAACAGAAAATCAAACACCGTATGTTCTCACTTACAAGTGGGAGCTGAACAATGAGAACAAATGGACCCATGGTGGGGAACAACACACACTGGGGCCTGTCGGGGCAGCAGAGGGAGAGAGAACATCAGGATAAATAGCTAATGCATGCAGGGCTTATTACCTAGGCAATGGCACATATTTACCTGTGTAACAACCCTGCACATCCTGCACATGTATCTTGGAACTTAAAATAAAATAAAATATTTAAAAAGCAATATAAATAAATAAATAAATAGACATCAAAAGTGTTACGTAGCTACTTTTGGATACCTCAATAATTTGGTAACTGCGTGCTATGTGATTCTTTTTTATAAGGCAACTGGAGAGTCATACCTTCATTGTATACCTACAGTATGTAGGTGTACTAGAGAGGTCCTCTCTGAACTGTATGTGTTTAATGCTTAACAAATATATAGTTTTAAAAACATATTCTATAACTTGGCTGATTCTCCCTAGAGGGGAAAAAATACTCCTTTTTTCTATTGCAAACAACATATGGTCTAATGTGTGAACTAATAACTAGATTCATTAGTTTACACATTCCTGATAAGGGAAATTTAACTTTCATAATTAAGACTCTGCACAACAATTGTGTTACATTGTTATCCAGAGATAAGTTCTTGCCAAACATTCCCTGTTCTCAAGCAGTTTCAAAGAGAGTTTCCAAAGGTCCTTTTCCCTTGCAAGTCTTAATTTCCATTGTTTTATGAATTTAATGTTGTCATTCTGCAGAGCAATTCTCAAGAAAGCTGTGAAAAAAATTTAAAATTAGGTATTTTTGATACATTTCAGATAGTCTTGATTATCAAAGTCAGCATAAGTAAAAAGATTCCTGTTAAAAATTTAAAGGCAACAATATGCTTGTAGGAGAACAGTCTGTAAAAAGAAATGCTTCAGCTTTAGTGGAGTGAAGGAAGGACCTTCTTGAAAAAGAAGGGTTAATGGAGTGTGTGAATAAGATTTTTTTTGTCAGTTCTAAAAATGGATTCTTCCAAATCACATCTTAAGTTCAAGACTGTTTTTGAGAGAGAAAGATGCACAAACAAGAATATATGTATATTGTTCTATTCTATTTCTTAGAAGAAACATAATAAACTACAGTATGAGTGATTCATACTAGATGTTAGGAGAAATGTCATGATAGTTTACAATAATATGCTCTGTAAGAGGTTACAGAGGAAAGAATTCAGTTATCTTTTTGTGAAGGCTCTAAAAGTAGAAGGGGGCATTTAATCTGGGAGAGCTGGGACAAGTTAGTACCTCTTGTTCCATCATTTGTAAAATGGGAGAATCTCTCAGCATCCTTCTGATTTTGAAAATACTTCTGCCATACAAAGTGTATCTTTGGTTGAAGCTGGTACTCTTGGAATGGGGGAGTTTAGGTGAAACTTGGCTACTCATGGGATCTCTGCCTTCTGTTCTATGCACAGTATTTTCCCTCTCCTGGGGCTCTGCACCTAATAAATAAAACTGGAAACACTAGAAGAAACTATGACTTTTTAATATTCTTACATTTAAACCATTCTTAAGTTTTAGTTCTCTAATGAAGTTGCTGCCATCCCATCAACCCCCTACTGTATTTGTTTGTCTTTTATTTTCCAGTATCTCTGACTAAATGCAATTCACAGAGGTCTTCTGGGTCAAGGGAGAGCTATCTTTCCTCAAAATCCTCAGATGACTTGAATGTATGAAGATGACCTGGCAATTCATCCTTGCTCACTGTTCCAGTGCTCCTACTAGTGAAAGCACTTAGGTGTTTGAAATGACACCAAAGAAGCTCTTTCTGAGTTGGGAAAAATTGGTAACAGTATAACACCTGGTGAATATTATCATCATTATTATTGGAACCCACTTTTTCTCCTATATCTATTTTGCTCATTTCCATGGAGCTAAAGACATTGTGAATGATAAAGTAGACTGGAAACCTGACCAGCGTGGCCCCTTCAGACTATACAGGAAATGAGGTTATCAGAAATTCCTTTTAATAATGCAAAAGCAGAAATGTTGAAACAAAGGTTTTGATGAATTATATTTTTAAGGCCAGACTGATTCTCTGTGTTCAAATATAAGCATGAATTAGTTCCTTCACCAACATATTTGTACTGTTATATACACCAGTTTATGTCTCCTCGTAGTATATGGTCCATTAAAACTAAGAAACATGACAGTGAAACTACTGATTTTTGACCATTTACCATAGCAACTCATCATGAAAAAGAACACATTGTAGCACTAAATCAGACAAATATTGCATCATGGAGACAATAAGGTTATTAAGAAGATTTTTTTCTCTAACTTTTAAATATTAGGATGTTGTACTATGAGTGATTTTGATGTAGAAGTTAGAGAAGCAAATTCAATTTATCAGGAAAATTGCCCTCATATTTTAAAGCAATAAATGGATTAAACAAAGAGATGTTTCAGAAAAAATGTGATCTCCTAAAAACAGCACTATATAGTCTGTCTTTTTCCACCTTGACAATCTACTTTCTGTCCTTTTTGTATTCATAAGATCAAAAAAGTGGCAATAAATTGTTGCTTTTCCTAGTTGTGCCTGGATTGTGTATAGTATATGTTAGACAAACCTACTTTCTCCTGATCACAGCAAAGGGTTATAAATCTATCAGCAGAGTGATTCCCGGAGCATATGGCTCTCGGGGGAAAATAGCTTGCATTTAGCCAGCTGTCCAGAGCTCAACAATGTTGGTAACATATTTCAGACTAGATAAACTAGAAAATATATTTAGAAAGTGCAAGCCAAGAAATTTACATTAATCTCTTCCATTTGATTCAAAAACATAAATTGCCACTGCACTATCTCTTAGAGTAGAACTTAATTAAATTATTCCTGGTCACAAAAGATCTGATTGAACAGGAATAATATTCAACATTTTAGACCTTGAGCTGATGACATCCATCTGGTTAAAACCATAACAATAAGCTTTCTGATAACTGGTAAGTTATTCAAGTGCATATCTGACATGATTTCTGAAACTGTAAAAATTAAAAGAGCAAGGGAAAATCCATATACATAAAATGAATCATCTGCAAGTTTTCGCTAGCCTTCAGACACTTAAGTAAATATAAAACTCATTTTAAGATTCAGAGTTTATGAATTAAAAATGAGTGAGTTAAGAAAGAGCCCTGGAGATATGGCTTAGTTAGGGGCTGGGACTGGGAAAACATAAGATGAGCCTAAAGTATCTTGTAGTACCAGGATGAAAGGAAGTACTTTTAAAAGAAGGACAAAAGAAAAGAGAAAAGGAACAAAGACAGATGTCAAAAAGATACAGTAGCCAACATGATAGAGCTTCCAGTGGTCAAATCTGAAGAAATTTGAGCAATAAAATAAACAACTATAGCACTGAATTAAAATCCAGTGAATTTAAAACAATCCATGAATCCATACTAATAAATAAAGAACTGAATAAGAAATAAATGGAGGATAAGGGACAAATCTTTCATACCCAATAATTCCAAGTAATATACCTCTAGAAAGCAAAGCTTAATTCCTTTTCTCTTGAATGTGGCCTGGAGTTAATTTCGCTTCCAAAGCATAGAGTATGAAAAGAAAAAATGGTAACTTTAGAGTGAAGAGACATGACAGACCCCACCTTAAGCCAGTGATCAATGTTATCATTACTAATGATAAATTATGTTGATAATATGTGCCCATTATGATATGACGTAATAAAAAAGGTACTTCACCTCTCTGTTATGTTTCCCCAAAACTCATAACCCCAATTTAATCATGAACTAACATCAGACAAACCTAAATTGAGGAGCATTCTACAAAATATCTGACCAGGCTCTTCAAACTTTCAATACGTATTAAAAAAGGAAAGACTGAGAAATTGTCACAGTCTAGAGGAGACCAAGATGGCATGTTGACTAGATGCAGTGTAGTATCCTGGAGCAGATCCTTAAACAGAAAAACAGCATTAGTGAAAAACTAATGAAATACAAGTAAAGTCTGTACTTTAGTTAACAGTATTGTAACAAGCTTAATTTCTTAGTTTTGCCAAAGATACCATGATTATGTAAGAATTTAACATTAAGGGAAGCTGCGTGAAGGTGTAGTGTTGAGTTTGAATTTTAAAAAATATCTAACCTCAGTTTGTGAGTCTGCATTTTCAAAATAAAGCCAGAACCCCATTTAAGAGTGTTAAAATAGCCAAGATAGGAGGATCACTTGAGGTCAGGAGTTCAAGACTAGCCTGGCCAACATGGTGAAACCCCGTCTCTACTAGAAATACAAACAAATTAGCAGGGCATGGTGGTGCACTCCTGTAATCAAAGCTACTTGGGAGGCTGAGGCAGGGGAATCGCTTGATCCTGGGAGGTGGGGGTTGCAGTGAGCCGAGATTACCCCACTGCACTCCAGCCTGGGTGACAGAGTGAGACTCTGTCTTAAAAAAAAAAAAAAAGGAATGTTAAAATAAATACAAGATCGCTTTGTTAGAGGAAGATTGTGCTCTCCACAGGTCTTCCCTAATGACCTTTGAGAAAGATGGGATGGCCATCTGTTGATGGATTCATTCTTGCCAAGATCTTTCAGTTTTTATAAAGGGTATTTGTTCTACCACCTTAATCAATGAATAAAAATATGTGTATGTATGAACTAATCTTATTATATTATTGCATTCTCAAGCCTTGCCAGGAAGGAAAATAATAAATTCATTGTTGCTTATGCACTAAAATTTGAATAAAAGAAATAATATTTATAGAGGATTGCTTGAAAGATATGCAGTCTGTCCATTTTTCTAGGCACTTTAAACTCTAGATCTGGTTGAAACATCATCAGGTTTGTCCAATGTGTTATAGGCATCACACTAACCCTCCTGGCAGTTGCTTTATACTGCATTCTTCTTTGATAAAATTCTATTAACCTGAATTAAGAGATATATAGACCAATCCATGAAACTTATCACCATATTTTCTAGAAGAATGCTGCTAGAGTTACTATTTCTCACATTACTCCATGTAATTGAGGTGTAGGATGTTTCCCAAGTATCAACAACAGAATTAAGTATATCTTTCTTGAGAAGTTGATGGGGGATTTTAACCTTATGCATCTTTTGGATTATGAAATTGATGTGTTTCCCTTTTTGCAATGAATGCTAGAAAACTCAGGATTAAATTTGTGGTGGGCATCTAACAAGTACATATAACTTCAGAGCACGCATTCCAAACATGAATCTCACTTTGACTTCAGACATTTTAAGTTATTGCTCTTTTCTTTTATCATTTATATGTATTATTTATATCATATTGTTGAGATGTGTTTATTGTTGAGAAGTTTTGAGAATGCAGATAGACAATAGTTTTTTCAAGAAAATTAAAGATTAGCTATCAATCAGATAATCATTGTTAACATATTTCAGCATAAGCATAGGAATACTAGACTTACTTAATCATGCTGTATTTTAAGTTATTACCTTTTTAAAGTCTGATTCAAGTCTTTTGGAGAAGAGCGGTATAAAAGAAGGTATAAATAAATACATTGATATAAAAATTTAAAAAGACCCATTTTTGTCCTTGCTCTTATTTTGTCTTGGTTAGATCTTTTCAATTTGTAGGTTGAACAAATTCTATTTCTGTGTCTTCATATAGGCATTGAGAATCTTAACATCTAGGAATATACCTGTAGTCACCAATTTATCTTTAACACTGAGGATATAGAACATATTTTGCCCAATGCATAATAATACAGTGACCGATCAATGATTCCTTAATTAATAAGGAATTGAGCATAAGCATTCTATTTCTTTTTGTCTTAATTGGAACTTGGAACAAATTTACCTTTTCCCTCTTAATTGAAGAATGGCAACATTCATTAGGTAACTATTGAAGTAAAAGTTTTACTCAGGGGCCTCTTTAGAGTTCTGCTAGTCTCTCTAGCAAGAACTAAACGAGATCTTAGAAGTAATCATTTTGGTATATAAGGCATTGTAGAAGCATCAATGCCGTAATAATAATAATAGTAATAAGGTTCATACCTATGTCTTTTTAAAATAGTGAAGAGAAGAGGAAAATAGAAGATAAGAATGAAATACATGGGTTGTGTAAATAACTTCTATTGGAGAAATCATGATGTTAATGCTTTTAAGTATGTCTTATTAAAGAAGATCAAGGTGGAGAAGAAAAAGAAGGAGGAGCAGGAGGAAAAGGAGATTTTTAAATAAAGGAGAAAATAGACACAAGCCAAAGGATTTTCATGGAAAAGCATTAAAGAGGAATAAAAGAATCTCATTCAAAAAGGATGCTAAAGGCATTCTAAGACCATGGAAAATGCTCACTGGTTCACAATTTTGGACTGTTAGAGCTGGGAGGGCATCTTTAATCTACTTTAATCTCTCTCTCTCTCACTTCCTCCTATTCCATTTTTCTCTCTTTCTCTGTCTCTGCATTCTTCCTCTGTCACTTCATTCTCCTTTGGATGAGGGAATTGGGATCCAAAATGTTAATATAATCTTTCTCAAATTATACAGCTCTGGGGCAGAGCTAAGGTTAAAAACCTAAACCTCTTGATTTCTAGCCCAATTTTCTTTTTGCTTCAGTGGATGGGGACAAAAAATATAGCAATGCCAAAATACAGTACACTCAAACATAAATCATGGTTAACTAAACTACTGCTGAGGTTGGGTGGCTCAAGAACCGGACTTCTGTGTGTGTCTAAATTGGGAGTACACAGTTAAAGATTTCAGCAATTACTCGTATTTCTCTCCTGCTGATTTGTACATAGTAAGTGATGAATAAATATAATCTATAATAAACTATTGGATTATTGTTGAATTTCTCCCCAGGCTGACTCTTTAAGTAGACCTTTGATGGTGGAGTTACTATGACCTTGAGCCCTTAGCTGCCTCCAACTTCTACCACATTCCCCATGCCAGTCATGAACCCTAGATCACCGTGTTCTGTAAAACAGCTGGAGACAGTCACACACTGAGTAAACTTCATTCTCTAAATCACTAGCCCTTGATAGATTCAGACAGTTGCTCCTAATTAATGTTCAGGAATCCTTTGTTCCCCTAATTAATTCTCTGGAAAGTTCACATTATAGACGCTGTTGTGTTTTACTTCCATCTTCATGTCTAGTTTTATCTTCTGAGCCAATAACCCCATCTATTATTTCACTGAGAAGCTTGAGGCCATTTTCTTTTCCTATTTCCAGAAGCTATCTATGTATGTAATTTGGGCACATACCTATGTACTTCTATACACTCATCTTCTTTCCTAGTTTAACTTTTACATCTGCCTCCTAGTCCCATTTTCCCTTCTCCATTTCCAACCTTCCCAATTTCCCCACCTCTTCATATTTTTTTTCTATCATTAATATCTGGTTTGCTCAAAATATTTCTTCAGTGATTATCTCTCTCTCTCCCTCTCTCTCTCTCTGTCTCATACCTTTAAAAATGTTCATGTCTCCACCCTCTTGCTGCTTATTTACCTGGCCCTGGCTCTTAGAAAATGCATTATTAACTCTCAGTATTTGAGTTATTGCTATTGTTTAAATCCTTTGCAGACCTGTATCTCCAGCCCATAGCTTTCTCCAGAGCCATGGCTAAATTCTACTCAATTATGTTCAAAACCATTCCAGTTTAGTTCAGTCCATTTAAGGAATTTTGATTTCCCATTTGCTATCACCTTTCATTTTTTTATTTCTGACTTGTTACACCTTTATTTCATTTTTCTTGGCTCTCTGATCTCCTTTTATATTTACAATTACTCCAGTAATCCTCCCTTCAGTTTCTCTTTGCTTCAATCACATTCTATTATGGTTCAAATTGGCATTTCCGTATAACAGAATTCACTCTTCTATTTCTGCTTTGGTATTACATGCCAGGTATATAACCACCCATACTCATGGAATTGATAAACGTGTTTCCTGCATAGGCTCTTCTCAAGTAGCTGGTGATTAGGTAACTGTGTGGCCAATTTCTTATTATCTCACATCCCAGTGATTAACAATGGCCTTCATGCAAGATTTGTAGCCAGCGGATTCTGAGCAAAAATGAGAGATTAAGCTCCCCAAAACATATTTTTGTTCACATCATCCATCTCTTCAAAATTCTTCACTGTCTTCCCATGATGTATTCTATAGGGTAGAGCCCAAATCCTTCAGTCTGGAATTCAGGGTTTCCACTCAAGTCCACATCTCTGATCTCCTCACATCTCTCATCAACATGAGTGCACCTCTTTTTACAAATCTACCAGATTTATCTACCCAGACCTGTGTGTGCATTTTCACTGCAGCACTTCTGCTTATGCCATCCTTAACACTATAAATCAATAACACAACTATATCCTATCTACATCTTACCTATCTGATGCCAAAAACATTTTTAAAATAAAATTCAACATCCATTACTGCTTAAAACTCTTAGTTACCTAGGACCAGACAGACTCTTCCTTAATTTGATAAAGGATTTCATCCTAAACCAATAGCCAGTATCATATTTAATAGTAAAATTCAAATGACTTCTATTAAAATTCAAAATAATATAAGGATGCTGGCTGTTACCAAAATGATTTCACACTGCATTTGATATCTCTATATTAAGAGACATTTATTTTGGAAAGGAGAGACCAAAGTTATCTTAATTTGCAGATTATATGGCTGTTGCCTACTTAGACAACCCAAGAGAATCAAACGTAAAGAGTAATGGAACTAATAAGAGAGTTCTCCAGGTTTGCTGATTATAAAATAAATATTCAAAAAGCAATAGATTTCTTATATACCCGCAATAACTAGTTAGAAAAAAATAGAATGAAATATTATTTACAAAAAAATATACAAATATTTTATAATAAGAAAGAATAAATTTAACAAGAAAATTTCAGGATTTATATGAATAAATCTGCAACATTTTAATGAAACCTATATATCATATCAATCATTCAATACTCAATTCTGTCACCTCCAAAAAGCTTTCCAAAACCAAGATAAAAATATTCTGTCTCATCTGAACTCCTGTCATTTTTATTGAAAATAACAGTCAACTAATTCTTAATCACATAGTTCTTCACATTTAGACTGAGACTCTCAAAAACAAAGGTTGTGCTATTTGTATGGTGCTTATCATATAACTTTGGTCACTTTAATCTTTTCAGCCTTGCTTTCTTATCTGTAAAATGGGAACTATGTGAATATGTTCATCACCAGGTTACTATGTAGGTTAAATGTATAATTCATAATTAATGGTAATTTTAA
Source organism: Homo sapiens (assembly GCF_000001405.40). NCBI lineage: Eukaryota > Metazoa > Chordata > Mammalia > Primates > Hominidae > Homo > Homo sapiens. The sequence goes on along the minus strand of NC_000003.12, from coordinate 111,458,900 downwards.
TAATTTATAGTAAATAACATTAGATAATTATAAAATCACATATTAATTATTTAAATTACTAGGTTAAGTTTGTAATTCCCTAGTGTATGACATGGCACATAATAAGGCCTCAACAAATGGTACCCTTTAGTTGTAACTTTGGTACAACTCTTGGTTACACAGAGTTGACCAAAGTGTTGACAATTGTCAAGAATGAATAAGCTCTTTATTTCTAGGGATAGAAATACGGGAAGAAACACAGGAAAAACACAGCAACTACAATTCAGAAGTAAAGAAAGTCAGAAACCAGGTAAAACAAGGTAAGGGACTAGGAATCAGGAGAACACATACATAGTTTGGGACTGCTTTATAGTAAAGGTTGCTGAGAAAGAATGGATCCAATGGATACTTCAGAGATCAGAAGTCTCCGAAGTAATGGAAAATCTTTCACATGTTTTTGAAAGAATATTACACTTATGCCAGTAGGAAGGTGGATGTATCCAGGGAGGTGACAATTTGGGTTTGCTAATGTTTTAAGAACTAATCATACAGAAAGATTAAAAATAGTAGCTCTCAAATCAACGGGAATATGAGTGTGGTGGCAGCAGCCAAACTGTACACTATTAAAATGTCACTTCTATTCCTATAGTAAATGCACAGTAAATGTGCTTTGGATAAATGCCATGCACTTTAACAATAACTAAGATCACCTAGCGTGATCTTGATTTAAGGTATAATGAAACGATTATTATCAACTGGTTCAAAAGCCAAATTCCAATTAAAAATATTTATTCCACATGAGCTACAAAACTACCAAAGGATATTCTGAATCAGGCTTAAGCTAGCCAGTTTGACTTCAAGAGAAATTAATTTTTAAAATTATCCATCCTCAAATTCTTCAAAAAGAATTTAAGGCAGCAAAATTCCTATTTTTATTCTAATTCTGGTAAATAGTATCAAATCCCACTTCTAGAACAGATGAGAACCCTCGTGTAATTTATGTTATGTAACATTTATATGTCCTTAAGTATTTTATGATCAACAAGTTTTCACCTGTATACCTAGGTAACAAACCTGAACATTCTGCACATGTATCCCAGAAATTAAAGTGTAAGTTAAAAAAGTTAAAAAAAAAAAGAGAGAAATGATAGTGTTCTGTCTGAGATCTGGGTTAAAATTCTGACCCTGCCGCTTACTAACTGTGTTACTTGGGTGAGTTATTTACCCCCTTAAAAACTCATTTTCCTCATCTATACATTGTTTGACGGTAATTTCCACCTTTTGAGTTGTTTTGAGGATAAAGTGAGATAATTTATATAGAAAAACCTTAGTAAATTGTACTAATTAACACCATGAAAATAATATAAACACTATAAAATGTGTGTGTGCATGCGTGTGTGTATGTGTGTGTGTGTGTTTCAAGGCCTTAAGAAGGCAAGTTTATCAAGTGAATTGACTAAGCTGTAAGTTTTATGAAGGTTGGAACCATAACTGATTTTTTTTAACTTGGAGTTTAGCTCAGTACCTGGTACTCCACAGATATTCGTTGAGTGAAAAAAATGAATAAACAGATATAGAGACATTCAAGAGGAGGCAGTTTTTAGAAGGAAGGTTTAGAAGGAAACTGGGTTACACTCACTCATGCACCTCTTTTGTTGCCTCATGTCTTTTTACCAGGACAATACAAATTCAAGGAATTCAGGGATACTAAAATCTGTATAGTATAAAGTGAAAACACTGCCATCCAGCTGATGAATGTTTATAACTAAGAGTAAACAAGATAACACGGATCATAGCCTAGTTGTTGCATAGTACTTCCATTCTTCAAGTAACCCTTTGGGTTTCTTAGTAACCTTATGTTCTCAAAGATAATCATGCAAATCAGGATGATGCTTATCAAAAAAGATATAAAAGCACACTGATAAACTATACATCCAATCAAGAACTAATCACACATCTTTGAAGATTTATGAGATGTCCCTATAGGAAAGGGTTGGTAAACAATAGGCAACAGGACAAAAAAAAAAAAGTGGCTACTAGAATCATTCAGCTCACAAATGTACCTCCTTCTTCCTCGCTTGGATAGGAGATCTTAGGGGTCACTCAGAGCCTTTGTGGTGTGGACTGCTTTGTCCTGGACCCTGTAGGAAAGTGAAGCTTGAAAGCACTTATCTAATAAAGACAAATGTGAAAGAAAAAATATGTAAACCCCATGCAACAACTAAAGAGAATATGGCTAAAAGAACCAACTTTAGAATCAGGTTTATTGGGGCAGAATTCTGGCTCCTTCACTTATGAACAAAGTGACCTTATTAAAGTAATGTAAAATTTCTGTGTCTTGGTTCTCATGGGAGTGATGATATTTTGTAGGGTGACTTGAGTACTCAATGCAACAACACAGGTCATCCATTTGGTGAAAGCATTTGATAATGAAAGCTATTATTTTTATGTTAAGGACAATGATCTCAATCTTGGAAATAAAAGCACTTTTTTTCCTTCTTAAAAATCAATTAATAATAATCTTGCCTTTCCTTAACTTTTTAAATGCCTGAACGTTGAGAGTTGAGTTGTTGCTAATTGAGAGAATAGAAAAACCAGAGAAAAAGGAGACACGGGGCCATTGCTGAGGAAGAAAGACCTCTGTTTTTCATTTCTGATTAAGCCCTATCTGAAACCAACTTTCAGTGTGGCTTGGAACTGGACAACCAGGTTCTAGTGGCACCCTGCCATTGTGTCCAGAATTAGTTCCTTCCGGTGGGTTCTTGGTCTCCCTGACTTCAAGAATGAAGCCGCAGACCTTCGCGGTGAGTGTTACAGCTCATAAAAGGTAGCGTGGACACAAAGAGTGAGCAGCAGCAAGATTTATTGCGAAGAGCAAATGAACAAAGCTCCCACGATGTGGAAGGGGACCTGAGCAGGTTGCCACTGCTGGCTGGGTGGCCTGCATTTATTCCCTTATTTGGCCCCGCCCATATCCTGCTGATTGGCTCATTTTACAGAGCGCTGATTGGTCCATTTTACAGAGTGCTGATTGGTGAGTTTACAAACATTTAGCTAGACACAGAGCACTGATTGCTGCATTTACAATCCTTTAGCTAGACAGAAGAGTTCTCCAAGTCCCCTACCGGACTAGTTAGACAGAGCACTGATTGGTGCATTTACAAACCTTTAGCTAGACAGAAAAGTTCTCCAAGTCCCCACCCGAACCAGAAGCCCAGCCGGCTTCACCTGTCACCACTACCAGCTGTGTTACCTTGGGCAAAATTCCTACCTCCCCAAGCCTCAGTGTCCACCTCTTTAAGATGAGAATGGTGCTACCTAATACAGAGAGTTGTTGGGGGTTTAAATGAAATTAGAGTATACAATAATTAGCACAATGCCCAGAAGATCTAAGCATTAAAAAAAATAGATAACAATGAAAATAATAAGTAGGACAACTTGCAATCTAGAAGTTTAATGTCATTGAAGAATTCCTTATAAGGACTTAAAACAGTGAATTCAAGGTGAAATGAAGTATTACTGGCATTACATATTTCATAACTAGAGTTAAAATTGATATCAATTTGGGAAAGGTTTTTACAAACTTGTGATAGACAATAAGCTCTTATTTTCTGTCTGATTTTCCCCCAAATTCTCCATTATTTTTCTCAAATCCTCACTCAATTTTGATTAATTTTTTTCCTTTTAGTCTTTCATGATGAGATATTTGTCAAATATTTTACACTTAACTACATGCTGTCACATAAAATATCTCCAAATAACTTCAAATTCTAACCTGTAACCAAATGTGAAATCCCTGGGAAGACTGGAAAGTCTAGTAATGTCAAATTGAGCAACAAGGATACTTTGGGAACTCAAACCTTAAGGTGCAGTTAAAAAGAAGTTACCACTAATTGAGTACCTTTTACGTATCAGGTACTATGCTAGGCTTTTTACCTACTTAGGAGAATTCTCATAATAACACTGAAGGGTAAATACTATTATGCTCATATTTGGAAAGCAGACCTTGAGATGTGAGACAATTTGGTTAAGATCAAAGAGTTAAGGAATGGCAGAATCAGAGCTGAACTCTAAGTCTGTCTGACTTCAAAGCCTGCCCTTTCTTCCTTAAGCCTCAATCCCTCTCCCCAGGAAACTGGGCACCCACCCAAGCCCGTGGCAGGGACCACAGCAACCTGCTGGTGACAACAGGGCCCAGGCATCATCGCAGGCAGCACCATGAAATCCAGTCCCCATTAGAAGGTGGTGCTAAGGCAGCTGAGAGACTCCCTGCCCCAGATAGGATTGGCAATGGCACCAAGCTTGTCTGCAGGTGAGACCCAGAAAATACAGCTTCGGCTGGCTTGCAATAAGAAGGCAGAAGGGCAGGTAGAACCTGCAAGAAAGGGGTTTATAATTAGCCTATTTGGTCCAGCAGATTTCACATGTCATTTCTCACAAAGATGTTTAGTTTTGCTGTTAACATGGCACTTTTTTCAAATGAACTTTTATGTGCTGCCTTTATGTAAATGAATATGTAAGTAAAAGCTAAAATGTTCTCACGTGAGATCATCAAGGTACAGAGAACTAGGGCCTCTGGGCCATTTGCTGGCTTATATTGGGTGGCTCCCATGGCACCTCTGTGGGTCCATATAGTTCTCAGGAGTAATTTAAAAATCACTACATTACATATTAATTATTATTTCTCCAAGTGTGCACAAAAATCAAACATACCGTTTTTACAATGCAGATTCTTGTTCCCCAGCTAAGACTTGCTATTTGGGGAGTTCTTAGCCAAATATCTAGATTTCCATTCCTTGCCATGTTCCAAATAATTTATATATATATATATGTGTGTGTGTGTGTGTGTGTGTATGTATATATATGAATGTTAAGCATATATATTATATATGTAGCTTAAAAGATTCAGAATTTAAAGAGCTCCATCATTCAGAACGTCTTTTTCTCTCTTTTTTAAATGGATAATATTTTTATTTTAATTTTGAGGTCTTAAACTAAATTGTCTTGGTATTTAAAGCTCTATTTCTGCAGCTTTCAGTACAGAGAAAAAGAGTGAATTGAAGTTTAATTAATGTTTTTGTTTAACTTGTACTTTAGCTTCAGGGATACATGTGCAGGATTGTTATATAGGTAAATTGCCTGTCACAGGGGTTTGGTGTACAGATTATGTCATCACCCAGGTAGTCAACAGAGTACCTGATAGATAGTTTTTTGATCTTTACCCTCCTCCCACCCTCTACCCTAAAGTAGGCCCTAGTGTCTTTTGTTCCTTTCTTTGTGTTTATTTGTACTCAATGTTTAGCTCCCATATATAAGTGAGAACATGTGGTATTTGGTTTTCCGTTCCTGTGTTAGTTCGCTTAGGATAATGTCCTTCAGCTTCATCCATGTTGCTGCAAAGGACGTGATCTCATTGTTTTTTATGGCTGTGTAGTATCCCATGGTATATATGTTACATTTTCTTTATATAGTCTACTGTTGATGGGCATTTAGGTTGATTCGATGTGTTTGCTATTGTGAATAGTGCTGCTATGAACATATGCATGCATGTGTATTTACGGAAGAACAATTTATATTTTTGGGGGTATATATGCAGTAATGGGATTGCTGGGTTGAATGGTAATTCTGCTTTGAGTTCTTCAAGAAATTGCAAAACTACTTTCCACAATGGCTGAACTAATTTACATTCCCACCAACAATGTATAAGCATCCCTTTTCTCTATAACTTCACCAGCGTCTGTTATTTTCTGACTTTTTAACAACAGCCATTCTGACTGCTGTTAGATGGTATCTCATTGAGGATTTGATTTGCATTTCTCTACTGATTAGTAGTATTGAGCATTTTTCATATGCTTGTTGTCTGAGCATATGCCTTTTTTTGAAAAGTGTCTGTTCATGTCCTTTGCTCATTTTTTTAATGAGGTTGTTTGATTTTGCTAGTTCATTTGTTTAAATTCCTTATAGATTCTAAATATCAGACCTTTGTCACATGCACAGTTTGCAAATATTTTCTCTCATTCTGTAGGTTATCTGTTTTGTCTGTTTACTGTGTTGACTTTTTTTCTTTTCTGTGCAAAAACTCTTTAGTTTAGGTACCATTTATCAATTTTTGTCTTTGTTGTAATTGCTTTTGGTGTCTTCATCATGAAATCTTTGCCAGGTCCTATCCTATGTTCTAGGCACCTAGAAAATAGATTTGTAAAGGGTTTTTATAGTTTTAGGTTTCACATTTAAGTCTTTAATTTATCTTGAATTGATTTTTGTGTATGGTGTAAGAAAGGGATCCAGTTTCAATCTTCTGCATAGGGCTAGCCAATTATCCCAGCATCATTTATCAAATAGAAAGTCCATTCCCCATTGCTTGTTTTTGCCAACTTTGTCAAATATCAAATCATTGTTGGCAGGTGGCGTTATTTCTGGGGTCTCTATTTGTTCCATTGGTCTATGTGACTGTGTTTTTACCAGGTATCATGCTGTTTTGGTTACTGTAGCCTTATAGTATAGTTTGAAGCTGTGTAGTATAGTATAATGTAATGCCCCCAGCTTTGTTCTTTTTGCTTAGGATTGCCTTGGCTATTTGGGCTAATTTTGGTTTCATACGAATTTTTAAACAGTTGTTTCTAATTCTGCGAAGAATGTCATTGGTAGTTTGATAGGAATAGCATTGAATCTATAAATTGCTTTGGGAAGTATGGCCATTTTAACAATATTGATTCTTCCTATCTGTGAGCCTGGAATGTTTCTCCACTTGTTTATGTCATCTCTGATTTCCATCAGCAGTGTTTTGTAATTCTCATTGGAGAGAACTTCTTCCTCCCTCGTTAGGTGTATTCCTAGGTATTTTATTCTTTTATTTGTGGCTATTATTAATGGGATTGTGTTCTTGATTTGACTTTCAGCTTGAAGGTTCTTGGTGTAAAGGAATGCTGCAGAATTTGCTACATTGATTTTGTATTCTGAAACTTTGCTGAAGTTGTTTATCAGATTAAGGAGCTTTGGGGCAGAGACTATGGGGTTATGTATGTGTAGAATCATATTATCTTCAAACAGGGATAGTTTGACTTCCTCTCTTCCTATTTGGATGCCTTTTATTTCTTTGTTGCCTCATTGCTGTAGCCAGCACATCCAGGACTATGTTGCATAGGAGTTGTGAGAGAGTGTTCTTGTCTTGTGCTGGTTTTCAAGGGGAATGCTTCCAGCATTTACTCATTCAGTATGATGTTGGCTGTGGGGTTGTCATAGATGGCCTTTATTATTTTGAGGTATGTTCCTTCAATACCTAGTTTATTGAGAGTTTTTGATGTTAAATTTTATGGGAAGCTTTTTATGTGTCTATTGAGATAATCATGGGATTTTTTAACATTCTGTTTATATAATAAATTACATTTATTGATTTGTGTATGTTGAACCAACCTCACATCCCAATGATGAAGCCTACTTGATCATAGGATATTATCTTTTTGATGTGCTGCTGGATTCAGTTTGCTAATATTTTGTTGAAGATGTTTGCATCAAGGATATTAGCCTGAAGTTTTCCTTTTTTGTGTGTCTCTGCCATGTTTTGGTATCAGGATGATGCTGGCCTCACAGAATGAGTTAGGGAGGAGTCCCTCCTCCTCAAGTTTTTGAAATAGTTTTAGTGGAAATTGTACCAGCCTTTCTTTATATATGTGATAGAATTCAGTTATGAATCCATCTGGTTCTGGGATTTCTCTGATTGGCAGGCTTTTTATTACTGGTTAAATTTCAGAGCTTGTTATTGGTCTGTTCAGGAATTCAATTTCTTCCTTGTTCAGTCTTGGAAGGCTGTATATTTCCAGGAATTTATCCATTTCTTCTAGATTTCCTAGCTTGTGTGCATAGGGGTGTACATAATAGTCTCTGAGGTTTTTTTGTTTGTTTGTTTGTTTTGTTTGTTTGTTTGTTTTTGAGACAGAGTTTCGCTCTGTCACCCAGGCTGGAGTGCAGTGGCTCAATCTTGGATCTTGGCTCACTGCAACCTCCATCTCCCAGGTTCAAGCCATTCTCATGCCTTGGCCTCCTGAGTAGTTGGGACTGCAGGTGCCTGCCACCACACCTCACAATTTTTTTTTGTATTTTTAGTAGAGATGGAATTTCACCATGTCGGTCAGGCTGGTCTTGAACTCCTGGCCTCAAGTGATCTGCCTGCCTCTGACTCTCAAAGTGCTGGGATTACAGACATGAGCTACCATGCCTGGCTAGCATTTTTTGTATTTCTGTGGGGTCAGGTCAGTGGTAATATCTCCTTTTTCATTTCGGATTGTGTTTATTTAGATCTTTTCTCTTTTTTTCTCTAGTAGCCTACCTACTGCTCTATTTATCTTATTAATTTTCTCAAAGTACCAATACTGAATTCATTAATCTTTTGTATTTTTTTTTTTTTGCATTTCAATTTCCTTCTAGAAATTCAGCTTGATTTTGGTAATTTTTTGTCTTCTGCACCTTTGTTGTTGGTTTTCTCTTGTTTCTCTAGTTCCTGTAGTTGTGATGTTAGTTTCTTAATTTGAAATTTTTCTACCTTTTTGATGTGGGCATTAAGTGCTATATACCTTCCTTTTAATATTGCTTAGCTGTAACACAGAGATTCTGGGATGTCGTATCTTTGTTCTTATTAATTTCAAATAATTTCTTGTTTTCCACTGTAATTTTATTGTTTACCCTAAGGTCATTCAGGAGCAACTTGTTTAGTTTCCATGAATTTGTATGGTTTTGAGTGATTTTTTTAGTATTGGTTTCTGTTTTTATTGTGCTGTGGTCTGAGAGTGTGGTTAGTATGATTTTGGGTTTTTTTTTTTTTAATTTGCTGAGTATTGTTTTATGTCCAACTGTGTGGTTGATTTTAGAGTATTTGGTAAAGTGTCAAGCTCAGGTCCTGCATACCTTTGTTAGTTTTCTGCCTCAATTTTAGGTCTAATACTGCCAGTGGGGTGTTTAAGTGTCACACTATTATGGCTATATAAGTTACTTTGTAGTATCTATGAACTCATTTTATAAATCTAGGTGTGCCTGTGTGGTGTTCATGTATATTTAGGAGAGTTAGGTCTTGTTGAATCGAGCCCTTTTTCATTATGTAATGCCTTTCTTTTTCTTTTTTGATCCTTGTTGGTTTAAAGTCTGTTTTGTCCGAAATAAGGATTGCAACCTCTGCTTCTTTCTGTTTTCTGTTTGTTGGTAGATTTTTCTCCATCCCCTTACTTTGAGCTTATGGGTCTCATTGCATATGAGATGGGTCTCTTAAAGAAATTGTACCGTTGGGTCTTGCTTCCTTTTCCAGCTTGCCAGTCTGCCTTTTAATTGTGCCATTTAGTCCAATTACATTCAAGGTTAATATTGATATGTGGGATTTGATCCTGTCATCATGTTGTTAGCTGGTTATTATGCAGACTTGTTTGTGTGGTTACTTTATAGTGTCAATAGTCTATGTACTGAAGTTATGTTTTTGTTTTTGTTTTGGTGGCTGGTAATGGTCTTTCCATTCTATATTTAGCACTTTCTTCAGGACCTCTTTTAAGGCAGGCCTGGTGGTAACAAATTCCCTCAGCATTTGCTTGTCTGAAGAGGATCTAATTTCTCCTTTGCTTATGAAGTTTAGTTTGGCTAGATACGAAATTCTTGATTAGAAGTTCTTTTCTTTAAGAATGCTGAATATAGGTCCCCAGTCTCTTCTGGCTTGTAGAGTTTCTGCTGAAAGGTCCACTGTAAGCCTGATTTGGCTCCCTTTGTAGGTGATCTCCCCCTTTTCTCTAGCTGCCTTTAACATTTTTTCTTTCATTTCAGCCTTGCAGAACCTGATAACTATGTCTTGGAGATGGGGGATGGTGTTCTTGTGTAGTATCTTGCAGGGGTTCTCATGCCCTATATTTCATGAATTTGAATGTTGGCCTCTAGTGAGGTTGGGGAAATTTTCATAAATGATATCCTGAAATATGTTTTCTAAGTTGCTTGCTTTCTCTTTCTCTCTTTCAGGGATGCAATGGGTCATAGATTTGGTCTCTTTATGTAATGTGCTCATTTGCACGAGTGGGGACATTGACCTGGGGGTAAGGTGGTGGTGGGCATTGGGCTGGCTGTCTCTGTGCATGTTTGTACCAGCTGCAATGGTTTTCCAGGATAGGGACTGGCAGGTAGGGACTGGTAGCCGTGACATGGGAAAAGGAGAGGCAAGATCCTACCAGGGGAAAGGAGAGGCAAGATCCACCTGCCCCCCTGCACACCAACAAAATGATGTGGGGGGTGGTCATGGGTGAGTGCGTGCTGGAAAAGTGGCACAGGGGAGACTGCGGTGGAGGGAAAGTGTGGGTGGGGGGTCAGTTGGGGGAGAATGTGGGTGGGCTGGTAGGGGTCAGAGGGGCCACTCTACTGGAGCTCTCCAAGAATCAGGGGTGGCCTGCCTGTGCAGGAGCTGTGATGTGGACCCTGGGGAGGCAACCTGAATGGGCATCTAAGGCTGCACTGCAAACAGGCATGGCTAGGCTGGGGCTGTGGGAGTTGCCAGCAGACAGGAGAATGCTCAGGTCTGACCAGTCCCATATCATGGACAAGATCACCCTCTCTATTCAGGTCTGACAATTCACCTAAGGTTAAATTCTCCTAGGGGAGCAAGATGGGTCTTGGGGGATGGGCATCCCTGGGCATGCTCCACTGCAGATGGTCCCACACCAAGACTTCTGGGCTCTGCACTGGTTAGAATTCTGTGCCTACCATGTCTCTAAGCAGCTGTTCCTGCCTACTTACATATTCGTGGCATCTCCTGCTGCCAGGATTTCAGAGGTTTATGGTGAGAGTGGGTCAGTTCTCACATGCTCAACTCACCCCTTATTCAGGAGGCACTGGGGGCCAGGAATGAGTCCCAGTGCACAGTAGCCCAGTGCAGGATTCCAAGCTGTGTTCTCCTTCCATCCACTCTCAATGCCTTTCCTTTAAAGATCTGTTCAGAGTCACTGGTTTTCCCAATGTCTCAGTCCCTCAGTGTCAGGTATTCCTCCTGGCTGCATCTATTCAGCCATCTTGCCTCCAGCCTTAGAAGGTCTTTTTCAGTAAAGACTACAACTTGGCTGCAACCCTTCCCTGCTGAAATTACTTGCCTCTTGCTCTTGACCTAAAAATAATTGACAATGATGCCATACAGTGACAAACTTTTCTTACTTACGTGAGTTACAGGATTCTTCCAATAGCTAATAAAAGTGTGAAAAAGTACAGACATACAAAAACTGTCACAATACAGACTAAAGTAAAAAAAATCTTGAAAAAATTCCAACAATCTTTTGTTTCCTCCCCTAATTACATCTTTCATAAAATATTTCAGAGAAATAAAAAAATAGGGATTTTTGGCAAGATGGCCAAATAGGAATAGCTACATTGTGCAGCTCCCAGCAAGATCAATGCAGAAGGTGGGGGATTTCTGCAGTTCCAACAGAGGTACCTGGCTCATCTCATTGGGGCTGGTTAAACAGTGGGTGCAGCCCATGAAGGGGAGCAGAAGCAGGGTGGGGCGTCACCTCACCTGGGAAGTGCAAGGTGTTGGGGAACTCCCTCTCCTAGCCAAATGAAACTGCGAGGGATTCTGCCATAAGGAATGGTGCACTATGGCCCAGATGCTATGCGCTTTTCCCGTGGTCTTCACAACCCACAGACCAGGAGATTCCCTTGGGTTCCTATACCACCAGGGCCCTGGGTTTCAAGCATAAAACTGGGGGGCCATTTGGGCAGATACCCAGCTAGCTGCAGGAGTTTTTTTTTTTTTTTTCATACCCCAGTGGCACCTGGAATGACAATGAGACAGAACCGTTCACTCTCCTGGAAAAGGGACTGAAGCCAGGGAGCCAAGTGGTCTAGCTCAGTGGATCCCACCCCCATGGAGCCCAGCAAGCTAAGACCCACTGGCTTGTAATTCTCGCTGCCAGCACAGCAGTCTGAAGTTGACCTGGGATGCTTGAGCTTGGTGGGGGAAGGGCATCCACCATTATTGAGGCTTGAGTAGGCTGCTTTCCCCTCACAGTATAAACAAAGCCACTGGGAAGTTCAGACTAGGCGGAGCCCACCACAGGTCCGTGAAGCAGCTGTAGCCAGACTGCTGCTCTAGATTCCTCCTCTCTTGGCAGGGCATCTCTGAAAGAAAGGCAGCAGCCCCAGTCAGGAGCTTATAGATAAAACTGCCATCTCCATGGGACAGAGGACCTGGGGGAAGAGGTGGCTGTGGGCACAGCTACAGCAGACTTAAACGTTCCTGCCTGCTGGCTCTGAAGAGAGCAGGGGATCTCCCAGCACAGTGCTCAAGCTCTGCTAAGGGACAGACTTCTTCCTCAAGTGGGTTTCTGACCTCCATGACTCCTGACTGGGAGACACCTCCCAGCAGGGGTTGACAGATAACTCATAAAGGAGAGCTCCACCTGGCATCTGGTGAGTGCCTCTTTGGGATGAAGCTTCCAGAGGAAGGATCAGGCAGCAATCTTTGCTGTTCTGCAGCCTCTTCTGGTTATACTGAGGCAAACAGGGTCTGGAGTGGACCTCCAGCAAACTCCAGCAGACCTGCAACAGAGGGGCCTGACTTTTAGAAGGAAAACTAACAAACAGAAAGCAATAGCATCAACATCAACAACAAGGATGTCCACACAGAAACCCCATCCAAAGGTCACGAACATCAAAGACTAAAGGTAGATAAATCCATGAAGATGAGAAAAAAACAGCGCAAAACGGCTGAAAATTCCAAAAACCAGAATGCCTCTTCTCCTCCAAAGGATCACAGCTCCTCGCCTGCCAGGGAACAAAACTGGATGGAGAATGAGTTTTACAAATTGACAGAAGTAGGCTTCAGAAGGTGGGTAATAACAAACTTCTTCGAGCTGAAGCAGCATGTCTTAACCCAATGCAAGGAAGCTAAGAACCTTGAAAAAATGATAGAGGAATTGCCAACTAGAATAACCAGTTTAGAGAACATAAATGACCTGATGGACCTGAAAAACACAACATGAGAACTTTGTGAAACATACACAAGTATCAATAGCCGAATCAATCAAGCAGAAGAAAGGATATCAGAGACTGAAGATCAACTTAATGAAATAAAGTGTGAAGACAACATTAGAGAAAAAATAATAAAAAGGAACAAACAAAGCCTCCAAGAAATATGGGACTATGTGAAAAGACAAAACCTCCATTTGATTTGTATACCTGAAAGTGATGGAGAATGGAAACAAGTTGGAAAATACTCTTCAGGATATTGTTCAGTAGAGCTTCCTCAACCTAGCAAGACTGGCCAACATTCAAATTCAGGAAATACGGAGAACACCACAAAGATACTCCTCAAGAAGAGCAACCCCAAGACAAATAATCATCGTATTCATGAACGTTGAAATGAAGAATAAAATGTTAAGGGCAGCCAGAGATAAAGGTTGAGTTACCCAAAAAAGGAAGCTCATCTGACTAATGGTGGACCTCTCTGCTGAAACCCTACAAGCCAGAAGAGAGTGGGGGCCAATACTCAACATTCTTAAAGAAAATAATTTTCAAACCAGAGTTTCATATCCAGCCAAACAAAGCTGCATACTTGAAGGAGAAATAAAATCCTTTACAGACAAGCAAATGCTGAGAGATTTTGTCACTACTAGGCCTGCCTTACAAGAGGGCGTGAAAGAAACACTAAATATGGAAAGGAAAAACCATTACAAGCCACTGCAAAAGCATAACAAATTGTAAAGACCATTGACACTACGAAGAAACTGCATCAACTAATCAGCAGAATAACCAGCTAGCATCTTAATGACAGGATCAAATTTACACATAACAATATGAACCTTAAATATAAATGGGCTAAATGCCCCAATTAAAAGACACAGACTGGCAGATTGGATAGAGTCAAGACCCATCGGTGTGCTGTATTAAGGAGACCCATCTCACATGGAAAGACACACATAGGCTCAAAACAAAGGAATGGAGGAATATTTACTAAGCAAATGGAAAGCAAAAAGAAAAAAAAAGCAGGGCTTGCAATCCTAGTCTCTGATAAAACAGACTTTAAACCAACAAAGATCAAAAAAGACAAAGAAGGGCATTACATATGGTAAAGGGATCAATAAAACAAAAAAACCTAACTATCCTAAATATATATGCACCCAATACAGGAGCTCCCAGATTTATAAAGCAAGTTCTTAGAGACCTACAAAGAGACTTAGATACCCACACAATAATAGTGGGAGACTTTAACACCCCACTGTCAGTATTAGACATATCAACAAGAGAGAAAATTAACAAGGATATTCAGGGCTTGAACTCAGCTCTGGACCAAGCAGATTTAACAGACATCTACGGAACAATCCACCCTAAATCAACAGAATATACATTTTTGTCAGCACCACATAGCACTTATTCTAAAATTGACTACATAATTGGAAGTAAAACACTCCTCAGCAAATGCAAAAGAATGGAAATCATAACAAACAGTCTCTCAGACCACAGTGCAGTCAAATTAGAACTCAGGATTAAGAAACTAATTTAAAACTGCACAATTACATGGAAACTGAAGAACCTGCTCCTGAATGACTACTGGGTAAATAACGAAATTAAGACAGAAATAAGTAAGTTCTCTGAAACCAATGAGAACAAAGACACAATGTACCAGAATCTCTGGGACACACTAAATGCCCACAAGAGAAAGCAGGAAAGATCTAAAATCAACACCCTAACATCACAATTCAAAGAACCAGAGAAGCAAAAGCAAACAAATTCAAAAGCTAGCAGGAGAGAAATAACTAAGATCAGAGCAGAACTGAAGGAGATAGAGACATGAAAAACCCTTTAAAAAATCAATGAATCCAGGAGCTGGTTTTTGAAAAGATTAACAAAATAGATAGACCACTAGCCAGACTAATAAAGAAGAAAAGAGAGAAGAATCAATAGACACAATAAAAATTGATAAAGTGGATATCACCACTGATCCCACAGATATACAAACTACCATCAGAGAATACTATAAACACATCCAGGCAAATAAACTAGAAAATCTAGAAGAAATCGATACATTCCTGAACACATACACCCTCCCAAGACTAAACCAGGAAGAAGCTGAATCCCTGAATAGACCAGTAACAAGTTCGGAAATTGAGGCAGTAATTAATAGCCTACCAACCAAAACAGTCGAGGACCAGATGGATTGACAGCCAAATTCTACCAGAGGTACAAAGGGGAGCTGGTACCATTTCTTCTGAAACTATTCCAAGCAACAGAAAAGATGGACTCCTCCCTAACTCATTTTGTGAGGCCAGTATCATCCTGATACCAAAGCCTGGCAGAGACACTACAAAATGAAAATTTCAGGCCAATATCCCTGATGAACGTTGATGTGAAATCCTCAATAAAATACTGGCAAACCAAATCCAGTAGCACATCAAAAAGCTTATCCACCACGATCAAGTCTGCTTCATCCCTGGGATGAAAGGCTGGTTCAACATACATAAATCAATACACGTAATCCATCACATAAGCAGAACCAGTAATAAAAACCACATGATTATCTCAATAGATGCAGAAAAGGCCTTTGATAAAATTCAACACCCTTTCATGCTCAAAACTCTCGATAAACTAGGTATTGATGGAATGTATTTCAAAATAATAAGAGATATTTATGACAAACCCACAGCCAATATCATACTGAATAGGCAAAAGCTGGAAGCGTTCCCTTTGAAAACCGGCACAAGACAAGGATGTCCTCTCTCACCACTCCTATTCAACACATTATTGGAAGTTCTGGCCATGGCAATCAGGCAAGAGAAAGAAATAAAGGGTACTGAAATAGGAAGACAGGAAGTCAAATTGTCTGTTTGCAGATGACATGATTGTATATTTAGAAAACCCCATAGTCTCAGCCCAAAATCTCCTTAAGCTGATAAGCCACTTCAGCAAAGTCACAGGATTCAAAATCAATGTGCAAAAATCACAAGCATTCCTATAAACCAATAATATACAAACAGAGAGCCAAATCATGAGTGAACTCCCATTCACAATTACTATAAAAAGAATAAAATACCTGGGAATAAAACTTACAAGGCATGTGAAGGACCTCTTCAAGGGGAACTACAAACCACTGCTCAAGGAAATAAGAGAGGACACAAACAAATGGAAAAACATTCCATGCTCATGGATAGGAAGAATCAATATCAATAAAATGGCCATATTGCCCAGAGTAATTTATAGATTCAATGCTATCCCCATCAAGATACCATTGACCTTCTTCATGGAATTTGAAAAACTACTTTAAATTTCATATGGAACCAAAAAAGAGCCCAAATAGACAATCCTGAGCAAAAAGAACAAAGCTAGAAGCATTACACTACCTGACTTCAAACTATACTACAAGGCTACAGTAACCAAAACAGCAGCATGGAACTGGTACCAAGACAGATAAATAGACCAATGGAACAGAACAGAGGCCTCAGTAATAGCACCACACATCTACAACCATCTGATCTTTGACAAACCTGACAAAAGCAATGGGGAAAGGATTCCCTATTTAATAAATGGTGCTGGGAAAACTGGCTAGCCAAATGCAGAAAACTGAAACTGGACCCCTTCCTTTATACCTTACATAAAAATTAACTCAAGATGAATTAAAGACTTAAATGTAAGACCTAAAAACCATGAAAACCCTAGAAGAAAAACTAGAAAATACCATTCAGGATATAGGCATGGGCAAAGTGTTTGGTGTTTTCCATGACTAAAGCACCAAAAGCAGTGGCAACAAAAGCCAAAATTGATAAATGGGACCTAATTAAACTCAGGAGCTTCTGCACAGCAAAAGAAACGGTCATCAGAGTGAACAGGCAACCTATAGAATCGGAGAAAATTTTTTCAATCTATCCATCTGACAAAGGGCTAATATCCAGACTCTACAAAGAACTTAAACAAATTTACAAGAATAAAACAAACAACTTCATCAAAAAGTGGGCAAAGGATATGAACAGACACTTCTCAAAAGAAGACATTTATGTGGCCAACAAACATATGAAAAAAAGCTCATCATCACTGGTCATTAGAGAAATACAAATCAAAACCACAATGAGAAACCGTCTCATGCCAGTTAGAATGGTGATCATTAAAAAGTCAGGAAACAACAGATGCTGGAGAGGATGTGGAGAAATAGGAATGCTTTTACACTATTGGTGGGATTGTAAATTAGTTCAACCATTGTGGAAGACAGTGGGTGATTCCTTAAGCATCTAGAACTAGAAATACCTTTGACCCAGCAATCTCATTAGTGGGTATGTACCCAAAGGATCATAAATCATTCTTCTATAAAGACACATGCACACATACGTCTATGGTAGCACTGTTCACAATAGCAAAGACTTGGAACCAACCCAAATGCCCATAAATGATAAACTGGATAAAGAAAATGTGGCACTTATACACCATGGAATACTATGCAGCCATAAAAAGGGATGAGTTCCTTTCCTTTGCAGGGACATGGTTGAAGCTAGAAACCGTTATCCTCAGCAAACTAACACAGGAACAGAAAACTAAACACCACATGTTCTCACTCATAAGTGGGGGTTGAACAATGAGAACACATGGACATAGGGAGGGGAACATCACACACTGGTGCCTGTTGCAGGGGGAGGCTAGGGGAGGGATAGCAGTAGGAGAAATAACTAATGTAGATGACAGATTGATGGGTGTGGCAAATCACCATGGCACGTGTGTACCTATGTAACAACCCTGCATGTTCTGCACATGTATCCCAGAATTTAAAGTATACTACTACTACTACTAATAATAATAATAATAAAATTAAGCTTTGCACTTCCAGATTCTCATAGGAACAGTTTATTAGACTTTTTACTAATAGAATTCAGGGATCTGCATCTTTGTTAGCTCTCCAGGTGATTCTTAGGCACACAATAGCTTAAGAAACAGCAGCCTAAAACCTTTCTCTCAAAGTGTGACCTGCAGAGCAGTAACATGGTCATCCCCTAAAAGCTTGTTGGAAATGCAGAATCTCAGATCACATTCCAGACCTGCTGAATTAGAATCTGTATTTCAACAAGATTCTCTGGTAGTTTATCAGCACATTTAAGTTCAAGACGCAATGGTTTAGAAGAGGCAAAGCAGACTTTTCAATCTGTAGTTGGAAGGTAGAGGTGAGGGAACCTGGCAGCGTATTCTCCTGGCATGCCTGGTAAGATCAGTCATAGGTTCAGGACTTCAGTGAAAGCTGCCTTTCACGCTTGTTCCTTAGTTGATCTTTTATCTCATCATGGCCTGGTAAGGAGATGGGTGCAGAACAATTATTCCCCTTGATGTTTGAGTAGGAATGTTAACATTCGCTATTAATTAAAAACCATTTCTTCATTGCCTGTGCATTCCAGGCAGTGAAAGAAGACATTGTCCCACCCCTCCAGGCCTCACTCATTCCCACATCAATAGAGCTGGCTCATACTTCTCAGTCCTCTCTGCCTGTACCTCCTACCCCTAGAGCCCATTTTGAATCTAAATAATGAGCCTAATGTGCCACTTAGGTGAGGCCTTCTCTAATTTGCTGGAGCTTAGCTGGGCCACATTTCACAATGCCCTCAAGGATAGCTGCTAGCTGATGTACAACAATAGCATTTACTTTCACCTCACATTGGAATTTGCTCAGCAACCACTCCCTGGCTATGACTTGCAGCCCCTACTCAGGTGAAGGAGCTGGGCAACCCCATAGTGGGGTTGCCCTTGACTGCTCAGACCCATAATCAGAAGACAGACCCTCTGATTGACTCTCTGATCCTTGTGTCCCTTCAGAAGACAGTTTCCTGCAGCCACACTGCCTGAGGGTTAAAAGGAAAGGTAAATTCCCATCCATGGAATTTTGATTCTCCTGACCAGAAGGGATTTCAGTCCCTCACCATATTTGCGATGCCATGTTGCTGTCAGGCAGTCTTCACACTGCTCTGCTCCCTTCAAATGTGTTCATTCTATTTAGTGTTCAGTCAGGTGGAAAAGCATCTGTCCCTTTTCCACTATATGTGTCCCTTCACAAAGGATGGAGGTGAAGGTGTCTGTGTAACCCTGAGCTTATTTTCACAGTCATCCTGTGGAACCACAGCATTGCTGCAGAAGCTCCTCTGGAGAGCTTTCCATCACAACAACATTGAAACCAAGTCAAGTCTGCTTTACATGTGAATTTATCTCCTTTCGCTGAGATAATGAAAGCTAGGGTTTCTGTGTTTTCAGATGTCGCTGTTGTTACTGATTCAAGATTGATTTTGGAGCACACCATGTAACTATTGCACCCTCGCACCTTTTCCCACTTACTCCACACCTCCTATTAGTGCCATAGCACAGCCCATGGAATAGGCCCCCAATGGGATAGACATGCTGATTTGCTTCACTCTTTTTTCTCATTTATTTTCCAAAGAGCAGAGTTCCAAAACTTTGGATGATCTGTCTCTAGGCTAATAGGGAACTGCCTGCCGAGTACTCTGGGAGGAATCTAAGCTCACTCGTTTTTGAAATAAACTCAAAAACCATTTTCTATAGATAATTATAACTTTGAGCTTCATAAAAGTCACTAAACTACTAGGGATGCCACATCTGTAAATGCAAATATTCCTGTCTGAAGGCTGGAGGCTGTACAAGTTGACCTTCTAAGGTCCTTTTTAGCACCAATGCCTAGGAATCTGTAAACTTCTCTCCTTCTGCCTAATCTCACCCCCTTTTCCACAAAGTCTTCCTTATTCTCAGAAAAGTAAGGGCTTGTAACCTCTACTGCAGTTTTACTATGAGGTAGCTTTCACTTGGTTTAGAAGACTACATCCATGGGGTCCCATGGATGGGCTGTCGTTACTCTCTCAAGGAAAGGAGACTGCTGTTTCTCACTGCATTTATATTCTGCTTCCTGTCCTCCCGGGTTTTTACAACCTGGCTCTTCTAAATTCATCTCCTAAAGCTGGACCTTATTCCCTTTTTGTTCTTTTATTTATTTATTAATTTTTTTTCAACTAATGTTCACCAAATGCCTTCATATGTCAGCCACTATGCTAGGTACCACAGATTCAAAGGTGAGCTAGTCTCATGGAGCTAATAATGTAGAGAGGTATGTAAGTATTCACCAAAACACAGAATGCATAATCACAGAAAGGAATAAGGATCCCAAAGGAAAGATACACTCTTCCAGGAGAGCCTGTTACATTGAATCTGCCTGTGCCAGTCTATGTGATGTCAAGCTTCATAAGGAAGTTAGAGCCCTAAGAGATTTATAGGCACAATTGGACAAGCCAGACAAAACTCTCCATCAAAATCTTGTCTGAAGGCCCTTGTATTCTGTCACATCATGGAGCACTCTCCAAACAGAATAGTTAATTAGTGCTTCGTGAAGACAGGTGAACTTATGTGCTAGGAAGCAGCCAACATCCTCCCAGCCTCTGTGCAAGCCTATTAATTAATTGTATTGTCACTATATCAAGTCTTGCTTGACAGCTGCCAAGACTCGGTGAACTATAGGAACAAAGTAACATGACAGCTTAGAAGCACTAAGGAAGAAGTCCCAAGATAGACTGATCTCATACGAACACAATTTCTACACCTCTCTTCATTTCAGGTGGCCTGGACAGGCCTTGAACTCATATTCAATCAATTGTATTAAATTGCTTAGGTTTAGAGCAGATTATAAAAAAGGATTTTCCAAATTAAGTTCCCTTTTAGTCTTTTAGTAATAATGCTAAAGGCAAGAAAAGTTGTTAGAGTTTGATATCAATATTATAAATGACAAGGCCCAAAACTAGATCACAAGGGGCAAGAACTGGACAACAAGAGCCAACTGCTGCCTCCTCCTTCCCATTGTTACCTTTGGCCAGATAGATAGGTGTACTCATCATGCATGTTTCAGATGTAACTACTAAAGCCCAACTCAAGTTTACTATTTCAAACTAGTGATTTATTTGTTCACATGTTGGAAATGTCCAGGAGTGGGTCTTGTTCCAGTCAGAGGCTGAAATGATGCAAGCTGTATCTGAGCTCTCATTTTCTTCTCTACTTCTTCATCTCTACTTTGTTGTTTGTATTGCCTTTGCTCAAAAATAGATTTTATCCACATCATGCTCTCCAGAAGTTCCAGACTTAGATCTTCTAGGGGTAAAGAGAATTTGTCTCTTCAGTAATTCCAGAGAAATCTTATGGAAGGTTCTCATTGGCTCAGTTGTTCACATATTCATCCCTGAACCAGTCATAATGAACAAAGTTTTATTTGGTTCTGTGGTTTCTGCTGAAACCTGGAATTGATGCTAGACCCTCTATACTTTATGACTAAGAGTGATGTAGAGAGATTCTCAAAGCAAAATCCAGGGAGCTATTAACAGAATAGGGAATAGGGCTAGATAAGCAAAAACACTATATGCTCTTCACTATGTGCTAATGTTAGGATTTAGCAATAGAATGGGTGTTTTTCAGTATGATCAGGAGAGCTTTCCAGATGGGTGAAAAAAAATCAGGCTACTTATTTGAGAAACAGATAAAGTTCTCTGGCAAAATTTGTGATTTAGGACGATAGTCCAAATTATATCATGCAAGATCCTGGAAGAAATAATAGAAAGACAAATAACATTATTCTTAAATGGGAGTCAAATGTGATCACATCATTAGGTGTTCTCAATTCTCATTTTACAATGACTCGCGCTCAGTAAACACTCAATAAATATTTTTATTTGATTCTGGTGATTTAATACCCAGAGTGAAAATTAATCTTCATATAATTGTAGGAGAACTGATTAAGGCAGCAGAGTTATTGCTAAGATGCCTAATCAATAAAGCCTGCAGGTGTCCTTTCAATTAGAGTAGGAAATTAATGAATTCACATTTTTCCCTCGATTTACTGTGTCTACATAAAATTTCTCCCAGGCTTTGAATAATTTAATTTTGTTTTCATAGAAATAAAAGGAATACAGACACTAAAATTTTACCAGATCTTTACCTCATGGGTCTAAGTAGGCTCATATCTAAAATCGTCCCAGAAACATGCTTATAATCAGAACTGGATGATGTAAACCAATTACCCAGTCATGTTTTCTCCTCCCCAAATTAACTAACCTAAGCACATATACAAAATCACCTGGCCCAATCACACTGGGTTTTATCATATTTCCTAATATTTATAGGAATTAAGAGATGAGACAATACTGAATTAAGACATGAGACAATAATGGCTGAAAAGGCCAAACTGGCCGTTCCAAGACTCAGGATTATTCAGTCATTTCAAGATGGACTCCTGAAATGTATCGTAGTAAAAGAATAAAAAGGATAGTGTCATTGAGGCCAATGAGTTTGGGATTAGAATATCACCCTTGCTATTACTTTGAACAAATCAGTTAACCCTTCTGAACTTCAAATCCCTCATGAGTAAAATAGAAATAATAACTACCCTGAGGGGTTAATATGAGGATCTGATCATCTACTATATACAAAGTGGTTAAACAGAGTACAGCTTAAAAACTGGTTGCCATAATTTATATTCTTCAACTCTTCATAAAGTTTGATATTGATAAGCATTTTTAATGTCACCAAAATTACTCATGAATCCAGATATTATATATCTAATACACTAGTTCAAAGATGTTTTAAGTATTTCTCTGTCTGTAGAAAAAAGAGACTTGACTAAAAGAAAGTTTTAATTGTCAAGTAGAATTAGGTCAGCTATTGATGACGTCTAACCATTTTTTAAAAGAATACATTACATATGTATATACAGTCAGTCCTCCATATCCATGGGTTCCACATCTGTGGATCCAACTAATTGCAGATAAAAAATATGTTAATAAAAATTTCATCTGTACTGAATATGTACAGACTTTTTCTCTTATCATTATTCCCTAAACAATATGGCATAACAACTATTTACATAGCATTTACCTTGTGTTAGGTATTATAAGTAATCTAGGGAAGAGTCGAAGTGCACAGGAGTATGCACATAGGTTCTATGCAAATACTACACCAATCTTTATCAGGTACATGAACATCCTCAGAGTTTGGTACTCGTGGGAGGTTCTGAAACCTGCACACATTGGAAACCAAGGGATGATTATATATACATGCACAACACATTCAAACTTATGTATGAATATGAAGTCCTCATATCACATTAGTAGTATTGAATGCAAATGTATTTTAAACAAATTTATTTTGTAATACAAAAGAAAAACAAATACAATACATGAAAAAATTACTTACATTTGCTCTGGAAAGGGGGAGATCAACTCTTCATTAGCCCCAATCCATTATTTTTTATTAAAATTCAGTGTAAGTAAGTGAAGAAAGTACACATTATTTTTTTCATTGAGGTATTATTGACAAATAAATCAAACTAATTAACCTATCCATTGCCTCATATATTTACCTTTTTTTGGTGAGAAAACTTAAGAGCTACTCTCTTAGCAAATTTCAAGTGTATAATACAGTCATGCATTGCTTAACAATGGGTTTATGTTCTGAGAAATGCATTGTTAGGTGATTGCATCATTGTGTGAAAATCATAGAGAATATTTACGCAAACCTATATGGTATAGCTACTATACACCTAGGACATATGTATAGCC
This sequence comes from Homo sapiens, assembly GCF_000001405.40. Taxonomy (NCBI): domain Eukaryota; kingdom Metazoa; phylum Chordata; class Mammalia; order Primates; family Hominidae; genus Homo; species Homo sapiens. Next base: position 111,435,345 of record NC_000003.12, on the reverse strand, counting down.
TATTGTTCCTAGGATATAAACCTGTGCAACATGTTACTGTATTGACTGCTATACTCGATTGTAACACAATGGTAAACATTTGCATAATTAAGTAAATCTGACCATAGGAAAGGTACAGTAAAAATATAGTATACAAGATAAAAAGGGTGTACCTTTCTAGACAGGGCACTTACTATAAATGGAGCTTGTAGGACTGAAAGTTGCTCTGGGTGAGTCAGCAGGTGAATATAAAAACCTAGGTCATTACTGTACACTACTATGACTCTATAAACACTGTCCACTTAAGCTACACTAAATTTATTTTAAAAAATTCTTTCTTCAATAATAAATTAACCTTAGTTTACTGTAACCATTTTATAAATTTTCAATATTTTAAAACTTCCGACTCTTTTATAATAAAACTTAGCTTAAAACACAAACATTGCATATTTGTACAAAGTTATTTTTCTTTATATTCTTATCTGTAAGCTTTTCTCTATTGCTAAGGTTTTCTGATTTTTAATTTTGCTTTTTAAGTGACTGGCAACGCAGTAAGTGTCTTCGCACCAGGATCATATCAACACATGAGTAATTTGTTGCTCTCAATGTTACAATGACTGTGATGGCACTAGGCAATAAGAATTTTTTGGCTCCATTATAATCTTACAGGACCACTGTTATATCTGTCATGGACTGAAATGTTATGCAGTGCATGACTGTACATTAGCATTATCAACTATAGTCACCATGCTACCTTTTATCTCGAGAACTTATCTTCTAACAGTAAGTTTAAGTTTGTATCCTTTGACCAACATACCCTCATTTTCTCCAATCTACCCCCAAACCCCTGACAACTACTGTTATATCCTCTGTTGCTATGAGTTCAACTTTTTAAGAGTCCACATATAAGTGAGATCATGCCATATTTGTTGTTCTGTGTCTGGTTTATTTCAATTAACATAATATCCTGTAGATTCATATATGTTGCAAATGCAGGACTTCTTTTATTTATTTTCTTTCTCTTTTAGGGTTGAATTTCATACACACACATGCACACACAAACAAACATGTGTATATACATATATAACAAACAAACGTGTATACATATATGTGTACACACACAGACATATATATATATATATATATTACACACATATATAATCACATTTTCTTTATCCATTCATCTATCAGTGGACACTTAGGTTGTTACTATCTCTTGGTTATTGTGAGTAATGCTGCAATGAACATGTAAGTGCAAATATGTTTTTGAGATAGTGATTTTATTTCCTTTGGATATATACTCAGAAGTCAAATTGCTGGATTATATGGTAGTTGTATTTTTAATTTTTTAGGGTACTTCCGTACTGTTTTCTATAATGACTGTACTAATTTGCCTTCTCACTAGCAATGTATGAGGGTTCCCATTTCTCCACATCCTAGCCAACATTTCTTATATTTTGACATTTTGATAGTAGCCATCCCTAACAGGTATGAGGTGATATCTCACTGTGGTTCTGATTTGCATTTCCCCAATGGTTAGTGACATTGAGTATTTTTTCATATAGCTGTTGGCCATTTGTATGTTTTCTTTTAAGAAATGCCTATATAGACCTTTTACCCATTTTTAAATTGTGTTATTTGGTTTCTTGTTATTGAGTTGTATCAGTTTCTTATATATTTGGATATAAAACCCTTGTTGTATATATGGTTTACAAATATTTCCTACTATTATATGGGTTGTCTTTTCATTTCATTGTTTCCTTCCTTGCTGTGCAGCAACTTTTTACTTTGATGTAGTCTCACTTGTTTATTTTTGCTTTTGTTGCCTGGCTTTTGATGTCAAATCCTAAAATCATTGCTAAGACTAAGGTCATGGAGGTTTTCCCTTATGTTTTCTACTAGGGGTTTTATAGGTTCAGGTCTTGCATTTAAGTCCTTAATATATTTTGGGTTAAATTTTTTTTTTTTACTATGGAGTAAGATAAAAATCCAATTTCAGTTTTTCCATGTGGATATCCAATTTCCATTTATTGAAGAGACTATCCTTTCCGAATCATGTATCCTCGGTGCCTTTGTCAAAGATTAATTGACTTTATGTGTGTGTTTATTTCTTGGCTCCCTATCTGTTCCATTAGTCTATGTGTATATTTTTATGCCAGTACCACACTGTTTTGATTATTATAGTTTTGTAATATAATATGAAATCAGGAAGTTTGTTGCTCTCACCTTTGTTTTTCTCAGTCAAGATTGCTTTAGCATTTAGGGTCTTTCGTGGTTTTATCTCGATTTTTAATTGTTTTTTCTGTTTCAGTGAAAAGTTCCATTGAAATTTTGAGAGGGATTGCATAGAATATATAGATTGCTATGAGTGATAGGTATATTTTTGAAATATTATCTTCTAGTCTATGGATATGGAATACATTTCCATTTATTTGTGTCTTCTCCAATTTAGTTTATTAATGTTTCAGAGATTTAAGTGTAAAGACCCATCATGGCAGGGTGCTGTGGCTCACACCTGTAATCCCAGCACTTTGGGAGGCCAAGGCGGGCAGATCACGAGGTCAGGAGATCAAGACCATCCTGGCTAACACAGTGAAACCCTGTCTCTACTAAAAATACAAAAAATTATCTGGGCATGGTGGCGGGCACCTGTAGTCCCAGCTACTCGGGAGGCTGAGGCAGGAGAATGGCGTGAACCCAGGAGGTGGAGCTTGCAGTGAGCTGACATCACACCACTGCACTCCAGCCTGGGCAACAGAGCAAGACTCCATCTCAAAAAAAAAAAAAAAAAAAGACCCATCACTTCCTTGGTAAAGTTTATTCATATTTTATTTAATATTTATTTATTTTACTTGTTCATATTTATGGAATACATGAGAAAATTTGTTACTGCATAGTCATCAAGTATTCTATTTTTGTGTGGCTATTGTAAATGAGATTGTTTACTTTTTTCAATAGTTTACTGTTAGTATATAGAAACACTGCTGATTTTGTTATTGACTTTGTATCCTGCAACTTTATTATATTTATTTGTTCTGACAAATTTTTGGTGGAATCTTTATGGTTTCTATATAAAAATTATGACATCTCTTAACAGAGACAATTTTACTTCTTTGTTTTCAATTTGGATGCCTTTTTATTTGATTTTCCTCTCTAATTGCCCTGGCTAGGACTTCTAGTACTATGTTGAATAGAAGTCAGGAGTGTGGGCATCTTGGTCTTATTCCTGTGCTTAGAGAAAAAGCTTTTAGCTTTTTGACATTGAGTACGATGTTTGCTGTAAACTTGTCATATATAACCTTTATTATGTTGAAGTACATTCCTACTATAACTAATTTGTTGAGAGTTATCACATGAAAGGATGTTGAGTTTTATCAAATGTTTTTGTCTGCACCTATTGAGATAATCATATGATTTTAAATTTTTATTCTGTTTATATGGTATATTGTATTTATTGATTTGCATATTTTGAACCATCCTTTCATCTCAAGTATAAATCCTACTTTGTCATGGTATATGATCCTTCTAATGTGCTCTTAAATTCAGTTTGCTAGTAATTTGTTGAAGATTTTTGCTTCTATACTTATCAGGGATATTGGCCTATAGTTTTATTTTTACGTAGTATCCTTGTCTGAATTTGGTATCAGGGAACTCTGGCCTTAAAATGAGTGTGTAAATGTCCCGTCCTCTTCAAAATTTTAGAATAGTTTAAGAAGGATTGACATTAATTCTTCCTTAAAAGTTTGATAAAATTCACCATTGAAACCATCTAATCATGGGCTTTACTTTGTTGGGAAGTTTTGATTACTGAGTCAATCTCCTTAATGTTATTTGTCCTTGTAGATTTTCTGTTTCTTCATGATTCAGTCTTAGAAGATTGTATATTTCTAGGAATTTGTCCATTTCTTTGAGGTTAACCAATTTGTTGGCATGGAATTGTTCATAGTAGTCTCTTATGTTCCTTTTTATTTCTGTGGTATAATTTGTTATGTCTCCTCTTACATTTCTGATTTTAGATGTATCTTCTTTATTTTTTTCTTAGTTTAGATAAGAGTTTGTTAAATTTGTTTATATTTTCAAAAAAACCAACTTAGATTCCTTGATTTTTTCTAGTCTCTATTTTATTTATTTCTGCTTTGATCTTTATTATTTCCTTTCCTTGTTCTAACTTTGAGCTTAGATTGTTCTTTTTCCAGTTCATTGAGATGCAAAGTTAAGTTGTTTATTTGAGATCTTTTTATTTTCTTAATGTAGGGATTTATGACTACAAACTTCTCAGAACTGCTTTTGCTGCGTCCCGTAAGTTTTGGTATGTTATGTTTCCATTTTCATTTGTTGTAAGACATTTTTGCTTTCCCTTTTATTTATTCTTTGGCCCATGGATTATGCAGGTGTGTGTTGTTTAATTTCCACATATTTGTGTATTTTTCAATTTTCCTCCTGTTATTGATTTCTGATTTCATACCATTGTGGCTAAAAATTATACATCAAATGATATAAATATTCCTAAGTTTGTTAAGACTTTTTATGTGCCCCAATATATTATCTATTCTGGAGAATGTTTTGTGTGCACTTGATAAGAATGTTTATTTTAGTGTTGAATGAAAGGTTCTGTAAATATCTATTAGGTTTACTTTGAAGTGTAATTTAATTCCAATCTTTGTTTATTGATTTTCTGACCAGATGATCTGGCCATTGTTGAAACTTGGGTATTGAAATTCTGTAATATTACTGTATTGCTACTTTGCAAGAAAATCATCCTCAAGACACATAGTCATCAGACTCTCCAAAGTTGAAATGAAAAAAAAAATGCTAAAGATAGCAAGAGAGAAAGGTCAGGTCACCTACAAAGAGAAGTACTTCACACTAATAGCAGACCTCTCAGCAGAAACCCTGCAAACTAGAAGAGATTAGGTGCCAATATTCAACATTCTTGCACAGGGCCTGTAACCTCTTTGTTTTAGCCAACTTCTCCCGTTTGGAACAGGTGTATTTGCCCAATGCCTGTACCCCCATTGTATCTAGAAAGTAATTAACTTGCTTTTGATTTTACAGGGTCATAGGTGGAAGGGACTTGCTTTGTCTCAGATGAGACTTTGGACTTGGACTTTTGAGTTAATTCTGGAATAAGTTAAGACTTTTGGGGACTGTTGGGAAGGCATGATTGTGTTTTAAAGTGTGAGGACGTGACATTTGGGAGGGGTTGAGATAGAATGACATGGTTTGGCTATGTTCCCAAACAAATCTCACCTTGAATTATAGTTCCCATAACTCCCACATGTCATGGGAGGGATGTGGTGGGAGGTAATTGAATCATGGGGGAGGTTACCTCCATGCAGTTTTGGTAATAGTGAATGAGTTCTCATAAGATCTGATGGTTTTATAAGGTGCTTTTCCCCACCTTTACTCTGCACATCTCCTTCCTGCCATCATGATTTGCTTCCCCTTCTGCCATGATTGTAAGTTTCTTGAGGTCTTCCCAGCCATACTTAACTGTGAGTCAATTAAACCTCTCTCTTTTATACAAGGTCTTGGGTATGTCTTTATTAGCAGTGTGAAAACAGACTAATACACTGGGTAATTTATAAAGAAAATAGGTTTTAACTGGCTTATGGTTCTGCAGGCTGTACAGTAAGCATGATGCTGGCCATCTGCTTGGCTTCTGGGAAGGCCTCAATGAGGGTACAGGCATTGGATAAACATTCATGTTTCAAAAGGAAGAAATCAGCTAAAAGAAAGGGGCTACAGGCCCCATGCAGGTTAAAACCCAGCAGGGCAGCCATTACATCTTATACCTCTGAAATAATCTCTTTTGACTCCATGGCCCACATCCAAGGTACACTGGAGAAAGAAGTTGGTTCCCTAGGCTGTTGGCAACTCTAACTCTGTGGCTTTGCATGGTTTATCCCCCATGGCTGCTTTTTTGGGCTGGAGTTTAATGTCTCCAGCTTTTCCAGGCACAGTGTTTAAGCTGCTGGTGGATCTACCTTCTCAAATCTGGAGGACAGTGGCTCCTTTCTCATAGCTCCACTAGACAGCACCCCAGTGGGGACTCTGTAGGGCCTCCATCCCCACATTTCCCCTCTGCCTAGCCCTAGTAGAAATTCTTTCTGAGGGATCCACTCTTGCAGCAGGCGTCTGCCTGGACATCTAGGCTTTTCCACACACCCTTTAAAATCTAAGCAGAGGGTGCCAACCTTCAACTCTTGCATTCTTTGCACCCTCAGACTTAAAAACATGTAGAAGCCACCAAGGCTTTTGGCTTGCACCCTCTGTAGCCAAAGCTGGAGCCAGAGAAGCTGTGATATGAGGACCAGTGTCTGGAAGCTACACAAGGCAGCAGAACCCTTAGCTTCACCTCTGAAACCATTTAGTCATTCTAGGGCTCAGAGCCTGTGATAGGAGAGGCTGCCTCAAAAAACTCTGAAATGCCTTCAAGGACTTTTTCCCATTGTCTTGGCTCTCAGTACCTACCTTCTTTTTAGCTATGCAAATTTCTCTAGAAAGCAGTTGCTCCACAGGCTGCTTGAATTCCTCTTCTGAAAAAGCATTTTTTTTTCTTAGCCACATGGCCAGGCTGCAAATTTTCCAAACTTTTGTGTTCTGCTTCCTGTTTAGATATAAATTCCAAATTTAAGTAATTTCTTTGCTTCTGCATCTGAGCATATGATGTTAGAAGCAGCCAGGCCATATCTTGAATGCTTTACTGCTTAGAAGTTTCTTCTGCCAGATAACCTAAATCACTACTCTGAAGTTGAAACTTCCACAGATCCCTAAGGCAGGAGCACAATGTAGTCAAGTTCTTTGCTAAGGCAGAACACAGTGACTTTTGCTCCAGTTCTCAAAAAGTTCATGATTTTCATTTGAGACCTTGACAACCTGTATGTCAACAGCAATATCACTGTCAGCATTTTGTCACAAATATTTAACTAGTGTCCAGGAAGTTACAAACTGTCCTTTATCTTCCTATCTTCTACTGAGCCCTCCAAACTCTTCCAACCTCTGCCCATTACCCAGTTTTAAAACTGCTTTCACATTTTTAGGTATCATTATAGCAATGCCAATTCCTTGGTACAAATTTTCTATTATTAGGTCATTCTTGTGGTGCTTTAAAGCAATATCTGAAACTGAGAAATTTATAAAGAAAATAGGGTTAATTTGTTCACAGCTCTATATGCTGTCTAGGAAGCATGGCACCAGCATCAGTCTCTGGGAAGCCCTCAGGAAGCTGTTACTCATGGCAGAAGGCAAAGTGGGACCAAGGAAATCACATGCTGCAGTAGGAGCCAGAGAGAGAGAGAAAGAGTAGGGAGGTGAGAGCCACACACTTCCAAATGAGCAGATCTCATGTGAACTCAGAGTGAGAGCTCACTTATCACCAATGGGCTGGGCCAAGCCATTCATGAGGGACCCTATCCATAATCCAAACACCTCCCACCAGGCTCCTACCCTGGGGATTACATATCAACATCATGAGATTTAGGCAGGGACAAATATCAACTATGTCAATTATCTTCCAGGGTTTTCACAGATTTTTGGTTTCACATTTAAGTCCTTAATCCATCTTGAGCTGAGTTTTGTAGATGGTGTAAGGAAGGGGTCCAATGTAAGTATTCTGCATATTGCTAGCCAGTGATCCTAGCACTATTTATTGTGAAAGGAATCCTTTCATCATTACTTACTTTTGTCAACTTTGTTGAAGATCAGATGGTTGTAAGTTTGTGGCATTATGTTGGGGCTCTCTATTATGTTCCATTGGTCTATGTGTCTGTTTTTGTACCAGTACCATGCTGTTTTGGTTACTGCAGCCTTGCAATATAATTTGAAGTTGGATGATTTTAGACCTCTAGCTTTGTTTTTCTTGCTTAGGATTTCCTTGGCTTTTCAGGCTAATTTTTTGGTTCTGCATGCATTTTAAAGTAGTTTATTCTAATAATATGAAGAATGTTATTGGTAGATTTATAGAAATAGCATTGAATCTGTAAATTATTTTAGTCAGTATCACCATTTTAACAATATTGATTCTTCCTATTCATGATAAACAGTATTTTGTAATTCTCATTGCAGAGATATTTTACCTCTCTGGATAGCTGTATTCCCAGTCATTTTATTCTTCTTGTGGCTATTATGAATGAGATTGAATTATTGATTTGGCTCTCATCTTGGAAGTTGGTGTGTGAGAATGCTACTGATTTTTATACATGGATTTTGTAACCTGAAACTTTGCTGAAGTCGTTTATCAGATCAAAGAGCTTTCGAACAGAGACTATGGGGTTTCTAGGTATAGAATCATATCATCTGCAAACAGGAATAGTTTGATTCTCTTTCCTCCTATTTAGATGCCTTTTATTTCTCCCTCTTGCCTGATTGCTCTGGCTAAGACTTCCTGCACTATGTTGAATAGTAGTGGTGAAAGCAGGCATCCTTGTCTTGTTCTGGTTTTAAAAGGGGATACTTCTACTTTTGCCTATTCAGTATGATGTTGACTATGGGTTTGTCATAGATGGCTCTTATTATTTTGAACTATGTTCCTTCAAAGCCTGGTTTGTTGAAGGGTTTTTTTTTTTTAACATGAAGCAATGTTGAATTTTATCAAATATCTTTTGTGCATTTATTGAGATAATTATGTGTTTTTTGTTTTTAATTCTGTTTTAATTCTGTTGATGTACATATGTTCAACCAACGTCACTATTCTAAATTATACTATAGTTTATATACCTATAACTATTTTATCCAGGGATAAAGCTTACCTGATTGTGGTGGATTAGCTTTCTGATGTACTGCTAGATTCAGTTTTCTAGTATTTTCTTGGGGATTTTGGCATTGATGTTCATCAAGGATGTTGGCTTGAGGTTTTTTTTGTTGTGTCTTTGCCACGTTTTGGTATCAGAATGATGCCGGCCTTATAGAATGAGTTAGGGAAAAGTCCCTTCTCAAATTTTTGGAATAGTTTAATTAGGCATAGTACCAGCTCCTTTTTATATATCCGGTAAAATTTGGCTTTAAACCTATCCAGTCCTGGGCTTTTTCTAGTTGGTAGGCTTTTTATTACTGATTCAGTTTCAGAACTCATTATCACTCTGTTCAGGAATCAATTCTTCCTGGTTCAGTCTTGGAAATTTGTATGTTTCTAGGTATTTATCCATTGTTCCAGATTTTCTAGCTTGTGTGCATAGAAATGTTTGTAATAATCTCTGAGAGTTTTTGTATTTCTGTACTTTCAAATAATTTCTGGATTTCTGTCTTAATTTAATTGTTTGCTCTAAAGTCATACAAGAGTAGCTTGTTTAATTTCCATGTCATTGTATGATTTTGAGCAATTTTCTTATTATTTATTTTTACTTTTATTTATTTTGCTGTGGTCTGAGAGTGTGGTTACTATGACTTTTTTTTTTTTTTTTTTTTTTTTTTTTGCTGAGAATTGATTGTGCAGTTGTTTTCAGAATATGTGCCATGTAGCAGGGATAAGAATGTATATTCTGTTGTTTTGGGGTGGAGAGTTGTGCAGATGTCTATTAGGTCCATTTTGTCAAGTGTCAAATTCAGGTCCTGTATATCTTTCTTAGTTTCCTGCCTCAGTGATCTAATACTGTCAGTGAGGTGTTAAAGTCTCCCAGAATTATTGTGTGGTTGTTTAAGTCTCCTCCTAAGTCTCTAAGAGCTTGTTTCATGAATCTTGGTGCTCCTGCATTATGTGCATATATATTTAGAAGAGTTAGGTCTTCTTGTTGAATCAAGCCCCTTTTCTTTATGAAATGGTCTTCTCTGTCTTTTTTTGATCTTTGCTGGTTTAAAGTCTGATTTGTCTAAAATTAGGATTGCAACCCCTGCTTTTTTTTTTTCTGTTTTCTATCTGCTTGGTACATTTTTCTCCATCCCTTTACTTTGAGCCTATGGACATCACTGCAGGTAAGAGGGTCTCGTGAAGACCACATATCATTGGGTCTTGCTTCTTTATCTGGTTTGCCACTCTGACTTTTAATTTTGCCATTTACATTCAAGGTTAATATTGATGTGTACAGATTTGATCCTGTCATCATGTTGTTAGCTGGCTATTATGCAGACCTGTTTTTGTGGTTGCTTTATAGTGTCAGTGGTCTATGTAATTAAGTGTGTTTTTATAGTGGCTAGTAATGCTCACTCCTCTCCATATTTAGTACTCCATTGGGACCTCTTTCAAGGCAGGTCTGGTGGTAACGAATTCCCTTCGCGTTTGCTTCTCTGAAAAGGATATAATTTATTCTTTGCTTAGTTTGGCTGAATATGAAATTCTTGGTTGAAATTTTTCTTCTTTAAGAATGCTGAATATATGACCCCAATATTTTCTGGCTCATAGGGTTTCTGCTGAAAGATCCACTGTTAGCCTAATGGAGTTCCCTTTGTAGGTGACCTGGCCCTTTTATCTAGTTGCCTTTAGCATTTTTTCTTTCATTTCGACCTTGGAGACTCTGATGACTATGTGTCTTGGAGACAGTCATCTTGTGTAGTACCTCTCAGGGGTTCTCTGCATTTCCCGAATTTAAATGTTAACCCTACTATTGTGGCTGGGGAAATTTTCATGAACCATATCCTGAAATACATTTTCCAAGTTGCTTCCTTTCTCTTTCACTCTTTCAGAGATGACAATGCATCATAGATTTGCTCTCTTTATATAATCTCACATTTCTTTGAGGTTTTGCTCATTTTTCTTTCTTTATTTTTAAATTCTTTTCTGATTGAGTTATTTGGGAGAGCCAGTCTTTGAGCTCTGAGATACTTTCCTTAGCTTGATGAATTCTGAAGTTAATACTTGTGATTGTATTCTGAAATTCTCAAAGTGAGATTTTTCAGCTCTCTAAAATAAGTTTGGTTCATTCTTACAATGTGTACTTTATCTTTCACCTCCTATTTCATTTTATTGTATTCCTCAGAATCCTTGGATTGGGTTTCAACTTTCTCCTGAATTTTCATGATCTTCATTCCTCTCTATGCCCTGAATTCTACATCTGTCATTTCAGTCATTTCATCCTGGTTGAGAACCCTTGCTTTGGAACTAGTGCAGTCTTTTGGAGGTCAGAAAACACTCTGGCTTTTTGAGTTGCTAGAGTTCATGCACTGGTTCTTTCTCACTCATCAATGTGGGCTGATGTTCTTTCAATCTTTGAAGTTGCTTTCCTTTGGATGGGTTTTGTTTTTGTTTTTGTTTTGTTTAGGTTTTTTTTTGCTTTTATCTTCTTTTTCATTTTTTCTATAGGTTATTAGAATACAGGTGTTATTTGGTTATGTGAGTAAGTTCTTTAGTGGTGCTTTGCGGGATTTTGGTGCACCCATCACCCAAGCAGTATACACTGCACCCTATTTGTAGTCTTTTATCTCTCACCCCTCTCCCACTCTTCCCTCCAAGTCCCCAAAATCCATTGTATCATTCTTATGCCTTTGTGTATTCATGGCTTACCTCCCACATGTCAGTGAGAACATACAATATTTGGTTTTCCATTCCTGAGTTACTTCACTTAGAGTAATAGTCTCCAATCTCATCCAGGTCACTGCAAATGCCATTAATTCATTCCTTTTTATGGCTGAGTAGTATTCCATCACATATACATGATATACATATATGTATATCATGTGTATATATATATATTATATAAATATACACACCAGCTTCTTTATCCACTTATTGGTTGATAGGCATTTGGGTTGGTTCCTCAATTTTGCAATTGAGAACTGTGCTGCTATGAGCGTGCATATGCAAGTATCTTTTTCTTATGACTTATTTCCCTCTGGGTAGATACCTGGTAGTGGGATTGCTGGATTAAATGGTAGTTCTACTTTTAGTTCTTTAAGGAATCTCCACACTGTTTACTATAGTGGCTGTACTAGTTTACATTCACTCCAGCAGTGTAGAAGTGTTCCCTGATCACCACATCCATGCCAACATCTAGTGTTTTTTGATTTTTTGATTACGGCAATTCTTACAGAAGTAAGATGGTATCACACTATGGTTTTGATTTGCATTTCCCTTATCATTAGTGATGTTGAGCATTTTTTCATATATTTGTTGGCCATTTGTGTATCTTCTTTTGAGCATTTTCTATTCATGTCCTTAGCCCACTTTTTGATGGGATTGTTTTTTTTTTCTTACTGATTTCTTTGTGTTCATTGTAGATTCTGGATATCAGTCCTTTGTCCTTTGTCCAATGTATAGACTGTGAAGATTATCTCCCACTCTGTGGGTTGTCTGTTTACTCTGCTGAATTTCCTTTGCTGTGCAAAAGCTCTTCAGTTTAATTAGGTCCCAGCTATTTATCTTTGTTTTTATTGCATTTGCTTTTGGGTTCTTGGTCACAAAATCCTTTGCCTAAGCCAATGTCTAGAAGGTTTTTTCCAATGTTATCTTCTGGAATTTTTATAGTTTTAGGTTTTAGGTTTAAGTCCTTAATCGATCTTGAGTTGATTTTTGTATAAGGTGAGAGATGATAATTCAGTTTTATTCTCCTACATGTGGCTAGCCAATTATCCCAGCATCATTTGTTGAAAAGGATGTGCTTTCCCCACTTTATGTTTTTGTTTGCTTTGTCAAAGATCAGTTGGCTGTAAGTATTTCGGTTTATTTCTGGGTTCTTTATTCTTTTCCATTGGTTTATGTGCCTGTTTTTATACCAGTACCATGCTGTTTTGGTGACTATGGCCTTGTAGTATAGTTTGCAATCAGGTAAGATGAAGGGCCATTTCAATTTCAGAACTACCCATGGAGTCATCTAAGGCCTTTGTTGAGACTGCATTGTAGCTCAACTTCTCCTTTTGTCTAATCCTGCTTCATTGCTTTCTCTTCCTTGGTTTTGATCCCAAGAGCACTTCTCTCAGGCATGCTAATTTTTGCCTTAGATTCTTCTCCCTGGGGTTTTATCTGCAACACCTTCTTGATGCGGGGTTGGATGAATAATTTAAAGAACAGAGATACTGATATTTAATTTTAAACAATTCCTTTTTGAAGCTGTAATTTCAATTTTATTCCTAATTCTTCAGTGAAATCATGATCACAAGAGCTTTGTGGTAGTCTCTAGCATTGGGAACTAAAGAACAGGAGTGTTTCTCCTTACCTGGGCATAAAAGATATAACCATTTATATCACAGTTGTGGCCTGAGAGTTGGACAGGAAGGAAGAGTTCAGAGAAAAGGAAGACAGAAAGTTAGCCACTGATAGAACATAAGCAACATCTCACATTGCCCGTCTAGAAGAAATCACTAGGCTTTCCAACGTTAAGTGTGGTGGAAAACTGAAGTACTCTATGTAGATATTGAAGAAATTGGTGGTCTCAGGGGAATAGAAATGTTATCCTTTGTAAATGAAGGTGATAATGATCCTTGTAGGGAAGTCTATACCAAGTTGATTTTCCAGCCATTCTTGCTCTGTTGCCCAGGCTGGAGTGCAATGGCATGATCTCAGCTCACTACAACCTCCGCCTCCTGGCTTCAAGCTTCGCCTGCCTCAGCCTCCCAAGTAGCTGGGATTACAGGCGTCTGCCACCATGCCCAGCTAATTTTTGTATTTTTACTAGAGACAGAGTTTCACCATGTTGCCCAGGCTGGTCTCAAACTCCTGACCTCAGGTGATCTATCCGCCTCGGCCTCCCAAAGTGCTGGGATTACAGGTGTGAGCCACTGCACCCAGCCCCAGCCATTCTTATTAGATTGTATGTTATTTCTACCTTGCTCAAGAAACAACCTGGAAGCCTTGCTGAGAATTTTCCATGGTAATAACACTCAGAATTGGGGTTCCGTGAATACAAAACACTAACGTAGTTGAGAAATACCCTTTTGCTTACTTCTGAACCACTGAAAAAATAATTTCCTAACATGTATGGATCTTTACTGCAGGAAAGCCTTTCAGTCTCTCTCTCAGTCTCTGCTTTCAACCCCCAAAACAGGTGCTTCTAGACTCGAGGTGTTTGAAAACTCAGCTCCAGAGAAATCCCAGGCTTAAATATTTTTCTCAACAGCTTGTCTATTGATAGAAATTGTAGATTGCTTTTACTGAAACTGTGTCTACAATTACTCATATCTTGGAGCATTTAAAAAATTGGAAAATAGTATGAAGAATTTCAATGAACAATTGTGGTGACAAGTTCCAAGCTCTATTTATAAATTTAACTTATAATCAAATTTGTTCATTTTTGTTTCTCCAGAGCTGGTAAAGAATAATTTCTGGCAGGTATAGGTTATTTCTGCCTTGGTAACCCTAATAAATGCTGGGCCTTCACCTGGCAAATGTCTACATAAATTCACAGTCAAAGCTGAGTTTGGACACATTTGAGATGAATGAAAGTCATTTCTGTAAATTTTCTTGTAAAGTTTAGTTTAGGGGTTTTACAGTGTGACACACAGAAATGTTCCATGAAGTTAATTTTTATATAAGTTACCTAATCCCAGCTACTGCTAAAAGTTCTTCCCATTCTCTATTGTCCATGATTTTCTATCTTTTATGTTCATCCCTCAGGGTCTGTCCCTGAGATGATGGGCTCAGGAGCAAACCTCTCCAGTGGTACACCTCATATCACCATCCATATCCAGTTACCATGGAAATCTCTTCGTTTTTGATCTTATCTTCTTTTCCAACTTCATGACCTGTTATTTGTTTAACCTCATTGCTTCTCTTGTCATTCTTCAATATCTTGCTTGTCCTCTCATTCAGTCTGCATCAAGTTGTAAGTGAGGGGCAGTGGAAACTGATGGGAATTCATACTGTGGTCTAATTTCACATTGGGGTGGACTATATAAGACAAGACTTTTCGCACTACCAAGAAGTACTTTTTTTTTTTCTAACCCAAGTCCTTTTATTAAATAGACTCTCTGTCCTGGGCTTGAGTTACCTTGCCAAAGACCCATTTTAGCTAACTTTGCTAAAGATATCCCAAGTTTAGAAGAAAAAAAACCCATTCCCCTACAGAAATAGAACATGTTCTAGAGAGTCTGCAGGTCTAAGATTTATGAAGTCTTCCATACAACTTATAATATAATTTCAATGGAAAAAATGCAACCACAGTTCAAAACAACTGATTTACATACTAACTTTTGAAATTGAAGCCTGTGAAATGTCTGTAGCCCTATCTCAATCTATGTCATTGCTCCAGAAAACTACACTCTTGACTATATTTTGTTGATTAAAGAGGTAAAATGTTTAGGCAGAGGGAAGCTGCAGAGTCTATTAATGAACAGGAGGGATGTAGCAAATAATAAGGAAAACTTCACAAAAGCAGTAAATTTGTCTGGGTGAGTGATATAGATCTCCTAATGCCAGAGACCCATTCCATAAATCAAATAAGAAATTGAACTGGTTCTTTCACTACAAATAAATCATGGATTGATAGGTTAATATTCACTGTTCTAAGATCCTTACTTTTGAAATAGTATGTAAATAGCAAAAAATGTTATTGTAGTTCAGTTTTTATATTTTTATTCATTCTTACTCATGTTAAATAGATAAATAGGTAGCTAAATGGACAAACACACATCTTGGTGTCAGTGTACAAGGATTATATCTGTGTTCCCTAAGGCAGCTTATGCTTCAGCCCTGCTCCTACTCCAAGGCTATTCTCAGCACTTTGCTGCAACTCACTCCCAAGTCCCTTCCCCAAAACACTTACAAATGAAGTTTTATGAACTCAAAGCCAAATGTAAATTTTTACAAGAGCTTTTGAGAAAAGTAGAGGAGAGTATTACTGCACACATTGCATCCTAAAATATTACACCAGTTCTTTCGGCCAGTTAAGTTCTCTTTTTCTCCCCACTCTGGTGGCTCTTTCTCAGTCTCTTTTAACTTTCCTCTCCACCTCTACACAGCATTGCCAAGCCTGCATTGCTCCAATTTGCTTCTCTCCTGGAGCCCTCCTTGCACCACCTGTACCACCACCACCACTGCATTTCCACTCACATTGAGAAATACATACTCTTAGGTTTCTTCAAATTGCATTCTTATGCATTACTTTGTTTAGAAAAATAAAGCAGCATTCTTGGGTGGAATCTATTTGCCAGAGAAGGCATGGTGTATTGTAAATAACAGTTCTTGTTTAAATGGAGGTAAAACTCATATGGAGGGACGAGGAAGTAAGGTGACCCCCATAGCAATTCTTCTGGCCAGGCAGGGTATTTTTAAACAGACACAATTTAAGATAGAAACCTTTGCTGCTGGCGCACGAAACATCTCAGAAATGCCATTCCATGCCACTACCTTCCCAATGCACCTGGGACAGACCTCTTTTAGAGTCTTGGGGAGTGTGAACAGCTTCATGTTCCAAATTATGTATACAAATATTAATATTATAAACCATATACAGATAAGGGTCATTAAGCTCTATTTTTATTTATTAAAACAAAATAACCTCAGCTAGGAATAACCTTCCATTTTGCCCTCTGGGTTATATTAAGGATATAAAAATGTTTACATTATCAAACTGCTTCAAAATGAGAATTTGCACAAATATCATGGTAATCAATGGTAATCATCACAATCTCATCTAAATTTTAAAAATCATTATTCCAGCAGTTCTTCACATTATAAGAGCTTGTCTTCCTTGCATATATTTGTTCATGCTTTCCCATTTCCCATACTTTCACCTTAAAATTAGGAAAAGAGATTATGTGACAAGCTGGATTTAACTGCTACTAGTTTTGGCTTACAACAAGGGAACTCTGCATTTGAAGAGAGTAGCTGCATAAATGGGTTTGTGCTTGATATGAAAAGTTGGATAGGTCAGTAGATAAGCATAGATATTTACAACACTACTTCCCCTTTTGGGTTTCACAAGAGGTTCGGTACATTTTGGCTTAGAGAAGAAGAAACCAGTGCTTAAGCCCTAATTGCAGCTCCAGGGTCTTTGAACAAAACTTACCATCATGAGAGGCATAGAGCTTCACAGCTCAACAGCCCAAAGTAAAAGAAGATATATAGCTAGAAAAGAAGAGGTGAAGAAAGATGTGACTGAACAGGAGGAGAAAAGTGAGTTTTGTTTCTCTCTCCTTTTAACACAGCCAGGGGCTAACCAAGGATTCTGCTGTATGTTAAGAAATGCTCTCCAAGGGAAGTGTTTTGCCTCCAACTGTGAAACTAATTGGTGTTCTTAAAACCCTGGAAGAACATTTTCTAGCACTGTAGATGCTATTGGGGTGGGGGAAATATTCAGAAGGGGAAATTCTCAAAGAAACATTTTTCTTGATTTTCTTTTCAACGTGCAGGCAAGTCAGAACATGTAAGGAAGGAAACATAGAAAAACGTGATCTGCACATTCCATTTACAGAGTATATATGTGTTATGGAAGAAGGATCCAGATTCTGCAAAAGAATTTCTAGCCAATCTGAAAAGTGTTGATTCAAATCTATTTTGTTCACCAAGTCACAGCAGCATTAGAGCTGTATCAACCAGATTCAGTGGACAACTCCCATTTCCCAGGCCCTCTTCTGCAATGTCTGAAACCATAGGAACAGATATTCATTTAGGAGCCTCATAAAATATTGCATGCTTCATAAAAGTGAACACAAACATTAAAATACCCAACCCATAAAAGCTTTTCTGTGAAGAGGGAGAGCTGTGATAATATGGTACATGTAGAAAGTTTTCTGGTGATTTTCCATGGTACAAAAGTGATAAAACAAAACTAAACAAAAAACCTAAAATTCAGAAGCTCATAATATTCCCCCCACCTCCTTGCTACCTTCACCTGATTCCTACCAGTTCCCCTACCTGCTCCAAGAAAACCACTTGATATTCCCTACTTAGCTTTTATCTCCCTTTCCTGAACTCCAAGTAGAAAAAGAACAAAATCCATAAGCAAATCACCAGAAAAGGTGAACCACACCCTGAGGGACACTGCAACAGGGGATACAACTGCCACGGGATATAACGTGCCAACGGACTGAAAGGATACAGTGATGAGAGAGAGTTCACTGGGTAAGATGGCTGGGATGGTACGCTATCAAAGAGAAAGTTCTAGGCTACGAGAAAAGAAGGTTTCTGCAAAGTGGGAATGCTAGACACAAGAGAGGCTAAGAAGACAAGTTGTTATAGATCAACTATATGACACCCCTTTAAATGTTTTCAAAAGATGTGAGTAAAGATTGAGATTCGTTTGGGGACTACTCTGCATCTTCAAAAGCAACACAGCTCTTGTCTGTTCATGTTGGACTTGGCTTTATAAGTGTAACACAGAGAAAAAAATGAGAGTATGCTATATAAGTTTCTCTTTCTCTTAGATTACCAAAAATTTGTTAAGGTAAGTTTGATGCCTTTGTTTCCATTGCTTAGTGAAAGTACTAAGTACAGTGTGCAGAATCATGCATATCGAATAAATAGTTTAGAGCCATTTTCTGGTATGTGTTAAAACGGCAAAATGTTCTTTTTCATTCAGACTTCAAATAGTTTATGTTTTTCTTTATTAGTGGAAAATTTGGTAGAAAAAACAAGTTTATAAAACCATGTAAATGGATAAATAATGAAAACAAATAACCAGCTGGGTTTGAGAATGGTACCACCCAAGCCAGAGGGCTAATCCACAGTGGTAGGATGGATGTTTGGTAGACAACCATGATAATCACCTCTCAAGTCCTCCTTCAATGTGCTGGGTACTACATTGTATGGTGTCCCCCATCAAAAATCACATCTGTGAATATATCTGTGAATATGACTTTATCTTAAGGTCTTTGTAGTTATAATCAAATTAAGAGAGTTTGTAATTGATTAGAAGGGGCTCTAATCTAATTACTGGTGTCTTATAAAAAGAGGAAAATTTGGAGACAGACACACAGAAAGAATACCATCACCTCCATTAAGGCAGAGAGTGATGCATCTACAAGCCAAGGAAATCAAGGATTGCCGACAACCACCAGAAACCAGGAGAGAAGCATAGAACAAATTCTCCCTCACAGCCTCCAGACTGTGAAGGAATACATTTCTGGTGTTGTAAGGCACCCAGTTTGTGATCCTTTATTATGGCAGCCCTTGGAAACTAATACATGATACGACCTGAAGATTGAATCTTGCATGGGTCCCTCTGGTTTTTCAACATGGAAAGACACTGACTCTTTATCTCCAACTGGTATGCAGATTTGTCCTATTTACATATTTTGATGGTAAGCTTAGAACTGGAACTGTAGAGCTGGAAGCAGATTTGGAACCTATTTTCCTTTATTTCTGTGAGTCTTTTACTTTAGAAAAAAATGCATTAGATTAAAAGAAAATGAAAAACAAAGGCCATGTAAATAGGTAAAAATAGACTGATAGAAATACCCATGTAAAGAGAGATACGGAAAATGTGCTGTTATGCTTCAATCTGCCAAGAACTGGGGTCTAAGGGGTAGGGATCAATAAATAACACTCTTTTCCACACCCAAGTCCAGAAACATTGAGAGATATAGAACAGGAGTCAGGTATATGGATTTCTAAAATATTACCTTTATTGCTTATGAAGTTATTGGGAGGATGTGACTTAGTGTGAAGACCAACTAGACATGCAAGCACTTTCTCTTCCTGTACTCCTAGTCCAATCATAGCACTCAAGGGAAAAGTCAATCTGTAGACAAGTTGCACATACCCCAAATTTCTGCTTTACACTGAGAATGGGAGACGAAGGGAGACTGACACACCATTTCATACAGGTTTGAATATATTATCTTCCCCCAACTGAGAAACATAACCCCATGTCCATTATTGACCTGATACTTCACTCTGCCTTCTCGGGGAGGAGTGATTTAGGAATAGAGAAAGATACCAGAAGTGTATCTCCAGGGGGCTCTCACTGTATGGAATCCAGAGGGTAGGGAGGGGGATGTATTTTGCTATAGCATTAAGATTAAAGCTTTTCTTATTTTTTACTGGAGCATCCACTGGCCTATTTTTTTTTTTTAATTCTGTGTAATACCATAGGGTTGGAAAACTTAAATCCAATAAACCAGTGGGAAGAGAGCATGTAATATGAGGGAAAAGAGAATGAACCCTTTTCATTAATTAAAATATCAAAATTTAGTACTAGCATGTTTTTAACAAAAGAAAACATTTAAATTTCAAACAAGGTTAATACAGAGAAGGGAGGAGAATTTGGAAAACTCATGGCTATTCCAGTCATTGTTTAAAAATGCTCTATAGTCCATCTTCATCAGAATTACTGGAAAGGTTTGTTAAAAATGCAAGTTCTTGGGCCTCACCCCAGACCTACTGAATCAGAATCTCTTGAGACAGAGATGGAGAAACTGCATTTAACAACTTCTTTAAGTAATTCAAATGTACACTGAAGATTGAAAATTATCTACTGTAGTACTGGTACTACAACTTTATTTGACCCATCATCACAGCACAAAATTGCCCTTATTTCTCCTGAGATTCTAAAATGTGTTTCTTTTATATTAGGTAAGAAGTATCACTTATAAATAACAATTGGAAAATATAAAACATGAATCAAGATATAGGGAAAACTGTACCCTTTCTTAGTAAAGTCAGAGAAAGGAAGAAAATGGCAACAGAATTTTGGGATTTACTGCAAAGCTGGTCTGGTGCCAGCTCACACTTGAACAATTCTTTTTATTCACATCCAGAAAATGTTTTTAAATATGCAACTCTCTGGTTTATGCACATATGATTTTGATTACATTTCAGGCTACATAGCTACATAGCAATTAGTTTGTACAGATTGGCTGAAGTGCTGCACATCCCACTTGGAAATCCTTTAACTAGATTAGAAACCCCTGGGTCTGCACATTGAAAGTTATTTTCCAGAAGGAATCTACAGTAATTAGTGATTAGTAGGTTTTCTGCACCAGCTGTTTCACAGTCTGAGACAGTTAATCCATAAATGCATTAATTATATTAGATACGTAGGTAAGAAATAAAAAGTCTACTAAGTGGGAAAATTACTGAGCTATTCTAGTTTATTGCAAAAAAATAGTGTCAGTGATTAACTGTCTCTAAAGCATAATACAGACAAATTAGCTCTTGTGTTTGAGTCAATGAATTATAGATAAATACCATTGGCTGTGAATTTTCACAAGTATACGGATCTTTTTAACATATTTAGAGGAGTTTGAGATTTATAATTTAGATTTAGAGGAGTTTGAGACTTAGAGAGTTTGAGATTTGAAAATACATTTGTAAAACATAAAAATACAAAATGATGTATCGTTTTCTATCGATTAGATTATTTGGCCATTACCAGAGACCTAAAGAACTCTTCCAGATGTTAGTTGGCAATGCAGACTACCACATCATGTACCTCTGCATTTTTGTGATCTGAAAAATCTGGACTACTAGAAACAAATTTTGTTAATGCAATGAGTTCTAGTATTCTGATATCAATTATATATTTTCCCAACTCTCATAATAATTTTCAGACATTTTTAGTAACAGAACTTTAGAGGTTACCACTATTTATTATATAATATTTAGGGATATGAAACCAGTCTTAGTAATATTTCCCCTTTTCACGGAACTGAACATGGTTTCATATAATACTCAAGTTGTTCAATAGATGTTCCTAGAATTGAATCATCTACTTCAGAGTGTCAGTTGAGGAAATAGATGCATCCCACCAAAGACTTCTTTATATTCCCAAAGTACACAATCCCCTTTATTATATTTCATGAAGATAGTGAACACCAATCCACTCCCCAAATACTGAGAATCATCCCCCCAGAGAGAATCTCTGTAATATTACTCAGATCTATTGGAGGAGATAGAAAGGTGAATGCCACTGATGTGGTCCAACCATATCACTTACAAAAACGAGGCCATTTAGACTAAGAATATTAGGTAACTTAGGTTATATTTTGGAACTGATATTAAACTAAAAATTGTGTCATAGTCAGATGCATATTAAAATGTGTTAAATTGTGTGAAAAGTAACATCTGAGAGTACAGAGAATATTGGGATTCTTATTTCTAGGCAAAATTGAGTAATAGTGGCTAGATTTATTCTCTCATCAAACCAACTAAAAACATAGACAAAATACATGAAACATCTGTTAACAAACATCAGGTGGCACAGAGCAATGATCACTGAGAGAAGAAGGACAAATAGGTGAGCCATATAACTTCACTAGCTTACTTCCTGGAGAGAGTTTCTGGACTAAAGCACAGGGAGAGAGGGAAGCCACACAGAAACCAGCAAACTCATTGAGTGGAGAAGATGAAGATTGGTGTCTAGGTGATATGGTTTGGCTCTGTGTCCCCACCCAAATCTCATTTTGAATTGTAATCTGAATTATAATCCCCAAGTGTCAAGGGAGGGACCTGGTGGGAGGTGATTGGATCATGAGGGCAATTTCTCCATGCTGTTCTCATGATAATGAGGGAGTTCTCACAAGATCTGATGGTTTTATACGTGTTTGACAGTTGTTCCTGCGCGCTCACTCTCTCTCCTGCCACCTTGTGATGAAGATGCCTGCTTCCTCTTCTGTCATGATTGTAAGTTTCCTGAGGCCTCCCCAGCCATGTGCAAATGTGAGTCAATTAAAGCTTCCTTGGTTACAAATTACCCAGTCTTGGGTATTTCTTCACAGAAGTATGAGAATGGACTAATACACTGGATGAGTCAACATGGCTAGAGTTAAAAATTAAAATACCTGAGAGGAGAGATCTGCATAGAGAAAGAGTTCTGAGGATATGCCAAGGGTCCTGAGTATTAAGCAGCATATTTTTATGAAGATACTACCCATGACGGAGAAAAATCTACTCAAAAGGCTGAGTATAAGTAATCCCTGGAGCTCACACATGACTGGGAATAATTTATGTTCCCCTCAGCCAGAGTAAAAACCTTTATTTTTATTTGTTTATTTATCTCAATAGGTTTTGGGGGAACAGGTGGTGTTTGATTGCATTAATAAGTTCTTCAGTGGTGATTTCTGAGATTTTGGTGCACCCATCACCTAAGCAGTGTACACTGTACCCAATGTGTAATCTTTTATCCCTCACACCCCTCATACCCCTTCCCTTGAGTCCCCAGAGTCTATTGTATGATTCTTATGCCTTTGAGTCCACATAGCTTAGCTCCCACATATCAGTGAGAACAAACAATGTTTGGTTTTCCATTCCTGAGTTACTTCACTTAGAATAATGGTCTCCAATTCCATCCAGGTTGCTGCAAATGCCATTATATCATTCCTTTGTGACTGAGTAGTATTCCATGGTATATATATGCCACATTTTCTTTATCCACTTGATTGATGGGCATTTGGGTTGGTTCCACATTTTTGCAATTGCAAATTGTGCTGCTATAAACATGTGTGTGCAAGTATATTTTTCATATAATGACCTGTTTTCCTCTGGTTAGATACCCAGCAATGGGATTGCTGAATCAAATGGTAGATGCACATTTAGTTCTTTAAGGAATCTCCACATTGTTATCCATAGTGGTTGTAGTAGTTTACATTCCCACCAGCAGTGTAAAACTGTTCCCTTTTTACCACATCCATGCCAACATCTATTATTTTTTGAATATGGCCATTCTTGCAGGAGTGAGGTGGTATTGCATTGTGGTTTTGATTTGCATTTCCGTGATAATTAGTGATGCTGAGCATTTTTTTATATGTTTGTTGACCATTTGTATATCTTATTTTGGGAATTGTCTATTCATGTCCTTAGCCCACTTTTTGATAGAATTGTTTGATTTTTTTCTTGCTAATTTGTTTGAGTTCATTGTAGATTCTGGATATTAGTTCTTTGTCAGATGTATAGATTGTGAAGATTTTCTCCCACTCTGGTTTTTCTGTTTACTCTGCTGACTGTTCCTTTTGCTGTGTAGAAGCTTTCTAGTTTAATTAAGTCCCATCTATTTATATTCGTTTTTGTTGCATTTGCTTTTGGGTTCTTGGTCATGAAGTTTTTGCCTAAGCCAGTGTCTAGAAGGGTTTTTCCAATGTTATCTTCTAGAATTGTTATGGTTTCATGCTTTGATTTAGGTCCTTGATCCATATTGAGTTGATTTTTGTATAAGGTAAGAGACAAGGATCTAGTTTCATTCTCTACATGTGGCTTGCCAATTATCCCAGCACCATTTGTTGATTAGGGTGTCCTATCCCCACTTTCTGTTTTTGCTTGCTTTGCTGAAGATCAGCTGATTGTATTTGGGTTTATTTCTGGATTCCCTATTCTGTTGCATTGGTCTATTGCCTATTTTTATACCAGTACATTGCTGTTTTGGTGACTATGGTCTTATAGTTTAAAGTTGGGTAGTGTGATGCCTCCAGATTTGTTCTTTTTTCTTAGTCTTGTTTTGCTATGTGCACTCTTTTTTTGTTCCATATGAATTTTAGGATTGTTTTTCTCTAGTTCTCTGAAGAACGATGGTGGTGTTTTGATGAGAATTGCATTGAATTTGTAGACTGCTTTTGACAGTATGGTCATTTTCACAATACTGATTCTGTCCATCCATGAGCATGGATGTGTTTCTAATTGTGTTGTATATAAGTTCTTTGAGCAGTGTTTTGTAGTTTTCCTTGTACAGGTCTTTCACCTCCTTGGTTAGATATATTTCTAAGTATATTATTTTTTGCAGCTATTGTAAGAAAGGTTGAGTTCTTGAATTGATTCTGAGCTTGGTTGCTGTCGGTGTATAGCAGTGTTGCTGACTTGTATACATTAATTTTGTATTCTAAAACACTGTTGAATTTTTTGTCAGTTCTAGGAGCTTTTTGTATGACTCTTTAGAGTTTTCTAGGTATACAATTACATCATCAGCAAAGAGTGACAGTTCAGCTTTCTCTTCACCAATTTGGATACCCCTTATTTCTTTCTCTTGTAAGATTGCTCTGGCTAGGACTTCCAGTACTATGTTGAATAGATGTGGTTAAAGTGGGCATCCTTGTCTTGTTCCAGTTCTCAGGGGAAATACTTTCATTTTTTTCCCATTCAGTATAATGTTGGCTGTGGGTGTGTCATAGATGGCTTTATTACATTAAGGTATGTCCCTTCTATGCTGATTTTGCTGAGGGTTTTAATCATAAAAGGATGCTGGATTTTGTTGAACGCTTTTCTGCATTTATTGAGATGACTATGTGATTTTTGTTTTTAATTCTTTTTATGTGGTATATCACATTTATTGACTTGTGTATGTTAAACCATCCCTGCATACCTGATATGAAACCCATTTGATTATCATGGATTGTCTTTGTGATATGCTGTTGGATTTGGTTAGGTAGTATTTTGTTGAGAATTTTTGTACCTATACTCATCAGGGATATTGGTCTGTAGTTTTTTTTAATATCCTTTCCTCATTTTGGTATTAGGGTGATACTGGCTTTATAGAATAATTTGAGGAGAATTCCTTCTTTCTCTTTCTTTTGAAATAGTGTCAATAGGATTAGTAGCAATTTTTCTTTGAATGTCTGATAGAATTCAACTGTGATTCTGTCTGGTCCTGGACCTTTTTTTTTTTTTTTTTTTTTTTTTTGTTAAGTTTTTAATTACCATTTTAATTTCACTGCTTGTTATTGGTCCGTTCAGAGTTTCTATTTCTTCTTGACTTAATCTAGGAGGGTTGTATACATCCAGGAATTTATCCATCTCCTCTAGGTCTTCTAGTTTATGTGTGTAAAGGTGTTCATAGTAGCCTTGAATGATCTTTTGTATTTCTGTGATATCAGTAGTAATAGCTCCTGTTTCATTTCTAATTGAGCTTATTTGGATCTTTTCTTTTTTTTGTTAATCTTGCTAATAATCTATCAATTTTATTTATCTTTTTAGGAAACCACCTTTTTGTTTCTTTTATCTTTTGTATTTTTTGTTTCAATTGTATTTAGTTCTGCTCTGATCTTGGTCATTTCTTTTCTTCGGCTGGGTTTGGATTTGGTTTGTTTTTCTTTCTCTAGTTCCTTGAGGTGTGACCTTAGATTATCTATTTGTGCTATTTCAGACTTTTTGATGTAGGCGATTAATGCTATGAACTTGCTTCTTAGCACCACCTTTGCTGTGTCCCAGAGGTTTTGATAGGTTGTGTCACTATTATCATTCAGTTCAAAGAATTTTTAAATTTTCATCTTGAGGGTTCTTTTGGAGTTGATTTCCAATTTTATTCCACTGTGGTCTGTGAAAATACTTGCTCTAATTTCAGTTTTCTCAAATTTGTTGAGACTTGTTTTGTGGCCTATCACATGGTCTGTCTTGGAGAATGTTCCATATGGCTGATGATTAGAATGTATATTATGAAGTTGTCAGATAGAATGTTCTGTAAATATCTGTTAAGTCCATTTGTTCTAGGGTATAGTTTAAGTCCATTTTTTCTTTGTTGACTTTTTATCTTGATGACCTGTCTTGTGCTGTCTGGAGTATTGAAGTCCCCCACTATTATTGTGTTGCTGTCTATCTAATTCCTTCATTCTAGTAGTAATTGTTTTATAAATTTGGGAGGTCCAGTGTTAGGTGCATATATATTTAAGATTGTGATATTTTTCTGTTGGACTAGTCCTTTTATCATTATATAATGCCCCTCTTTGTCTTTTTTAACTTCTGTTTCTTTACAGTTTGTTTTGTTTGATTTAAGAATAGCGACTCCTGCTTGCTTTTAGTGTCCATTTGTATGGAATATCTTTTTTACACCCCTTTACCTTAAGTTTATGTGAGTTCTTATGTGTCAGGTGAATCTCTTGAAGACAGCAGATTCTTGGTTGGTGAGTTCTTACTGATTCTGCCAATGTGTATTTTTTAAGTGGAGCATTTAGGCCATTTACATTCAATTTTAGTATTACAAAGTGAGGCACTATTCTATTCATGGTGCTATTTCTTGCCTGAATACTTTTTTTTTCATTGTGTTGTTGTTGTATAGGTCCCGTAATATTTACACTTTAAGGAGACTCTATTTTGGTGTTTTTCAAGGATTTGTTTCAAGATTTAGAGTTTCTTTTAGCAGTTCTTGCAGTGCTGTTTTGGTAGTGTAAATTCTCTCAGCATTTGTTTGTATGAAAAGGACTGTATCTTTTCTTCATTTATGAAGCTTAGTTTCACTGGATACAAAATTCTTGGCTAATAATTGTTTTATTTAAGAAGGCTTAAAATAGGACCCCAATCCCTTCTAGCTTATAGCTTTTCTGCTGAGAAATCTGTTAACCTGATAGGTTTTCCTTTAGAGCTTACCCGATGCTTTTGCATCACAGCTCTTAAGATTCTTTTCATGACTTTAGATAACCTGATGACTATCTGCCTAGGCAATGACGTTTTTGTGATGAATTTCCCAGGTGTTCTTTGACCTTCTTGTATTTTGATGTCTAAATCTCTAGCAAGGTCAGGGAAGATTTCCTTGATTATTCTCTCAAATAGGTTTTCCAAATTTTTAGATATCTCTTCTTCCTTGGGAACACCAATTATTCTTAGGTTTGGTTGTTTAACATAATTCTAAACTTCTTGGAGGCTTTGTTTCTTTTTTAATTCTTTTTTATTTTCTTTTTCAGATTGAGTTAATTCAAAATCCTTATCTTTGGGCTCTGAAGTTCTTTCTTCTACTTTTTCAATTCTATTGATTGTACTTTCCAGTGCATTTTGTAGTTCTATAAGTGTGTCCTTCATTCTAGAAGTTGTGATTTTTTTTATTTATGCTATCTATTTCACTTGAGATTTTTCCATTCATATTTTGTATTATTTCTTTGATTTCTTTAAGTTGGACTTCACCTTTCTCTGGTGCCTCCTTGATTGGCTTAATAGTCAACCTTCTGAATTCTTTTTCTGTCAATTCAGAGGTTTTGTCTTGGTTTGGATCCATTGTTGGTGAGCTAGTGTAATCTGTTGGGGGTGTTAAAGAATCTTGTTTTTTCATATTACCAGAATTGTTTTTCTGGTTCCTTCTCATTTAGGTAGACTATGTCAGAGGGAAGATTTGGCACTCAAAGGCTGCTGTTCAGATTATTTTGTCCTGTGGGTGCTCCCTTGATGTAGTCCTCTTCCATTTCCCCTAGGAATGAGGCTTCCTGAGAGCCAAACAGCAGTGATTGTTATTTCTCCCCTGGATCTAACCACCCAGTGAGCTACTGGCTTTGGCTGGTACTGGGGAGTGTCTGCAAAGAGTCCTGTGATATGGTCTGTCTTCATGTCTCTCAGCCCTGAATACCATCACCTGCTCTGGTGGAGGTAGCAGGGGTGTGAAGTGGACTCTGTGAGGGTCCTTAGTTGTATTTTTGTTAAGTGTGCTGGTTTTGTGTCGGTTGACCTCCAGCCAAGAAGAGGTGCTTTCAAGAGTTCATGAGCTGTGGTTTCATAGGGAGGATACAAGTTTGCCCTAGGATCAGGTGGTGGGCAATCTCACTGCTGGGTATATACCCAAGAGGTAGTAAATCAGTATATCAAAGAGATACCTGCATTCCCCTGTTTATTGTAGTACCTGTATTAACAATACTTAAGGGGAAATTATAGCACTAGAAATTTGTATCACAAGAAAAAGTTATCAAATAAATTACCTGAATGTCTACCTTAAGAATAGAGTAAGGTAAAATTAAACTTATATGGTAAGCAGAAAAGCACAAAATTGTAAAATTGGGCAAAAATCAATGAAATAGAAAACAGAGAAACAATAGTAAAAGCAAAAGCTAGTTGTTAGAGCAGATCAACAAAATTTATACATTTCCACTCAGATTGATGAAAAAGAAGACACAAATGATCAATATCAAGAATGAGGGATATGCCATTACTAAACATTCTACAGATGTTAAATAGTAATGAAAGAATAAAGAAATTATGCCTATACGTTTTTAAGCTTAGATGAGATTCCTTGACAGACACAAACTGCCAAAGCTTATTTAAGAAGAAATAACTTGAATAACACTGTATCTCTTAAAGCAATTGAATTTGCAATTTAAAAACCTATTACAAAGAAAACTCTATGCTCAAATAACTTTATTAATGAAGTTTACCAAATATTTAAGATAAATAATATACCTATTGTATACATATTCTCTCAAAAAAATCCAAGATGAAGGAAAAATCCCCAGGCTTATCTAATGAGGCCAGCATTATCCTGCTACCAAAACCAAAGGTATTACACAAGAGAAAACTGTATTTCTCATTCATATAGATGCTAAAATTTCTTATATGATTTTAACTAATTGAATTCACCTATCTATAAAAATATAATATACTATTAAAATAAGATTTATTCTAGGAATACAGAAATAAATTTAAAATTCAATCAATGCAATTCACCATGTTAACAGACTAAAAAGGACATCCATATTATTTTCTCGATAGACAAAGAACAAGGATTTAACAAAATAATACTGTAACCCTGATAAAAAAAAAAAAGTCTACAAACTAAGAATAGAAGGGAACTTCCTCAAGCTGATGAAGACCATCTAAGAAAATCCTACAGCTAACATTGTGCTTAATGTTACTTGAAAGACTACATGCTTTCCCTTTAAGATGAGAATGATAGATGGCTGCTCTTACCACTTCCATACAACATGGTATTGGAGGCTCTATTCAATGCAAAGTTCAAGAATAAGAAATGAAAGGCCCCAAAACAGCTGTGCTTCATCATTCTGGGGTACTTGGGGTACTTGCTGCTGCTATACCTCTCCCTCACAGAGTCTAGGATACTGATCAGCTCCTCCATCCCAGGGTCTAGAGTCCCTTCTACATGGTGCCTCATCCTCTAGGACCTGAGTTGCCATCAAACTCTATTGGCTCAGCTTGCAAAAACTACAGACATACCTGCCCTCTGAGCCCAAACCTCCAGAACACCCTTTCTGCCCCAGAGACAGGCCAGTGCTATATCCTACATTCCAGGCATAGAATCACAGCTGTAACTGGGTTCCTGGGCCCAAGCTGCTAGGGGGCTCTCAGAATCACAGATTCTGGTTCTATGAGCAACCTGCATTCAATCCTGCCACAGGGAATGAACTTGTACCCCAAGAGTCAGGTGCCACAATAGATTAATTAGAGTCTAAGCCTAGGACCCCAGACCCACAGCTACTTTGAACATCCGTATTTGGAGCCCAGCACTGCTGAAGCTGCTCATAGGCCATGTATAAATCAAGAGGTAGTCCCTTAGCTAAGTTTTTCTGTTGTGGGGAAAACAAGAATAGGAGGACCTCAAAAGTCCTTGACACCAAGGAAATTAATGACCCAGCCAACACTGCCACTGCCACATATTTCTACAGCCTAGACCACTGAAGTGTCCACAATTATTGTTTATATTGAACACAGATGAAGAAGCTGCATGAAGACTATACCACTGCACCTATTCAGAAACAATGTCACTATATCCTTCCAAACTTGTACACTAAAACCTAACTGCAAGTGAAAGTCTTTTTCTATAAAAACCACTATGAAAATTTTGGAAGTGATGATTGTTTCACTAGATGCACAGACATCAACACTGAGACACAAAAACATGAAAAAACAAGGAAACATTACACCACCAAAAGAACATAACTCTGCAATAACAGATTCCAATGAAAAAATTAAAAAATTGTCAGAAAATAAATTGAAAATAATGACCTCAGGAAAATTCAATGAGATACAACAAAATATAGATAAACAATTCAAGAAAATCAGTAAAGAAATTAACAGTTTTATGAATAAGAAATTTGACAAAGAACTAAAAATTATAAAAAAGAAATAGAAATAATGCAGCTGAAGAATTCAATAAAGAATAAATACTACAGACAGCTTTAACAGCAGACAGATATGATCAAGCAGAAGAATCTCTAAACTTTAAAATAGACTATTTGAAATAATCCAGCCAGAGAAAAAGAAAAGAAAAGATTTAGAAAGAGTGAAGACTGTTTATAAGGCTTATGGAACACTATTAAGTGAACAAATATTCATATTGGAATTTCAGAAGAAGAGACAAGACACAGGAAACTTATTCAATGAAATAATACCTAAAAATTCAAATTCCCAAGTCTAGGGAGAGATATGAACATCCAGAATGAGGAAGTTTAAAGGTGTCCAAATAGATTGAACCTAAAAATGTCTGTTCTGGGAACCTTATAATCAAAGGGTCAAAAGTCAAAGGCAAAGAGAATTCTAAAACTAGCAAGAGAAAAGTGTCAAGACACATTTAAGGGAATCCCTATTAGACTAAACCGATTTCTCCACAGAAGTGTTACAGGCCAGTAGAGATGTGAATGATGTATACTACGTGCTAAACAAAATGTTAGCCAAGAATACTGCACCCAGCAAAGCTATTATTTCGAAATAAGAGAAAAATAAACCTTCCCCTGGCAAACAAACATTGGAGGAATTCATCCCCATAGATCAGCCTTTCAAGAAATACTCAAGGGAGTCCTACATCTGGAATTGATAATCACTATCATGAAAACACACAGAAGTATAAAACTCACTAATAGGGAAGATACAAAAAGGAAAAGAGAAAATAATCAAACCTTGTAACTACAGAA
This sequence comes from Homo sapiens, assembly GCF_000001405.40. NCBI lineage: Eukaryota > Metazoa > Chordata > Mammalia > Primates > Hominidae > Homo > Homo sapiens. The sequence goes on along the minus strand of NC_000003.12, from coordinate 111,404,022 downwards.
AAGCACCAATGAAAAAAGAAATAAAAATTTTTAAATCAGGATATACAACACAACCAGAAAACAGTTAACAAAATGACAGGAGTAAGTTCTCATATATCAATAATAACATTGAATGTAAATGGATCAAATTCCCCCCTTAAAGAGCATAGAGTAGCTGAATGGATGAAAAAAACATAACCCAACTATATGCTGCTAACACAAAACTTTACATGTAAAGACACATAAAATAAAAGGATGCAAAAAAAAAAAAAGGTATTCCACACAAATGAAAACCAAAAGCAAGCAGGAGTAGCTATGCTTATATAAGATAAAACAGCCTTTAAGACAAAAACTGTAAAAGAGACAAGGTTATTATATAACAATAACGTTGATGACAACAAAAAAACATTGGATTTACAATGCATTTTAGACCAAATGTACCTAACAGTACATTTATAAAACATTTCATTTATAAATTTATAATATAAATTTACAATTTATAAAACATTTCATTCAATGGGTTCAGAATACATATTCTTTTCATCACCAAATAGAAAATTTTCCAGGATAGACCACATGTCAGGCCACAAAATAAGTCTCAACAAATGTAAAGAATTGCAATTGTATCAAGTATCTTTTCTGATCACAGTGGGATAAAACCAGATATTAATAACAATAGGAACTTGTAAAATTGTACAAATACATGGAATTTAAACAACATCACCTGTACAACCAATGGTTTGATGAAGAAATTTAAGAAAAATTTTAAAATGCATTGAAAAAATGAAAGTATGTTGTGTTTACAACATACCAAAACCTATAGAATACAGCAAAAGCAGAATTAAAAGGGAAGTTTATAGCAATAACCTACATCAAAAAAGTAGAAAAAATTCAAATAAAAAACCTAACAATGAACTGGAAAAGCAAGAACAAACTGAGCCTAAAATTAATACAAGAAAAGAAATAATAAAGATCAGAGCACACTGTACCCTATAAATATTTACAATTATTATGCCTTTTATTACTATTAAAGATAGTAATAAAGGGCTGGGCACAGTGGCTCACGCCTGTAATCCCAACACTTTTGGAGGCCAAGGCGGGCAGATCACGAGGTCAGGAGTTCGAAACCAGCCTGACCAACATGGAGAAACTTTGTCTCTACTAAAAATACGAAATTAGCCAGGCATGGTGGCCATGCCTGTAATCTCAGCTACTCTGAAGGCTGAGGCAGGAGAATCGTTTGAACTCGGGAGGCAGAGTTTGCCGTGAGCCGAGATTGTGCCATGGCACTCCAGCCTAGGCAACAAGAGCAAAACTCCGTCTCAAAAAAAAAAAAAAAAAAAAGGAATCAAAGAAAAACCTTAAAATGTAATTGTAAAAAATTAAGGATCAGCTGGATTTAATAAAATGTCAGTTTTTTAGAAGAAAAATGGCTATTATTGTGCAGGTAAAAATATGTAATGTTTCATTATTTTACTCTACAGGCCATTGTTGAGCACTTTCTATGTAATCATCACTTAGATAAATACCGTAAGACACAAGAAGAGAAAAGACATGGTCTTTATAAATGTGATGCATTTTCTAAAAAGAGTTGAGGTTATCTGGGAAAATCCATAACTTGTTTGAATTCCTTTCTGTTTATTTTCTAATTTAGTAATATTTTGCCATACATAAGAATGCTGCATAGTTGTTTTATGGGTCAGGCCCTCAAGAGTCTTAATTGAGCCCTACCTGGTAAGGGTATCTTTGGGGAAGAGGAGCAGTTGAGGCTGATATGAAGAAAGTCTGTGTAAAGGAAGTGGCATTTGAGATGTCTCAAAGGGACATTTCAAGTTTGCCTGTCTGGTGATAGGAAAGGAGAAGGGAAGGGAATTCTAAGTAGAGAACAAGGTGGTGCCGTTTTCGAAGTCTGTAAATGTGCGTGCAGCCTTCTTCAGTGCTGCAGTAGTTTAGTTCAGTATGACAGGAGCACATAACACATTGTAAAGGCCAAGGAAGAAGGGGAAAGGATATTTGGTGAGTAGGCTTCAGCCAGGTCCCCAAAGGCCTCTTGAGCAGTGCTAAGCTCCAAGTTGTTCTTCAAAGATAATGCTGTGTCTGTGATTGAATAGAGAGCAGCTCAATTCCCAGGGAGATTTTAGGGAGGTGTGGATATGGCTGGACTTGCAGGCTCAGGGCCAGGGCTTGTCTCTGTCATTTCACCTTCCCACGCAATATGCCTGGTCATTTGGAGGAGGGTGTTTTTGGCTGAAATCGTAAGTAGCCAAGGTTATTCCCAAAAGACATTATTTTACCCATTGCTATGAACTCATCTTTCCACAAATAGGAAGTCATTTTTGTTTGGAATCAAACTGAAAAGCAGTTGTTCTGCCATAGGACAATTCTTCAAACAACCTTATGTGTTTTCAGATTTTTTTTTCTTCAAAAATTTCTCTTGTCTATCTAGAGTATTTGTCCCAAATTCAAACCTAAAATTAATAATAGGTGGAACATTTCTTAAGGCATTTCATTCTCAGAATCACACACCATTAGCTCTTCAAGCAATTTTAAACTTCATTCTTATCGAGATGCATTTTCAATTGTGCCTTTTATTGATTCAAATCTTAATGTTTCAATGAGCACAGTCATTGAGTTGTGGCTTTGCTATTGCTAATCATATCACAAATTTCAACACAGTCTGTATTCTAAAGTGTTTGAGTAAAAGGCCCAGGTTAAATTTTGTTCAACTGAAGTATATTTTTCAAAAAGAAAAAACAATCAAAAACACAAAAATACATTCAAATTTCAGAGATAAACCAGAAATTGGGTTGTGAAATATAAATCATTTTCTGGTCTTTGTCCCATAAGCTATAGAAAATACCAACTAAATTCTTAAGACTAAGGGCATGATTTTTGTGACTTTTGTTTTATAACTGGAACACTAAAACATAGAGTGACCTTAATCTTGGTAAGCCAACTTAGTCATATATAGCAACGAATACATGTCATTATTAAAGATGGTTACAAATGTTAACTTTTGTTCATTGGTTTTCTTCTGCTATCATCATTTACGTCACAGGGCTCTCTCTTTTCTTTGCCTTTATCTCCTTGGATTTCCCATTCTTTTTTTTTTTTTTTCTTTTTTTACCTTTTCCTTTCTTGTGTGTGTGTCTGCGTGTCTTGTTTTTTTGCAAGACTTTGGGCATTCTCTCTCATTTCATCCACATCACCTATTTATAATTCTCCTTCTTTGCTCCAACTCTGTCCTCTTCAATCTTTTTTGACCAATGTGACCTACCCAGCTACTCCTCTCTGTTTTGCCCATCTCATTTTTTTCATTGCCACCTTATTCTTTAATTCATACTGAATTTTTTTAAATTTAAAATAAATTATTTCTCCTTGTTGTATTGATTATTTTCTAATTTTTTTGTAGTGGGTAATTTTATACACTCAAATATTTAGTGAACTTATATTTTATGTAGCTACTCTGCTAGATATTACAGAAATATAGTAAAAAATACCCTGTATATAATAACCCACTGAGGGAGGCTAAGCTGTGATGTTTACTTAGAAACACAGCTCACAGAAGACATTGTATACCATGATAAATAGTTTGTGGGGGCATTATAGGTTTTTAGAAGATAGCATAATCCTAGATGGGTTTTAGAAAGATGGTTTTCCTTATACTGTTTTGTAGAAATTCATCCATTCAAAGACACATTTAGAAAGGAATAAATTCTGATCATTTTAAAGATGAGCCTATGAGTTCTTCATATTCTTGTCACAAATATCCTGCATTCTCCCAACATAATTTAGGTCTCAATACATATTTTGTTGTTGCTACTGTTATTGTTATTTTCTTTTTATTAGAATAAACTAGAACAGTATGGTTAGTTTGGAGGGTGTTATAATTAACTTCTGCTAATTGCCAAGATGGAATAACAGGAGTGAGATTTGCCTTCCTGTAAAACAACTAAAACGTTGAACAAAATATTAATAAATGGTTTTTAAAATATTTTACATTGGGCAATAAAGAAGAGTCATAATGAGAGATGGGAAATGAGTGAGTTGAGTCCTCTGATTACCATCTTATTGCATGAAGAGAGTTTTTAGGCCATAGCACTTGAAAGCGTAACTCAAGTGGATCCCAGGAGTCTCTGTGCATTGAAGAAATAGAGATGGGAGTACAGGAAGACAAAAGATAGCAAGAATTACTAAAGCAAAGTATCAGAAAGAAGAAAGGTCACAGACAGAGAACTTCAGAGATGTGCGGAATATCTCTTCTTGTCTTCCAATCAGTGAATGTGTTTGAGAAAACTACTCAGGGCTAGAGAAATAAAAATTAGTAAATTAAAACTGACATAGAAATGACAAAAATAATAAAATTAATAAACCATGATATAAACTGATATAGTTAGGCTTTGTGTCCCCACTCAAATCTCATCTTGAATTGTAACCCCCATAATGCCCATAATCCCCACGTGTCAAGGGATAGACCAAGTGGAGGTAATTGAATCACGGGGACAGTTTCCCCCATGCTGTTCTCATGATAGTGAGTTCTCAACTATATCTGATGATTTTATAAGGGGCTCTTCCCCGCACTGCTCAGCACTTCTTCCTGCTGCCTGGTGAAGAAGATTCCTTGGTCCCCTTCAACTTCCACCATGATTTTAAGTTTCCTGAGGCCTCTCCAGCCATGCTTAACTGTGATCAATTAAACTTCTTTTCTTTATAAGTTACCAGTCTTGGACAGTTCTTTATAGCAATATGGAAACGGACTAATACATAAACTTGTTTCTTTAATTGCATTTGATATAATTTGGAAGCCAGGGAAAATCATAAACAAGTTAAGCAAAAATATGGAAGATATATAAGAGAAAAAAATTAAAATTATAAAGATGAAAAACATAATGTTTGAGATAAGATTTTACTGGGTGAAATTAATAGCACATTAGACTTTGCAGAAGAAAAGATTAGTGAACTTTAAGACATAGCAATGAAAATTATCCCAAATAAATAAAGTGGGGAAGATTTTTTAAAAGGCAGAAAACATAACATCAGTGATCTGTAGGACAAATTCAATCTGCCTAATATACTTGTACTTAGAATCATTGAGGAAGAGGAGAGTTAAGAATAGAAAGAAATTCTTGAAACAAAAATTTGCAAAATTTTTCAAAATTTACTTAAAACTAGTTATAAACGGAAATGTTAAAAGCAATCAGAATAAACATTATGTATAGATGAAGATCAGTAAGGATTACAGACGATTTCCGCTTGAAAATAATGTAAGTCAAAGACAGTGGAGCAGCTTCAAACTACTGAAGGGCAAGAAAAAATCAACTGCCATAACAAAATTCAGAACTCATCAAAACAGTATTTTCAAAATCAAAGGTTAAATAAAAACTTTTTCAAACATACAAAAGTTGAAAGAATTCATCCCCAGCTGACCTGTACTAAAATAAATATTTTTAAAGAAATTCCCCAAGCTAAAGAAAAATGGTACCAGGTGGAAGTCTAGATATAAACAAAAGAAAAATAACTTTACGTGCAAATATAAAATATGCATTTCTAATTATTTCACACTGTTAAAAAATTACCATTTAAAGTAATAGCAATATGTTGTAGAATTTATAACATATATAGAAATAAAATGTATGACAATAATATCCAAAAGGCCAGTAGGGGAAAAATAAGTATACTATTGAGGCTCTGAACTTTAGAGTGTGTAACTTTTATATAAGATTACTCTAAGGTAGAGTATAATAAATTAAAATTGTACACCATGAACCCTAAAGAAAGCATTAAAATAATATAATAAAAATGTATAGCTAATAAACCAACAAAGGAGATAAAATGGAATTATAAAATATGCTCACTTAATCCAAAAACAAAGCATAAAGAGAAAAAAAGGGGAGCAAAAAACAAGTGGAGCAAATAGAAAACAAGAGGATGACAGATTTAAACTCAAATATGTTAGTAATTACAGTACATGCTATTGTTTGGTTGGACTAAAAAGCAAGAACCAATTATATGATGCCTATGAGAAACTCACTTTAAATATAAAGACAGAAATAAATTAAAAGTGGAAAGATGGAAAAAATATACCATGGTAATCATAATTAAAAGAAAGGTTAAATGAAATGGCTATATGAATATCAACTGAAGTATATATTGGAGCAAAGAATATTAGGGATAATTTTAGAGATGAGGAAGGTTATTTTATAATAATATATAGTCCTATAATCACGATGACATAGCCATCGAAAACTTTTATGCACCTCATGACAACTTCAGAAAACATGAAGCCCAAACTGATAGAACTGCAAGAGAAACAGACAATTCAACAATTATAGTAAAAATTAATATCTTTTCCTCAACAAATTATAGAACATTAGTAAGGATATAGAAGACTTGAAAAGTGCTGTCAAACAACATGATCTAATAGCCATTTACAGAACATGCCACCCCCAAATAACAAGCATATACATTCGTCTCAAGTGCACATGGAACATTTTCCAAACTAGATCATGTTTTAGTCATAAAACATATTTCAGTAAATTTAAAGGGGTTTGACTTATACAACATATGCTCTCTGACCATATGAAATTAATTTAGATATCAACAACTGAGAGATATCTGGAAAATCTCCAAAATATTTGGAAATTAAGTGGGACACTTCTAAACAACTCATGAGGCAAAGAAACATCAAAAGATAAATTATATTGTACTTTAAAGGAGTTAAAAACACAAAATATAAATGTGTGGAATGCAACTAAAGCACTATTGAGAGAGAATATAGCACTAAATACCTCTTCTTGGAAAAGAAGGAAGGTTTCAAATCACTGATCTGAGCTTATATTTTAAGAAATAAGAAAAATAAGAGTAAATTAAACAAAAATTAATAAGAAGAAATAATACAAATCAGAACATAAATTTTTAAAAGATGTAAAAACTATAAAAAATTAATAAAACCAAAAGTTAGTTTTTAAGATCAATGAAGTTAATTAATCTTTAGTCAGAATGAGAAAAGAGAGAAAAGACACAAATTAACAATATCAGGAATGAGAGAGTAGATATTACTATAGACTATAAGATATTAAAAATAATATATAATAAACAATTTTGCACCGACAAATTTGACAACTTATGTAAAATAAATAAAATTATGGAGTGACATAAACTACCAACGCTCATTTAAGAAGACATAGATAATCTGGGTAGCCCTTATCTATTAAAATATTTAAACCTACAGTTAAAATTTTTATCCTAAATCAATGCAATCCCAATGAAAATCTCAGAAATTTATTTTGCAGATATTAACAAACTGATTCTAAAGTTTATATGAGAGACAAAACACACAGAATGGCCAACATAAGACTGAAGAATAAGAACACTATCTGACTTCAAGACTTATTAGAAAACTACAGTAATAAAGACAGTATGGTAAGTGGCAAAAGAATAGACAAATAGATAAATGGAACAGAATAGAGAATGTAGAAATAGACTCACATATAGTCAATTGATCTTTGACAAAGGAGCATCAAATTTGATGGAAAAAAAGTAGTCTTCAACAAATGGTACTGCAACAGCTGGACATCCACATCCTCCCACCACCAACAAAAGAATCTAGAAACAGACCTTACCTCTTTCACAAAATTAACTCAAAATGGATCACAGACCTCAACATAAAATGCAAAACTATAAAACCACTAGAATGTAACATAGGAAAAAGTCTACATGACCCAATTAAAAAATGTACCAGAGACCTTAACAGGCACCTCACCACATACAGATGGCAATAAGCATATGAAAAGATGTATTACATCATATGTCATCAGGGAAATGCAAATTAAAACAACAATGAGCTACCACTACACATCTCTTAGAATGGCCAGAATCTGACACTGACAACAGCAAGTGTTACCAGGGATGTAGGGCAACAGGAACTCTCATTTATTGCTGGTGGGAATGCAAAACCATACAGCAACATTGGAAGACAGGTGATTTTTCTATAAAAGCAGACACACTCTTATCATATGATCCAGAAATTTTGTTCCTTCATGTTTAGCAAAAGGTAGCTGAAGCCTTATGTCCACACTAAGACCAGCACATGGATATTTTATATCAGCCTTGTTCATAATTACTAAAACTTGAAGAAACCAAGATTATTCCATTAGGTGAATGGCTAAATGTACTGTGGTACATCCAGACAATGAAATATTATTTAGTACTAAAAATTAATGAATTATCAAGCCATAAAAAAAAGATGGAGGAACCTTAAATGCATATGACTAAGTGAAACAAATCAATCTGAAAAGGCTACACACCTTAATTTCAATTATTTGACATTCTGGAAAAGACAAAACTATAGAGACAGTCAAAAGACCAGTGGTTGCCAGGGGTTGGGGGCAGGGGAAATGAACAAGCAGAGCACAGAGGATTTTTATGGCACTGAAAATACTCAGTATGTTATTATAATTGTGGGCATATGTCTTTCTTAGTCCATTTGTGCTGCTATGCCAAATTACCATAGACCAGGTGGCTTATGAACAGCAGAAATTTATTTTTCACAGTTCTGAAGGCTGGAAAGTCCAAGATCAAGGCATCTGCAGAATTTATATTTCATGAGGGCATTTCTCTCTGGTCATAGATGGCCCCTTCTCACTGTGTCTTCACATGGTGGAAGGGACAAGGCAGTTCTCTGAGGCCTCTTTTATAAGAGGACTAATCCCACTCATGAGGCTCTGTCCTTATGACCTAGTTAGCCACCTCCCAAAGACCCCACCTCTTAATGTAATCACATTAGAGATTAGGTTTCAACTTATGAATTTGGAGGGGGGGAGACACAAATATTCACACCGTTGCAAGTCATTATACATTTATACAAACCCCTAGGATATACAAGGTCAACCCTAGTGTAAACTATGGCCTTTGAATGGTAATGATGTGTTAATGTCGGTTTGTTAATTATAACAAATGTACCACTTTGGAAAGGGATGTTGATAATGAGGGAGGCTACATTTGGGGTGGGGGATGGGTATATGAGAACTCTTTGTACCTTTCTCATAATATTTCTGTGAAGCTAAAAGGGCTTTTCGAAAAATACTTTTTGTTTGTTTGTTTGTTTTTTGAGATGGAGTTTTGTTCTTTTTGCCCAGGCTGGAGTGCAATGGCACAATCTCAGCTCACTGCAACCTCTGCCTTCTGGGTTCAAGCGATTCTCCTACCTCAGCCTCCCAAATAGGTAGGATTACAGGTGCGCGCCACCAAGCCCAGCTAATTTTTTATATCTTTAGTAGAGACAGAGTTTCACCATGTTTGCCAGGCTGGTCTCGAACCCCTGACCTCAGATGATCTGCCCACCTCGGCCTCCCAAAGTGCTGAGATTACAGGAATGGGCCACCATGCCCGGCTCAAAAAATACTCTTTAAAAATATTTTACTACAAAGAAAAATCTGCAGGTTCAGAGAATTTTACTGATGAATTCTACCATGGATTTAAAGGAGGAGTGAATTTCTTCTCTCTTTTTAAAAATTTTGTACTGATACATAATCATTGTATATATTTCTATATATAATATTGCATGGGATAATGTGATATTTTAATACATGGATACAATATGTAATGATCGAATCACAGTAATTTGGATATTAAACATCTCAAACATTTTTCATTTGTTTTGTGTTGAGAACATTCCAAATCTTCTCTTCTAGCTACTTTGAAATATATAATAGATTATTGTTGATTATTGTCACTCTTCTGTGATATCAAATGCTAGAACTTATTCTATCTAACTAAATTTTTGTACTCATTAACTAACCTCTCTTCATAATCTCCTCTCTTTTACTGTTTTTGGCTTTTGGTAACCACCATTCTACTGAACTTATTCTATCTAACTAAATTTTTGTACTCATTAACTAACCTCTCTTCATTATCTTCTCTCTCCTATTGTTTTTGACCTTTGGTAACCACCATTCTACTCTCTAACTTCATGAGATCAACATTTATAGTTTCCACACATGAGTGAGAACATATGATATTTGTTGTTCGGTGCCTGGTTTAGTTCACTTAATATAATGTCCTCAAGTTTCATCCATGTTGCCACAAATGACAGAATTTTGTTCTTTTACAGCTAAATAGTGTTTCTTTGTGTATATACACCACATTTTGTATCCATTCATCCATTAATGAACACTTAGGTATCGTAAATAGTGCTGCAATATGTCTGCCCAGCAGCAGGATTGCCGAACCATAGGGTAGATCAATTTTGTTTTTGGAAGAACCTCCATACTGCTTTTCATAGTGGCTGTACTTATTCACATTCCTTTCAAAGTGGAGGAGGGTACCCCTTTCTCTATATCCTCACCAGCAACTGTTGTTCCCTGTGTTTTTGATAAAAGCCATTTTAATTGGGGTGAGATGATATCTCATTGTGGTTTTGATTTGCATTTCTGTACTGATTATTTATGTTGAGAATTTTAGATAAACTTTTTGTCCATTTGTATGTCTTCTGTTATGAAATGTCCATTCATATTATATCCTTATTTAAAATAGATTATTTGGGTTTCATTTTTTGTTTGTTTTTTACTTTTTTTTTTCTTTCTTTTTTTTTTTTTTGCTAATGAGTTGTTTGAGTTTCTATGTTCCTGGACAGGCAAACTCCAAAACTGGGGCTTAACCTGGGAGGGTTTTTGTCTTTGCCCAAGAAAGAATTCAAGGGTGAGTCACAGGTGTTAGATAGCAATCTTTTATTGAATGGTATTATTCCTTGTGGAGCATGGCTAACTCATAGCCATTTCACCCAAAGTAAGCAACATATGGGCTCTTAGCAACTGTGTTTATACTTACTTAAACCTACTTTCAATTACATGCAAATTAAGGGACAGGTCAATGCACACTGAGGAGCAGGTTATATAACTTTCTAGGAAAGGGGCAGTAACTTTTGGATCATTGCCATGGAAAGGAGTGGTAACTTCAGGTTACTGCCATGGCATTTGTAAACTGTCATGCACTGATGGGAGTGTCTTATGTCAATGCGCAATGAGGGCAGCTAGGGATTACTTTCATCACCATCTGCTGGTTCCTGCTGGTTTCTTCACTTTATGCTGTCTGGACCACATCCTGTTTCAGTCAGCAGCGTTGTGATCTGAGAACAAGTTCTGCCAGTCTCCCACCTCCTTTATATATTATTTTCATTAATCCCTGAGAAGGAGAGTTTGCAAATATTTTCTTCTGTTCTGTAGTTTTTCCCTTACTATATTTATTGTTTTCTTTGCTATGCAAAAGCTAATTAGCTTGATGTAATACACTTTGTCTATTTTTGCTTTTGTTGCCTGTGCTTTTGAGATCTCACCTAAAATATCTTTGCTCAGATGAATGTCTTCAAGTGTTTTCTCAATGTTTCATTTTAGTAGTTTTACAGTTTCAGGTCTTACATTTACAGCTTTAATCCGTTTTGATTTGACTTTTGTATCTGGTGAGGTATAGGAGTCTAGTTTAATGTGCTGCATTGTACTAGATATGGGATATCCAGTTTTCCCAGCAACATTTATTGAAGAGATTGTGCATTCTGCAATGTAAGTTCTTGGTGCTTTTGTATTTAAAAAAAAAAAAAGAAGTTTCCTATAAGTGCATGGATTTATTTCTGTGTTTTCTATTCTCTTCCATTGGTCCTATGTGTCTGCTTTTATGCCAGTACCATGCAGTTTGGGTCACTAAAGTTGTTTAGTGTATCTTGAAGTCCAGTAAGTATGATACCACCAGCTTTGTTCTTTTCTTTCAGGATTGCTTTGGCTATCCAGGCCTCTGGTGGTTCCAAACAAATTATAGGATTATTTTTTCTATCTCTGTGGGGAATTTTAGTCTTGTGATGGAGATTACATTGAATCTGTAGATAGCTTTAGATAGTACGATCATTTTAACAATATTAATTCTTCCAATACACTAGCACATGGTATCTTTCAATTTTGGGGTGTGCTCCTCAATTTATTTCATCAGTGTTTAATAATTTCTATTGTAGATAACTTTTAATACTTTGGTTAAATTTATTCCTAGGCATGTTTGTTGTTGTTGTGTTTTCTTACTGCAAATGGGTTGCTTTTTTTATTTTAAAAAATTACTTGCTGATAATATATAGAGATGCTACTAATTTTTGTATGTTAATTTTGTATTATGAACCTTTACTAAATTTGTTTTTATCATCCTAATGTTTTCAGTGAAGTCATTAGATTTTTCTAAATATAGAATTATGTCATCCATAAACAAGGATATTTTGATATCTCCCTTTCCAATTTGAATATTCTTTATTTCTTTCTCTTGCTTAATAGCTCTGGTTGGTACTTCCAGTAATTTGTTGAATAAAAGTAGTGAAAATGGGCATTCTTGTTTTGTTCCAGATCTTAGGGGAAATACTTTTACTTTTTTCCCATTGAGTATGATGGTAGGCATGGGTTTGTCATAGATCGCCTGTGTTGTTTTGATGTATGTTCCTTCTGAACTCAGTTTGTTCAGAGTTTTTATCATAATAGGGTGCTAAATATTAAGTAATACTTTTTCAGCATCTATTGAAATGATCACATATTTTCCTTGATTCCATTAATGTATCACATTTACTGATTTGCATATACTGAACCAGGTTTGAATCCATGAGATGAATCCCAGTTGATCATGGTAAATGATACCTCAAATGTGTTGTTTAATTTGGTTTGCCAGCATTTTGCTCATTATCTGTGTATGTTTGTTAATCACAGATATTGGCCTGTTATTTTCTTTTTTGTTGCTGCTGTATGCTTGTTTGGTTTTGGTATCAGAGTAATGCTGGCCTCAAAGAATGAGTTTAAAATTATTCCCTCCTTTTCAATTTTACTGGAATAGTTTGAATAGAATTGGTATTAGTTCTTTCTTAATTGTATAATAGATTTCAGCAGTGAATCCATCAGGTCCCAGTCTTTTCTTTAATGGGAGACTTAATTACTGCTTTGATCTCATTACTCATTGTTGGTCTGTCCAAGATTTCTACTTTTTTATAATTCAATGTTGGTAAGTTGCATGTTTCCAAAAATGTATCGATGTCTTCTAGGTTTTCCAATTTATTGGCCTGTAGTTGTTCATAATAGTGTCTAATAATCCTTTGTTCTGTCATGTCTCTTGTAATGTTTCCTTTTTTGTCTCTGATTTTATTTACTTGGGTTTTCTCTCTTTTTTTCTTAGTCCAGTTAAAGGATTGATGATTTTGTTTATCTTTTCAAGAAACCAACTTTTCATTTTATTATCTTTTGTGAATTTTTTTTTTTTTGTGGGTTTTTTTTATTATTGTACTTTAAGTTTTAGGGTACATGTGCACAATGTGCAGGTTAGTTAAATATGTATACATGTGACATGCTGGTGCACTGCACCCACTAACTTGTCATCTAGCATTAGGTATATCTCCCAGTGCTATCCCTCCCCGCTTCCCCCACCCCACAACAGTCCCCAGAGTGTGATGTTCCCCTTCCTGTGTCCATGTGTTCTCATTGTTCAATTCCCGCCTATGAGTGAGAATATGCGGTGTTTGGTTTTTTGTTCTTGAGATAGTTTACTGAGAATGATGATTTCCAATTTCATCCATGTCCCTACAAAGGACATGAACTCATCATTTTTTATGGCTGTATAGTATTCCATGGTGTATATGTGCCACATTTTCTTAATCCACTCTATCATTGTTGGACATTTGGGTTGGTTCCAAGTCTTTGCTATTGTGAACAGTGCCACAATAAACATACGTGTGCATGTGTCTTTATAGCAGCATGTTTTATAGTCCTTTGGGTATATACCCAGTAATGGGATGGCTGGGTCAAATGGTATTTCTAGTTCTAGATCCCTGAGGAATCGCCACACTGACTTCCACAATGGTTGAACTAGTTTACAGTCCCACCAACAGTGTAAAAGTGTTCCTATTTCTCCACATCCTCTCCAGCACCTGTTGTTTCCTGACTTTTTAATGATGGCCATTCTAACTGGTGTGAGATGATATCTCATTGTGGTTTTGATTTGCATTTCTCTGATGGCCAGTGATGGTGAGCATTTTTTCATGTGGTTTTTGGCTGCATAAATGTCTTCTTTTGAGAAGTGTCTGTTCATGTCCTTCACCCACTTTTTGATGGGGTTGTTTGTTTTTTTCTTGTAAATTTGTTTGAGTTCATTGTAGATTCTGGATATTAGCCCTTTGTCAGATGAGTAGGTTGCGAAAATTTTCTCCCATTTTGTGGGTTGCCTGTTCACTCTGATGGTAGTTTCTTTTGCTGTGCAGAAGCTCTTTAGTTTAATTAGATCCCATTTGCGAATTTTGGCTTTTGTTGCCATTGCTTTTGGTGTTTTAGACATGAAGTCCTTGCCCATGCCTATGTCCTGAATGGTAATACTTAGGTTTTCTTCTAGGGTTTTTATGGTTTTAGGTCTAATGTTTAAGTCTTCAATTCGTCTTGAATTGATTTTTGTATAAGGTGTAAGGAAGGGATCCAGTTTCAGCTTTCTACATATGGCTAGCCAGTTTTCCCAGCACTATTTATTAAATAGGGAATCCTTTCTCCATTGCTTATTTTTCTCAGGTTTGTCAAAGATCAGATAGTTGTAGATATGCAGAGTTATTTCTGAGGGCTCTGTTCTGTTCCATTGATCTATATGTCTGTTTGGTACCAGTACCATGTTGTTTTGGTTACTGTAGCCTTGTAGTATAGTTTGAAGTCAGGTAGCATGATGCCTCCAGCTTTGTTCTTTTGGCTTAGGATTGACTTGGCGATGCGGGCTCTTTGTTGGTTCCATATGAACTTTAAAGTAGTTTTTTCCAATTATGTGAAGAAAGTCATTGGTAGCTTGATGGGGATGTCATTGAATCTGTAAATTACCTTGGGCAGTATGGCCATTTTCACGATATTGATTCTTCCTACCCATGAGCATGGAATGTTCTTCCATTTGTTTGTATCCTCTTTTATTTCCTTGAGCAGTGGTTTGTAGTTCTCCTTGAAGAGGTCCTTCACATCCCTTGTAAGTTGGATTCCTAGGTATTTTATTCTCTTTGAAGCAATTGTGAATGGGAGTTCACTCATGATTTGGCTCTCTGTTTGTCTGTTGTTGGTGTATAAGAGTGCTTGTGATTTTTCTACATTGATTTTGTATCCTGAGACTTTGCTGAAGTTGCTTATCAGCTTAAGGAGATTTTGGGCTGAGACAATGGGGTTTTCTAGATATACAATGGATAAATTCCTCGACACATACACTCTCCCAAGACTAAACCAGGAAGAAGTTGAATCTCTGAATAGACCAATAACAGGAGCTGAAATTGTGGCAATAATCAATAGCTTACCAACCAAAAAGAGTCCAGGACCAGATGGATTCACAGCCGAATTCTACCAGAGGTACAAGGAGGAACTGGTACCATTCCTTCTGAAACTATTCCAATCAATAGAAAAAGAGGGAATCCTCCCTAACTCATTTTATGAGGCCAGCATCATCCTGATACCAAAGCTGGACAGAGACACAACCAAAAAAGAGAATTTTAGACCAATATCCTTGATGAACATTCATGCAAAAATCCTCAATAAAATACTGGCAAACCAAATCCAGCAGCACATCAAAAAGCTTATCCACCATGATCAAGTGGGCTTCATCCCTGGGATGCAAGGCTGGTTCAATATATGCAAATCAATAAATGTAATCCAGCATATAAACAGAACCAAAGACAAAAACCACATGATTATCTCAATAGATGCAGAAAAGGCCTTTGACAAAATTCAACAACCCTTCATGCTAAAAACTCTCAATAAATTAGGTATTGATGGGACGTATCTCAAAATAATAAGAGCTATCTATGACAAACCCACAGCCAATATCATACTGAATGGGCGAAAACTGGAAGTATTCCCTTTGAAAACTGGCACAGGACAGGGATGCCCTCTCTCACCACTCCTATTCAACATAGTGTTGGAAGTTCTGGCCAGGGCAATTAGGCAGGAGAAGGAAATAAAGGGTATTCAGTTAGGAAAAGAAGAAGTCAAATTGTCCCTGTTTGTGAATATTTTTTGAGTCTCAACTTCATTTATTTCTGCTCTGATCTTTATTATTTCTCCCATTCTAATAATTTCAAGTTCTCTTTGTTCTTGCTTTTCTGTTTTCTTTAGGTACATTGTTAGATTGTTTATTTGAGGTCTTTCTACTTTTTCAATCTTGGCATTTATTACTATACATTTTTCTCTTATACCTGTGTTTGCTGTATCACATATCTTTTAGTATGCTGTGTTTCTATTTTCATTTATCTCAGGAAATTTTTAAATTTCCTTTTTGATGACTTCATTGGTTGATTCATTATTTCAGGAGCATATTGCTTAATTGTCATAAATTTCTCCAGTTTCCAACATTCCTTCTGTTATCGATTTCTGCTTGTATTCCACTGTGGTCAGAAAAGATATTTAATATGATTTCCATTTTTAAAAATCTCGTAAGGCAAGTTTTGTCTCCTGACATATGGTTAATCCTGCAGAATGTTCCATGTGCTGATGAAAAGAATGTGTGTTCTGCAGCTGTTAGGTGAAATGTTCTATAAATACCTGCTAGGTTCATTTTGTCTAAAGTGCAGTTTAACTCCAAGATTTCTTTGTTGATTTTCAATCAGAATAATCTGTCCATTGCTGACAGTGGGGGTATTGAAGTCCTCTACTATTATTGTATTGTAATCAATCTCTCCTTTTAGGTCTATTTATACTTGCTTTATGTAATTGGGTGCTCTGGTGTTGGGTGCATATAATTACAATTGTTATATCCTCTTGTTATATTGACCCCTTTGTAATTATGTAACGACTTTATTGTCCTTTTCCCCCCATTCTATACTTAAAGTCTATTTTATCTATCATAAGTATAGCTACTTCTACACTTTTTGGTTTTTATTTGCATGGAATATCATTTTCTATCCTTTTACTATTAGCTGGTGTATGTCTTTATAGGTGAACTGCATTTCATGTAGACAGCCTCTAATTGGCATTACTTGTTATCCACTCAGCTACTCTATGCCTTTTAATTGGAAAATTTACTCCACCTACATTCAAGGTTATTTTTCATAGGTAAGGATATTGTTGCTTGTTTTCTGGTTGTTTTGCAAATCATTTTTCCATTTTTCCTTTCTTACTATCTTTCTTTGTCATTAAGTATTTTTCTATAATAGTATGTTTTGATTCTGTGCTATTTATTTTTAGTGTATCTATTATAGGGTTTTGCTTTGTGGTTACCATGAGGCTTGTGGAAAACATCTTATAATTATAACAGGTTATTTTAAACTGATAAAACAAGGTTTATTGCAAAGAAAAGCAACAAAACCAAATTACACATTAATACCATACCCCCCAAATTATGACTTATTGATGATTCAATTTACATATTTTAATATTGCCTATCTCTTAACCATTGCTGTTGTTATTTTTTTTTACACTCATGTAAGGCTATAATAATTGCAAATAATACGGCACACGAAGAGAAGAAAAGTCCAGGCAATTATAGGAAGTCTGAAAACTCCCAGTGCAGTCCTCCCAAGGTCTTTTCTCAGTTGCTTATGAAGCATTTCATCTTTGGATTATGAACTTTTCAGATATGTATGGGGTATCTAAGTTCAGCATAGTCCAAATGGAAGTTTACTGAAGGGCCTATTACGCCTGACTGGTCACTTCGCTACAGCCAAGCTGTGTAACAGGTTAAACCAGATGCAAACCATGAATCCATATATCCTAAACAGTGTAGACAAGATAACATGGAGTGCCTCCAGGGGAGTTTTGAACTTTAAACTAAATGACATGTTCTAAATCACTAGCTGTAACATCCCATTCTTATCTTGACCAAGGGTCAGTAGCAGACTTCCGGGTGTCCCCGGAGATAAGCACAGAGCCTCTCAAGTCCAGCTGTAAGATAACCCTATCCTTGCATAGTGTTATTATCTCCATTTTACAGATGAGCAAATTAAGGTGTTAATTTGTTAAGTAGCTAGCCAAGGCCATAGAACTGGCAAATGGCAGAAATGGGATTCCTCATAGGAAGAAGTTAAATGACTTCTGAAAGTTGGTGCTAATACTGAACAAGGCTTGATTTAGGAGGACAATCCAGGTTTACAATACTGAGTTCATTGTTTTTGGATAAATTGTCTCTGTCACTCAAGATGGACTTACCTTGAAAATTAGAGAAAATTTCAACATGCAAAAATATAGAGGCATGGGGGAGTATTCAGTGAATAGAAAGGAACTGCAAATAACTAACCATCACTTAAAGGTAGGGTGGTGTCTGAAGCTCATATAATTTTGGCAGCCCTTTTAAAACAAATAGAATATAAATTGCATATATAGAATTAAGGATGAAAATGAATATTTATTTAAAGTGAGAAAGAAAATTACAACAAATTGTAGATTTAAGTAGCTGGGAAATTCCAAAACCATCACATAATTTAGAAAAAAAATATTTAATATTAACTATCTGACATCTCTCTATATTTTTTCTTATATTCTTTGGCTGCAAACTTTAAAAAATATATTTCACTTTTTAAAAGTGTTAGATTTAGAGAGCAGTTAAAACCAGGAATTCCCTATTATTACCATCCTACATTTCTCACTTTGTTAATGGAATAACACTAATACAATATTACTAAGGTTCACAGTTTATTCAGATTTCCTTAGTTTTTTTAAATTTTACTTTAAATTCTGGGATACATGTGCTGAAAGTGCAGGTTTGTTACATAAGTATACATGTGCCATGGTGGTTTGCTGCACCTATCAACCCATCATTTAGGTTTTAAGCCCCTCATGCATTCAGTATTTGTCCTAATGCTCTCCCTCCCTTTTCCCCCAACCCCCTGACAGGCCCTGGTGTGTGATGTTCCCCTCCCGGTGTCCATGTGTTCTTATTGTTCAACCCCCACTTATGAATGAGAACATGCGGTGTTTCATTTTCTGTTCCTGTGTTAGTTTGCTGAGGATGATGGTTTCCAACTTCATCCATTTCCCTGCAAAGGACATGAACTCATTCTTTTTTATGGTTGCATAGTATTCCATGGTGTATTTGTGCCACATTTTGTTTATCCAGTCTATCATTGTTGGGCATTTGGGTTGGTTCCAAGTCTTTGCTATTGTAAATAGTGCTGCAGTAAACATAAGTGTGCATGTGTGTTTACATGAGAATGATTTATAATCCTTTGGCTACATACCCAGTAATGGGATTGCTGGGTCAAATGGTATTTCTGGTTCTAGATGCTTGAGGAATCGCAACACTTGCACAATGGTTGAACTAATTTACACTCCCACCAACAGTGTAAAAGTGTTCCTAGTTCTCCACATCCTCTCCAGCATCTGTTGTTTCCTGCCTTTTTAATGATCACCATTCTAACTGGCATGAGATAGTATCTCATTGTGGTTTTGATTTGCACTTTTCTAATGAC
This sequence comes from Homo sapiens, assembly GCF_000001405.40. Taxonomy (NCBI): domain Eukaryota; kingdom Metazoa; phylum Chordata; class Mammalia; order Primates; family Hominidae; genus Homo; species Homo sapiens. Next base: position 111,384,623 of record NC_000003.12, on the reverse strand, counting down.
CAGTGATGATGAGCTCTTTTTCATATGCTTTTTGGCCACATAAATGTCTTCTTTTGAGAAGTGTCTGTTCATATTATTTGCCCACTTTTTGATGTAGTTGTTTGCTTTTTTCTTGTAAATTTGTTTATGTTTCTTGTAGATTCTGGATATTAGACATTTATCAGATGGATAGATTGCAAAAATTTTCTCCCATTCTGTAGTTTGCCTGTTCACTCTGATGATAGTTTCTTTTGCCGTGCAGAAGCTCTTTAGTTTAATTAGATCCCATTTGTCAATTTTTGCTTTTGTTGCCACTGCTTTTGGTGTTTCAGTCATGAAGTCTTTGCCCATGCCTACATCCTGAATGGTATTGCCTAGGTTTTCTTCTAGGGTTTTTATGGTTTTAGTTTTACATTTAAGTCTTTAATCCATCTTGAGTTAATTTTTGTATAAGGTGTAAGGAAGGGGTCCAGTTTCAGTTTTCTGCATATGGCTAGCCAGTTTTCCCAGCACCATTTATTAAATAGGAAATCCTTTCCTCATTGCTTTTGTCAGGTTGTCAAAGATCAGGTGGTTGTAGATGTGTGGTGCTACTTCTAAGGTCTCTGTTCTGTTCCTTGGTCTATATATCTGTTTTGGGACCTATACCCTGCTGTTTTAGTTACTGTAGCCTTGTAGTATAGTTTGAAGTCAGGTGGCGTGATGCCTCCAGCTTTGTTCTTTTTTGCTTAGGATTGTCTTGGCTATCTGGGCTCTTTTTTGGTTCCATATGAAATTTAAAGTAGTTTTTTCTAGTTCTGTGAAGAAAGTCAATGGTAGCTTGATGGGAATAGCATTGAATCAATAAATTACTTAGGGCAGTATGGCCATTTTCACAATATTGATTCTTTCTATCAATGAGTATAAATTCTTTTTGCATTTGTTTGTGTCCTTTCTTATTTCCTTGTGTAGTGGTTTATAGTTCTCCTTGAAGAGGTCCTTCATGTCCTTTGTAAGTTGTACTCCTAGGTATTTTATTCTCTTTGTAGCAATTATGAATGTAGTTCACTCATGATTTGGCTCTCTCCTTGTCTATTATTGGTGTATAGGAATGTTTGTGAATTTTACACATTGATTTTGTATCCTTAGACTTTGCCGAAGTTGCTTATCAGCAAAAGGAGTTTTTGGGCTAAGGCAATGGGGTTTTCTAAATATACAATCATGTCATCTGCAAACAGACAATTTGACTTCCTCTCTTCCTATTTGAATACCCTTTATTTCTTTCTCTCACCTGATTGCCCTGGCTAGAACTTCCAACACTACATTGAATAGGAGTGGTGAGAGAGTGCATCCTTGTCTTATGCTGGTTTTCAATGGGAATGCTTCCAGCTTTTGCCCATTCAGTAAGATATTGGCTATGGAACTGTCATAAATAGCTCTTATTATTTTGAAGTATGTTCCATCAATACCTAGTTTATTGAGAGTTTTTAGCATGAAGGGGTGTTAAATTTTATCAATGGGTTTTATCACCTCTATTGAGATAATCATGTGGTTTTTGTCATTGGTTCTGTTTATGTTATGGATTACATTTATTGATTTGTGTACCAGCCTTGCATCCCAGGGATGAAGCTGACTTGATCATGGTGGATAAGCTTTTTGATGTGCTGCTGGATTCAGTTTGTCAGTATTTTATTGAGGATTGTTACATCAATATTCATCAGGGATATTGGCTTGAACTTTTCTTTTTTTGTTGTGTCTCTGCTAGGTTTTGAAATCAGGAAGATGCCGGCCTCATAAAATGAGTTGGGGAGGAGCCTCTCTTTTTCTATTCTATGGAATAGTTTCAGAAGAAATGGTACCAGCTCCTCCTTGTACCTCTGGTAGAATTCGGCTGTGAATCCATCTGGACCTGGGCTTTTCTTGATTGGTAGACTATTAATTACTGTCTTGATTTCAGAACTTGTTACCAGTCTATTCAGGGATTTGAATTCTTCTTGGTTTAGTATTGGGAGTGTGTATGTGTCCAGGAATTTATCCATTTCTTCTAGATTTTCTAGTTTATTTGCATAGAAGTATTTATAATATTCTCTGATGGTAGTTTGTATATCTGTAGGATCAGTGGTGATATCCCCTTTATCATTTTTTAGTGTGTCTATTTGATTCTTCTTCATTAGTCTGGCTAGTGCTCTATTCGATTAATCTTTTTAAATAATCAGCTCCTGGATTAATTGATTTTTTGAAGGATTTTTTGTGTTTCTATCTCCTTCAGTTCTGCTTGTTCTTATTTATGTTTTGTCTTCTGCTAGTTCTTGAATTTGTTTGTTCTTGCTTCTCTAGTTCTTTTAATTGTGATGTTAGGGTGTGGATTTCAGATCTTTCCCACTTTCTGATGTGGGCATTTAGTGGTATAAATTTCCCTCTTAACACTGCTTTAGCTGAGTCCCAGAGATTCTGGTATGTGGTCTCTTTGTTTTCATTGGTTTCAAAGAACTTCGTTATTTCTTCGTTAATTTTGTTATTTATCCAGTAGTCATTCAGGAGCAGGTTTTCAGTTTCCACGTAGTTGTGCAGTTTCAAGTGAGTTTCTTAATGCTGTGTTATAATTTGATTGCACTGTGGCCTGAGAGGCTCTTTGTTATGATTTCCATTCTTTTGCATTTGCTGAGGAGTGTTTTACTTCCAAATATGTGATTGATTTTAGAATAAGTGCTATATAGTGCTGAGAAGAATGCATATTCTGTTGATTGGGGGTGGAGAGTTCTGTAGATCTCTGTTAAATCTGCTTGGTCCAGAGCTGAGTTCAAGTCTTGGATATCCTTATTAATTTTCTGTCTCATTGATCTGTCTAATATTGATGATGGGGTGTTAAAGTCTCCCATTATTGTTGTGTGGGAGTCTAAGTCTCTTCATAGGTCTCTAAGAACTTGCTTTATGAATTTGGGTGCTCCTGTGTTGGGTGCATATATATTTAGGATAGTTATCTCTTCTTGTTGAATTGATCCCTTTACCATTATTAATGGCCTTCTTTGTCTCTTTTGATCTTTGTTGGTTTACAGTCTGTTTTATCAGAGACCAGGATTGCAACCCTGCCTTTTTTTTTTTTTTTCTTCCCATTTGCTAGGTAAATATTCCTCCATCCCTTTATTTTGACCCTCTGTGTTTCTTTGCATGTGAAATGGGTCTCCTGAATACAGCACACCAATGGGTCTTCACTCTATCCAATTTGCCAGTCTCTGTCTTTTAATTGGGGCATTTAGCCTATTTACATTTAAGGTTAATATTGTTATGTGTGAATTTGATCCTGTCATCATGATGCTAGCTGGTTATTTTGAACATTAGTTGATGCAGTTTCTTCATAGTATCGTTGGTCTTTATATTTTAATGTGTTTTTGCAGTGGCTGATACTGGTTGTTCCTTTCCATATTTAGTGCTTCCTTCAGAGCTCTTGTAAGGCAGACATGGTGGTCACAAAATCCCTCAGCATTTGCTTGTCTGTAAAGAATTTTATTTCTCTTTCACTTCTGAAGCTTAGCTGGACTGGATATGAAATTCTGGGTTGAAAATTCTTTTCTTTAAGAATGTTGAATATTGGCCCCCACTCTCTTTTAGCTGTAGGGTTTCTGCAGAGAGATCCACTGTAAGTCTGATGGGCTTCCCTTTGTAGGTAACCTGACCTTTCTCTCTGGCTGGCCTTAACATTTTTTACTTCATTTCAACCTTGGAGAATCTGACAATTATGTGTCTTGAGGTTGCTCTTCTCGAGGAGTTTCTTAGTGGTGCTCTCTGTATTTCCTGAATTTGAATGTTGGCCTGTCTTGCTATGCTGGGGAAGTCCTCTTGGTTACCATCCTGAATTGTGTTTTCCAACTTGGTTCCATTCTCTCAATCACTTTCAGGGACCCCAATCCATCACAGGTTTTGTCTTTTCACATAGCCCCATATTTCTTGGAGGCTTTGCTCATTCCTCTTCATTCCAGTTTTGTTCCCTTGCAGGAGAGGAGTTGTGATCATTTGAAGGGGAAGAGGCATTCTGGTTTTTGTAATTTTCAGCATTTTTGTACTGGTTTTTCCTCATCTTCATGGATTTATCTACCTTTGATCTTTGAGGCTGATGACCTATGGATGGGGTTTTTATGTGGGTGTACTTTTTGCTGATGTTGATGTTATTGCTTTTTGTTTGTTAGTTTTTCTTCTAACAGTCAGGCTCCTCTTCTGCAGGTCTGCTGCAGTTTGCTGGAGGTCCACTCCAGACCCTGTTTGCCTGGGTATCACCATCAGAGGCTGCAGAACAGCAAAGATTGCTGCCTCCTCCTTCCTCTGGATGCTTTATCCCAGAGGGGCACCAACCTGATGCCAGCCAGACCTCTCCTGTGGGAAGTGTCTGTCAACCTGTGTTGGGAGGTCTCTCCCCGTCAGGAGGCATGGGGGTCCAGGACCCACTAGAGGAGGCAGTCTGTCTCTTAGCAGAGCTTGATCACTGTGCTGGGAAAACCCTTCTTGTCAGGATCCACTGCTGTCTTCAGAGCTGGCAGGCAGGAACATTTAAGTCCACTGAAGCGGCACCCACAGCCGTCCTTTCCCCCTGGTGCTCTGTCTCAGGGAGATGGGAATTTTATCTATAAGCCCCTGACTGAGGCTGCTGCCTTTCTTTCAGAACTGCCCTGCCAGTGAAGAGGAATCTAGAGAGGCAGTCTGGCCACAGCCACTTTGCTGTGCTGTGTTGAATTCTGCCCAGTCTGAGCTTCCTGGTCTCCTTAGCACTGTCAGGGGAAAACCGCCTACTCAAGCCTCAGTAATGGTGGATGCCCCTCCCCTTACCAAGCTCAATCATCCCCAGTAGACTTCAGACTGCTGTGCTGGCAGTGAGAATTTCAAGCCAGTGGTTCTTAGCTTGCTGGGCTCCATGGGAGTGGGACCAGCTGAGCGAGACTACTTGGCTCCCTGGCTTCAGCCCCCTTTCCAAGTGAGTGAATGGTTCTCTCTCACTGGGGTTCCAGGCACCACTCATTTGGAAATGCAGAAATCACCCGCCTTCTGCGTTTGTCTCACTGGGAGTTGCAGACCACAGCTGTTCCTATTCCGCCATCTTGCCAGATCTCCCCAGTTATTATTATTTTTAATAGGTTTTTGTCTTTTAGTCACTATACTTTAGTTATAAATTAATTAATTTGTTTATTTGTTTATTTAAGTTCTGGGGTACATATGCAGGTTTGTAATTAGGTAAACACGTGCCATGGTAGTTTGCTGCACCTACCTACTCATCACCTAGGTTATTTTAAATTTATTTTCATAGGTTACTGGGGAACAGGTGGTGTTTTGTTGCATGGGTAAGTTCTTTAGTGGTAATTTGTGAGATTTTAGTGCATCTGTCACCCAAGCAGTGTACACTGCACCCTATTTGTAGTTTTTTAACCCTCACCCTTTTTCCACCCTTTACCCTTTTGTCCTCAAAGTCCATTGTGTCATTCTTATGCCTTTGCATGCTCATAGCTTAGCTCCCATTTATGAGTGAGAACATATGATGTTTGGTTTTCCATTCCTGAGTTACTTCACTTAGAATAACAGTCTCCAATCTCATTCAGGTTGCTGTGAAAGCCATTAATTCATTCCTTTTTATGGTTGAGTAGTATTCCATCATATATACATAAATATATCACAGTTTCTTTATCTACTCATTGATTGATGAGCATTTGTTTTGTTACCACATTTTTTGCAATTGTGAATGGGCTGCTATAATATAATATAACTTTCATGTAATAACTTACTTTCTTCTGGGTAGATACACAGGAGTAGGATTGCTGGATCAAATGCTAGATCTAATTTTAGTTATTTAAGGAATCTTCACACTGTTTTCCATGTGGCTGTACTGGTTTGCATTCCCACCAGCAATGTAGAAGTGTTCACTCTTCACTGCATCCACACCAACATCAAGTGTTTTTTGCTTTTTTGATTATGGCATTCTTCTGGGAGTAAGGTGGTATCACACTATGGTTTTGTTTTGCATTTCCCTGATCATTAGTGATGTTGAGCATTTTTTCATGTTTGTTGGCCATTTGTATACCTTCTTTTGATAATGATCTATTCATGTCCTTAGCCTATTTTTGATAGGATTGTTTGGCTTTTTCTTGCTGATCTGTTTGAGTTCATTGTAGATTCTGGATATTAGTCTTTTGTCAGACATATAGATTGTGAAGATTTTCTCCCACTCTGTGGGTTGTCTGTTTACTCTGCTGACTGTTCCTTTTGCCATGCAAAAGGTCTTTAGTTTAATTAAGTCCCAGCTATTTACATTTGTTTTTATTGCATTTGCTTTTGGGATACTGGTCATGAAATCCTTGCCTAAGCCAATGTCTAGAAAGGTTTTTCCAGTGTTATCTTCTGGAATTTTTATAGCTTCAGGTCTTAGATTTACAACCTTAATCCATCTTGAGTTGATTTTTGTGTAAGGTAAGAGATGAGAATTCAGTTTTATTCCCCTCCATGTGGCTAGCCAATTATTTCAGCACCATTTGTTGAAAGGGTGTTCTTTCCCCACTTTATGATTTTGTTTGCTTTGTTGAAAATCAGTTGGCTGTAAGTATTTGGGTTTATTTCTGGGTTCCCTCTTCTGTTCCATTGGTCTATGTGTCTGTTTTTACACCAGTACCATGCTATTTTGTTGACTATGACCTTACCGTATAGTTTGAAATCAGGCAATGTTATGCTGCCAAATTTGTTCTTTTTGGTTAGTCTTGCTTTGGCTATGCAGGCCATTTTTTGGTTCCATATGACTTTTAGGATTGTTTTTTCTAATTCTGTGAAAAATGATGGTGGTATTTTGATGGGAATTGCATGGAATTTGTAGATTGCTTTTGGCAGTATGGTCATTTTCACAATATTGATTCTACCCATCCATGAGCATGGGATGTGTTTTCATCTGTTTCTGTTTCCTATGATTTCTTTCAGCACTGTTTTGTAGTTTTCCTTGTAGAGGTCTGTTGGCTCCTTGATTAGGTATATTCCTAAGTATTTTATTATTTTTGCAGTTATTCTAAAATGGGTTGAGTTCTTGATTTGATTCTCAGCTTGGTTACTTTGATGTATAGAAGAGATACTGACTTATGTACTAATGTAATGTAATTACATTATGTACTATATGACTTATATGACTTAAGTACTAATGTAATGTAATTTTTTATCTGGAAACTTTGCTGAATTCTTTTATCAGTTCTAGGAGCTTTCTGGAGGAGTCTTTAGGGTTTTCAAGGTAAACAGTTATATCGTCAGCAAACAGTGACAATTTGATGTCTTCTTTACCAATTTGGATGCCCTTTATTTCTTTATCTTGTCTGATTGCTCTGGCTAGGGCTTCCACTACTATGTTGAAGAGAAGTGGTGAGAGTGGGAATCCTTGTCTTGTTCCAGTTCTCAGAGGGAATGCTTTCAACTTTTCCCCATTTAGTATTATGTTCACTGTGGGTTTGTCATAGACAGTTTTCATTACATTAAGGTATGTCCCTTCTATGCTGATTTTGCTGAGAGTTTTAATCACAAAGGGATGCTGGGTTTTGTTGCATGCTTTTTCTGTATTTATTGAGACTATTATGTGATTTTTGTTTGTAATTCTGTTTATGTAGCATACCATATTTATTGACTTGTGTCTGTTAAATCATCCCTGCATCCCTAGTATGAAACCCACTTGATCATGGTGAATTATCTTATTGATATGTTGTTGGATTCAGTTAGCTGGTATTTTGTTAGATTTCAGCATCTATGTTCATCAGGGATACTTGTCTGTAATTTTCTTTCTTGGTTATGTTCTCTCCTGGTTTTGGTATTAGAGTAATACTAGCTTCATAGAGTGATTTAGGGAGGGTTTCTTCTTTCTCTATCTTGTGGAATAGCATCAATAGTATTGGTACCAATTCTTCTTTGAATGTCTGGTAGAATTTAGTTGTGAATCCTTCTGGCCTTGGACATTTTTCATTGGTAATTTTTAAATTACCATTTTAATATCACTGCTTGTTATTGGTCTCTTCAGGGTATGTAATTCTTCCTGATTTAAGCTAGGAGGGTTGTATCTTTCCAGGAATTTATCCATGTCTTGTAGGTTTTCTAGTTTATGTGGGTAAAGGTGTTCGTAGTAGCCTTGAATGATCTTTTGTATTTCTGTGACGTCAGTTGTAATATCTCCCATTTGGTTTCTTATTGAGCTTATTTAGATTTTCTCTCTTCTTTTCTTAGTTAATCTTGCTAATAGTTTAGAAATTTTATTTATCTTTTCAAATAAGCAGCTTTATGTTTCACTTTGTTGTTATTGTTGTTGTTGTTTCCATTTCATTTAGTTCTGCTCTGACCTTGGTTATTTTCTTTCTTCTGCTTGGTTTGGGTTTGGTTTGTTTTTGTTTCTGTAGTTCTTTGAGGTATGACCTTAAATCGTCTGTTTGTGCTCTTTCCAACTTTTTTATATAGGTGTTTAGGGCTATGAACTTTCCTTTTATGATCACCTTTGCTGTATCCCAGAGGTTTTGCTAGGTTGTGTCACTATTGCTGTTCAGTTCAAATAAGTTTTTAAATTTTTAACCCAATGATCATTCAGGAGCAGGTAATTTGATTTCCATGTATTTGCATGGTTTTGAAGGTTCTTTTTGGAGTTAATTTCCAGTTTTATTCCACTGTGATCTGACAGAGTGCTTGATATAATTTCAATTTTTTAAAATTTATTGAGGCTAATTTTGTTGCCTATAATATGATCTATCTTGGAGAAAGTTCCATGTGCTATTGAATAGAATGTATGTTCTGTGGTTGTTGGATGGAATATTCTGTATATATCTGTTAAGTCCATTTGTTTCAGGATATAGTTTAAATCCATTGTTTCTTTGTTGACTTTCAGTCTGGATGACCTGTCTAGTGCTGTCAGTGGAGTATTGAAGTCCCCCACTATTATTGTGTTGCTGTCTATCTCATTTCTTAGTTCTAGTAGTAATTGTTTTTTAAATCTGGGAGCTCCAGTGTTATGCACATATATGTTTAGAACTGTGATATTTTCCTGTTTGACAAGGCTTTTTATCATATATAATGTCCCTCTTTGTCTTTTTTAACTGCTGTTGCTTTAAAGGTTGTTTTGTCTGTTGTAAGTATAGCTACTCCTGCTCACTTTTGGTGTCCATTTGCATGAAATGTCTTTTTCCACCTCTTTACCTTAAGTTTATGTGAGTCTTTATGTGTTAGCTGAGGCTCTTGAAGGCAGCAGATAATTGGTTGGTGAATTCTTATCCATTCTACAATTCTGTATATTTTAAGTGGAGCATTCAGGACATTTACAATCAATGTTAGTATTGAGATATGAGGTACCATTTCATTCATTGTACTATTCGTTGCCTGTATACCTTGGTTTTTTGTTTTTGTTTTTTAAATTGCGTTGTTTTATAGGTCCTGTGAGATTTATGTTTTAAAGAGATTCTGTTTTGATGTGTTTCCAGGATTTGTTTCAAGAGTTAGAGCGGCTTTTAGCAGTTCTTGAAGTGCATGTTTGGTAGGGGTAAACTCTCTCAGGATTTGTTTGTATGAAAAAGACTGTATCTTTCCTTCATATATGAAGCTTAGTTTTGCTGGATACAAAATTATTCACAGATAATTGTTTTGTTTGAGGAGGCTGAAGATAGAGCTTCAATCTCTTCTAACTTGTTGGTTTCTGCTGAGAAATCTCCTGTTAATCTGATAGCTTTTCTTTTATAGGTTACCTGGTGCTTTTGTCTCACAGCTCCTAAGATTCTCCCCTTTGTTTCAGTTTTAGATAACCTGATGACACTGTGCCTAGGTGATGATCTTTTTGTGATGACTTTCCCAGTTGTTCTTTGTGCCTCTTGTATTTGGATGTCTAGGTCTCTAGCAAGGCTGGGGAAGTTTTTCTCAATTATTTCTCCAAATATGTTTTCAAACTGTTAGATTTCTCTTTTTCCACAGGAACACTTACTATTATTATCATTCTTAGGTTTGGTCATTAAATGTAATCCCAGATTTCTTGGAGGCTTTGCTCATTTTTTCTTATTCTTTTTTCTTTATCTCTGTTGGATTGGGTTAATTTGAAGACCTTGTTTTCAAGCTCTGAATTTCTTTCTTCTACTTGTTTGATTCTATTGCTGAGACTTTCCAGAGCATTTTGCATTTCTATAAGTGTGTCATTATTTCCTGAAATTTTGATGGTTTTTTAATTTATGCTATTTATTTCATTGAATATTTCTCCCTTCACTTTTTCTATCTTTTTTTGATTTCCTTATATTGGGCTTTGCCTTTCTCTGGTGCCTCCCTGATTAGCTTAATGACTAACCTCCTGAATTCTTTTTCAGGTAAATCAGAGATTTCTTCTTGGTTTCGATCCATTGCTGGTGAGGTAGTGTGATCTGTATGTGTTAAAGGACCTTGTTTTTCCATATTACCAGATTTGGTTTTTTGGTTTCTTCTCATTTGGGTAGGCTCTGCCATAGGAAATGTCTAGGGCTAAAGGCTGTTGTTCAGATTCTTTTGTCCCATGGAGTATTTCCTTGATGACTCTCCCCCTTCTCCTGTGGAAGTGGATTCCTGAGAAATGAGCTGTAGTGATTGTTATATCTCTTCTGGATCTAGCCACTCACTAAGTCTACCAGGCTCTGGGCTGGTACTTGGGGTTGTCTGCAGAGAGTCCTGTAATGTGAACCATCTGTGGGTCTCTCAGCCATGGATATCAACACCTGTTATGGTGGAGGTTGCAGAGGAGTGAAATAGACCCTGTGAGGGTTCTTGGCTTTGGTGGTTTAATGTGCTGTTTTTGTGCTGGTTGGCTTCCTTTCTGGAGGTGGCACTTTCTAGAGAGCATCAGCTGTGGTAGTATGGGGAGGAATAGGTGGTGGGTGGAGCCCTAGAACTCCCAAGAGTATATGTCCTTTGTCTTCAGTTGCCAGGGTGGGTAAGGAAGGAACATTGAGTGGACGCAGGGCTAGGCATATCCGAGCTCAGACTCCTTGGGCAGGTCTTGCTGTGGCTGCTGTTGGAGGGGGTGGCGGTGAGGTTCCCAGGTCAATGGAGTTATGTTCTTAGAAGGATTATGGCTGTCTCTACTGTGCCATGCAGGATGTCAGGAAAGTGGGGGAAAGTCCACAGTCACAGGCTTCACCCAGCCCCCACGGAATCCAAAATGCGGTCTCACTCCCACCATTCCCCAACAATAGCACTTAGCCTGTTTCCAGGCAGTGAGCAAGCAGGGCTGAGAACTTGCCCCAGGCTACCCACCTCCCAGCTGTGAAAGCAAGTATGGCTTTTCTTCTTCTTCCCCTGCCTGTGGAGTCCGCATGCCAGATTCACAGCCTCCCTTGACTTCTGGCCAGGAGACTTCCTGATCAATTCAAATTGTTACAAAGTTCAGCTGGAGATTTCCTCCTCTCTGTGGCCTTTTCCCAGTGCCTCTTTCCCTTTGCAATGGATGTCTGTGAAGCTAGGCAGAAATGGTTTGCTAGGGGAACGAGCAAGATCACAGGCTTCCTCCTGCTGCTTCCTCTACCCCTGAATTTCACTCAGCTCTCTAAATTGTCTCAGCTCCAGGTAAGGTCAGAATCTTCTCCTGTAATCTTGACCTTTCATTTCCCCAGTGAGGGTGTGTGTTCAAGGGTGGATGATCTCCCTTTCCCACTTCTACATTTTGGGCACCCACAGTATTTGGGGTGTCTCCCAGGTCCTGTAGGAACAATCCGCTTTCTTCAGAGGGCCTGTGGGTCCTCTAGGGTTTCCTTATTTATTCCTGCAGTCATTTCTGGGGCAAAAATTCATGATGCAAACCTCCACACACTGCTTAATTCGCCCAAGTCTGAGCTGCAGTCTAGTCCTGCCTCCTGTCCACCATGATCCACTGGCAAGTGGCTGCAGGTGAAAATGGCAGTAGCGGCAGCTGAGGCAGTGATGTCCTTGTCTTCTCTGGAAGCTACAGTGGTGACACTCTCACTCCCTTGCCTGTGTCCAGCAGGGTGCCAGATGGCACACGGGGATGGGAGCCTTTTCCTCCTCAGTGACTTGGTTCCAAATCCTCTCAGTTATAAGTTACTTGTTATTTATCCCAATTATAGACTATTCTGAATTGTTTTTTGACCAGTGAGTTTAATACCTTCAGATGTTTAGATGTTTTCTTTTTTTCTTTTTGAGATGGAGTCTCACTCTGTCACCCAGGCCTCCAAAAAACTATACAACTTTGAATAGCAGTAGTGACTTTAAATAGAATATGTACATTTTCCTTCATACTTATAAGGAAATGATTACTACTCATGCCTTGATCACTATTTTTTTCTTTTTGAAACAGAGTCTCACTCTGTCACCAAGCTGGAGTGCAGTGGCGGATCTCAGCTCACTGCAACCTCCACCTCCTGGGATCAAGTGATTCTCCTGCCTCAGCCTCCTGAGTAGCTGCGACTACAGGCACATGGCACCACGCTTGGCTAATTTTTTTTTGTATTTTAGCGGAGATGGGGTTTCACCGTGTTAGCCAGGATTCTCTCAATCTCCTGACCTCGTGATCCACCCCCCTTGGCCTCCCAAAGTGCTGGGATTACAGGCATGAGCCACCATACCCAGCCCATACCTTCAGATGTTTTCATGTTACAGATTACCATCCCTTCTTTCATACTGAAGAACTCCTTTTAGCATTTCTCATAAGACAGATCTGGTGTTGTTGAGTTCCCTCAGCTTTTGTTTGTCCAGGAAAGTATTCATCTCTCCTTCATGCTTTTTGGGTAAAGTATTCTTAGTTGGCAGTATTTTTCCTTCAGCACTTTAAATATAGAAACCCACTCTCTCCTGGACTGCAGGGCTTCTGTTGAGAAATCCCCTGAAAGCCAGACTAGGGCCTCATTGAATGTCATATGTTTCTTTTCTTTTGATGCCAGTAGTGTTATTTCTTTGTATTTTACTTTTGCTAATTTTAATATGATGTGCCTCAAGAATTTTATTTTTGGGTGAATTTGATTGGTGACCTCTGAGCTTTCTGTGCCTGGATGGTGTCATATTTCTCCAAGTTTGAAAATTTTTCAGCCATTATTTCCTGAAATATGCTTTCTGGGTCTTCTTTTTGTCTCTTACCTTCAGGGATTTCTATTATGTGTAGGTTACTTCACTTGATGGTGTCTTATAAGTCTTGTAAGCCTTTTTCTCTTTTGTGTATTTTTTTTTTTTTTTGCTCCTTGGATTGGGTAATTTCATATGCTTTGTCTTCTAGCTTGCTAATATTTCCTATGTTCATTTCTGCTGTTGAAGCTTTCTTTTTTTCTTTTGAGATGAAGTCTTGCTCTGTGCCCAGGCTGGAGTGCAGTGGCATGATCTGGGCTCACTGCAAGCTCCACCTCCCAGGTTCATGCCATTCTCCTGCCTCAGCCTCCCGAGTAGCTGGGACTACAGTTGCCTGCCACCACGCCAGCTAATTTTTTTTGTATTTTTAGTAGAGATGGGGTTTCACCGTGTTAGCCAGGATGGTCTCGATCTCCTGACCTTGTGATCTGCCCGCCTCGGCCTCCCAAAGTGCGAAGCTTTCTAACAAGTTTTTCACCTCAGTTATTGTATTCTTTATTTCTAAGATTTATTTATTTATTTATTTATTTATTTTTGTCAAATTTCTCATTTTGCTCATAGATTGTTTCTCAAATTTTATTTATTTTTTTCTTTTCATTTTCTTATGATTCCCTCATCTTTTTAAGAAGATTATTCTGAATTCTGCGCCTGACATTTATAGATATTTAGTTCTTCTGGTTCCATCATTGGAGGTTTGTTAGAGTCTTTTGGTGGTGTAATATTTCCCTGATTTTTCACAACTATTACATCTTTACATTGATGTCTGCATATTTCAGGAGGCAATAAACATCTATGTACATGTGTCTTTAGGGTGGAATGATTTCTGTTCCTCTGGGTATATACGCAGTAATGAGATTGCTGGGTTGCATTGTTTTTAGCTCTTTGAGAAATTGCAACACTGCTTTCCACAAAGGTTGAACTGATTTACACTCCTACCATTAGTGTATAAGTGTTCCCTTTTTCCATGACCTCACCAACATCTGTTATTTTTGACTTTTTAATAATAACTATTCTGACTGGTGTGAGATGGTATCTCACTGTGGTTTTGATTAGCATTTCCCTAATGATCAGTGATACTTATCTTCTTCTCATATGCTTCTTGGCTGTATGTATGTCTTCTTTTGAAAAGTGTCTGTTCATGTTCCTTTACCCACTTTTTAATAGAGTTATTTGTTTTTCTCTTGCAAAAATTTTTAAGTCACTTATAGATGCTAAATATTAGACTTTTATTAGATGCATAGTTTGCAAATATTTTCTCCCATTCTATAGGTTGTCTGTTTACTCTGTTGATAGTTTTTTTGTTTGTTTGTTTTATTTTTGTGGTGCAGAAGCTCTTAAGTTTAATTAGGTTCCCCAAAATGTGTAAGTTTTAAATTGCATGCCCTTTTGAGTAGCATGATGAAATCTCACATTGTTCCACTTCAACCTGCCCAGGATATGAATCATCCTTTTGTCCATTCTGTCTCTGTCACCCACCCATTAATCACTTAGTAGCCTTTTCACTTATCAGATTGACCACCATGGTATCACAGTGCTTGTGTTCATGTAATCCTTATTTTACCTAATAATGGTCCCAAAGTGCAAGAGTAGTGATGCTGGTGGTTCAAATATTCAGAGAGAAGCAGGAAAGTACTTTCTTTAAGTGAAAAGTGGAAGTTCTTAACTTAATAAGGAAAATAATTGTATTCTGAGGTTGCTAATATCTACAACAAGTGTTCTATTCATGAAATTGTGAAGAAGGAAAAAGAAACGTGAAAGTTTTTAACTTGTGCCTCAAACTGTAAAAGTTATGGTCACAGTGCACAATAAGTATTTAGCTAAGATAGAAAAAGCATCAAATTTGTGGGGTGTTAAGACATGAACAGAAATGATGGCAGTTGGGTTCAATACTATGCATGATAGTTTAAGGTATCCATGGGGCTCTTGGAACATATTACCCACAGATAAGTGGGGACCACTATACAAAAAAACATTTAAATTTCAATGATAATAATAAAATGGAGAAAATATTCAAGTAGTCATGCATCAAAATGATATGTGAACTGCGAGTAAGCACACGAGCAGATGCTTAACATCATGAGTCTTTAGGGACATGAAATTTAAAGCAATCATAGACTGTGAAGGGCCTGGGACTTTACTTGCATGCTAATAATCTAGCCTATTACTGTTTCATGGATCTTGGCAGAAGATGTAAGATTGAGTAGATACAAAGAATTGTATTTATCAAGGCACAGGAAGTAGCAGAAATATAACATTTGTTCAGTTTCCCTTTTCCTGCAAGTCCCACAAGGTGGTGAGAAAGGGATATGGTGGATACTGCCTATGCAATTTGTCTATTTGAAGCAAAACTGAGGAACTCTGAGCTTAGAAAACTTAAATACTTTATACTGGACAATAAGCATGACTGACCAGGAGGCCTTCTCTATCTTCCAAGACTGTTTGCTATAAAAAAAAAAATAGGCCAGAATAAAAGTGCACTCAGTGCCTCTGCTCAAAAGTTGTTCAGAAATGCAAAAGATACATGCGGAATTGCCTCCAGAAAATAAAACAAAACAAAAATATATAATGTTATCAGCTGAATTTCATCTCACTTCCCCCAATTCATATGTTAAAACTCTCATCATACACCTCAGTCACATACTTTACAGAGCTCACGTATCTCAGAATATAATTAGGCTTGGAGATACGGCCTTTAAAGAGGTGATTAAGGTTAATGAGGCCATTCTGGTAGACCTTAATCCATTCCACTTAAACCTATTCTGGTAGGCCTTCATCCAATCCACTATCTATAAGAGGAGATTGGGACATAGAGACAGCAGGAGCACATGTGCACAGGGGGGCAACTTTGTGAAGAGCCAGAGGGAAAGCAGCCATCTGTTAGCCGAGGAATGGGGCCTCAGAAGAAACAACCTCCCAACACCTTAATCTTGAACTTTCAGCCTCTGTAACTGTGAAAAAACAAATTTCCATTGTTTAAATCACCTAGTCTATAATACTGTGTTATAACAGTCCTAGCAAATAATTACAGTTACTATTACAAACCTATCAGAATGGCTAAAATTAAGGAGTGCAGTCTGGTGTGGAGTTGGCTGCTAATGAAGAGTAGAAAGAGATTTGAAGAGATGCTGGGCTGAAGAGTGAAATAAGGAGTCAGCTGGCAATAAAAGAAAAGATTGGCAATTTTTAGGGCTCTACTGAGAGAGCAATTTGGGGGCCATCAGTAGGGCCATAATTTTCCGTTAAGTAAAGTTCTGCTATAAACTACTTGATCAGCTGTAAAACTCTCATTTTTCCTGTATTTCCTACATGTTTTTCTAGTCAAGTTGAATGTCAGTTGCATCATACCAACAAATGAGTCAAAAAGAGAATGTTAGTTTATTTCAACCCAAGTATGTCAGGGCTCACTTGCAATAAAAGAGTCTGTTATGATAGAACATTCTCTGAAATCACCACTAAAAATCAGTATGAAGGATTGATGTGTGATTTGAGCCATCAACACTCAATACCAAGAGTAAATGGATGCTTGGATTAACCATGGCCAAAAATTGTCAAAATTATTATGGCAGAGAGTAGGGGGACAGAACCTCAGGATCTAGTGCGTGTAGATTTGAAATGTGAACCACAGAGTCCAGGCCAGACTGAGACACACACTTAGTTAGAAGTGACTAAAGACAAAATGGAAGTGCCCAGAAATTCAGAGGTTTTGTGGGAAAGGCACAAGGGAAGAGAAGGGAAGGAAAGAAAGAACAGGAAAAGCGGAGAAAAGCTAATGTTTAATGTGTACTTATTCTGATATGCAACAGTATCACTATTTTATAAGTGGAAGAAATGGAGATGTAGAGAGGTTGGATAACTTACGAACAATCAGAGAAGTATGAGGCCAGCATTCAAACTTGGGTCTAATAATGCAGTTCATGCCCTTTTCACTACTCTCCAATAACTGTCAAGGTAAAGAGCAATGGGAGTGAGAAAGGAGAGACAGAAAGTCAATTAAAGAGAAGCTTGAAGTCTAAGTTACACAAGTTGATGCATGGAGGCCTGAAGATAAATTTCAAGGTGTGGCTGCCCTTGCATTTGTTGGAACAGAGTGAAGATGAGCTAACAGTATGAGAAATGATAAAGACCTGGACCCTTGTACGTGTGACCATAGCATAGGTATGGAGATTTTAGGTCAGTGTAGAGAAGTGGAAGAGAGCAAATGAGAGACTGAGAGTGTGGGTGTTCAAATAGTTATTTCTCATAGCTGCTGCTTCAAACTAGACAAAATGATTTATACCAAGATTCTATGTTCTTTCTCTTTATCTGATTCTATGAAAGACAAAAAAAAAAAAAGCCTGAGGGTAGGAATGTCATGTTTTGTTTTGAGAAGTTTTTCCTTTAAATAAATGCATAACATACAACTCACATGTTTCACTGTTTCTGTGAGAAGGTACATAGAACTCAAGAGTACAAAGATACTATGTTTCTCAGTCAATTTGCTATTTTGATTTGTAATAAAAGATTCATTTGCTCTTGGATTCTGTTCTCTGATCCCGACCACAGCTATGATTTCTGCAGTGAGAAGTACTGACTATGAAATATTAGTCGATTAAGTCAAGAAACCTCTGGCTTGGTATCAAGGAAAGTACAGTTTCCAGTTCATCTGACAAACCTGCTGTTTTGTTCATCATGCAAAATAGGAAAACATTGCTTCATCTTCATTAAACTCTGTGGGCAGAGAGAGGGTGTTCCTCGTGTTTCTGAGCATCTGAGAGGTAACAAGGGCTCTGTGCAATTCGTGTTTTAAGATCTGGATCCTTCAAAAGCCCCGTTGTTACTGGTTCCTGAAACAAGGCTGTCATAAAACTCAAGGTATTCAAGAAAAATGAAAATACTGTGACTCACACTGTCTGTGCTGCTTAAGTTACTTAAATTGCGCAGTCTATTTATGCTAATAAAAATCCCTGAAAATCCATTTGCATAGTATGCACCCATAAGTCTTTAAAATAGATAAAAACTGTCAAATAGTTGCTATACATAGATACCCTATTGTTTAATTATTTAGATGAGTCTATTTAATTATAATTCAAAGGGATCATCTTCCACAAGTGCAATTTTTAAGATAGAAAGGGACTTTTAGTTTAATAAGGTCCAAAAATAAAATTTATTCAATTTTTCTCATAATTGTCTTATCTAATTAGCTGAGTATCTGGAACTGACACATGAAGAATATTAGCTATTTTTGCATGCTTTGATTTCTAAATAATATTTAAGTGCCCACTCTGTGCCAGGTAATTTGTATGTGTTATTTTATCCTTACAACAACCTTATGGAGTAGGTATTATTGTAGTCACCATTTTAAATCTGAGAGTGCTGAAGTCTGGGGGGTGGTGGTAAATAACTTGTTCACACAGTAAGAGGTAGAGCTAGGATTTATGTCTACCCAAAAACAGCACAAATTAAAATTCAAAGATAAACTTGGTGTATCTCCTGCATTGCATATCTTTTCTAATAACAATATTTAATATAATAACATTTATCATTTCCCATGTTTTAAGTATTGAATATAAAGTATTTAATCATTACAGTGATTCTATGATGTGGATGCTGCATTTGACAAATGCAGAGGAATCCCACTGGTAATCAGTGACGGAGCTGGAACTGAACTCAGATCTGAATCATTTTTCATAACCACGATCTTACCTTTTTAGTTTCAGCTTGACTGTTATCAAACTCATCTATGTAAGTGAGGCAGGAGAATCTCTTGAACCTGGGAGGCAGATGTTGCAGTGAGCTGAGATCGTGCCACCGCACTCCAGCCTGGGTGAGAGAGTGAGACTCTGTCTCAAAAAAAAAAAAAAAAAAGACCATGGGATCTGAAACCTTACTTGTAGTTGTATATAAAAGATTTAATACACATACAGTGTTCAATACAAGGCCTGAAATATAACAAGTGCACAATAAACTTAGGTATTATTATTACTCTATAACATACTGTTTCCAAGATGTAGAGATGTCAAAGAGAGCAGAAATCTAAACAGAGGCACTGATGCTGCTTCCAGGACCCTTGCCCATAACTCAGTGGTGTGTTCCATGTTCTGAGGCATGGAATTAATATACAATTAGTTCCTATAAGTAGATGTATATATGTGCATGGGCATGTGTATGTGTATGTGTATGTGCATGTTTGTGTGTGTTTCATCATTGGGTCTTTCTTTGAGGTTCTTTCAGTCTAAATGACTTTGTTTTTTAATCCCATCTGCTTGTTTTGCCCAACATAGCCTCCTTCTTTCTCTTTTTACTTATTCTAGTTAATTTTTTTTAATCATTAACCAAATCCTAATATAGGTGACAAAAGTAGGGAGAGACATTTATGAAAACCAAATAGTAATCAAAGGCATGTTTCTCAACAATGTTGCTTGCCATCCGGTGCTAATGTAGAAAGCATGTTAATTCTGATAGCTTAGTGGATGACAGCAAACTTGTGTGGCTCTGTCCTTCATGCCAAATCTAACCCTCTGAAACATCATGGCCAGGGTCAATGTTTGGAACCATCCTAGGGTTCTAGAACACATTAATATGTTAGGTAATTCCCTTTTGCAAGGTACAAGTCAGATCCATCTCTGCTATGTAGCAAACATAGAAGAATCAGGTGTCCCACACTTGACTTTCAACCTATGATGTTTTTTAGATAATTTTCCTTTTGAAAGAGAAGTTTCCTTTTGAAATCAACCTTAATTTTCTAAAGAATCCTCGTCTGTGTCTCATGATGAAGAAACCACAAGGAAATCATACTCTTCATAGTCATTCTTATTTATTCTTGTTTTGTTTTCAGTTAAGGCTTTGCACATTATTCAACCATTAATCCTCTCAGGATCTACAGGTTGAATACCCATATATTGCATTTCCAGGGTCTACTGAGTCAAATATTTTGCAGAAAAGATGACTGGGAGCCCAACCTTCCAGAGTAGGAGGAAATAAATATATGTCAGTTTGCTCCAGACTCCAGGTCTTCTCACCTCTTATTTGAAGAGAACTGCCTTTAAGTGGTCAGCTGTGAAAATTTAACACAGTTGTGAGGTCTTCTAGGATTTCAGCTGCACTGGGCTCTAGGAAAAAAATGAAGAAAACAGGGATAGTATGATTACATTTAGAAGATACTGGCATGGCCATTAACATATGATGACCAGAAATAGTGCCTTTCTTAGCACTTCTGTCCTATATCATGAACAGATGAAGTCATTCTTAGTTTGAACTGCCATCATCAATATACAAGGCAGTCCAGTGAGAAGTGGTCACAGAACAGAAGGACAGATGGCAGGAGCTAGTGGCCATCAGCTTCGTGACAGTCATAGTTTCTGATCACCTGCCCATTGAGAGAAGAAACAACCAGAAATCAGAGACAGTGTCTAGCCTTCCACCACCAAATACATCACCAGTGATGGTGATAGGAACTAAGCAGTATAGACCCTAGCAGAGCCTGGGCTTCTGGGTAGGGCTTTGGATGTGGCAGAAATCCAGGGCACGTCCTACATACAGAGACTAGTCCAATAAACAGTGGCATATACTATGTATACCTGATTCTTGGCCTATTGGGGGTGGGTGCAGCAAAGCCAAAGCTAAATCACACCAGCTAGTAGTTTGAACCTACTAATTACAGTGTATCTAAAACTTCAGTGTGCATATACGTTGCCTGATGAGCCTCTTAAAATACAGATTCTGATTGTGGGAAGATGTGAGGCTGGGTTTATATTCTGCCTAACAAACTCCCAGAAGATGATACTGCTGGGCTGAGGACCATACCTTTCCACTGGAAAAGAAAAATACTGCTGGCCTTGTTTGAAATTCACCAAGAAATATGAGTGAAAGCTAGAGGCGAGGAAGGTAAGTGCGGACTAGAAAATATTAGTACCTTGACTTCAGAGAGGCTGGGGAATGCAAAGTGACTTATAGTTAGTGACTGTGCTGTCAGTGTGAGTCAGGGGCTTACAGAGTCCCAGGAGGTGAAGCCTGGGACTACGGGGTCATGGTACCCTAGTACAAGCATTCTCTGATCCCTTTGGGCAATGATAGTCTCAAGGAAAGGAGACAACAGAAGGCTGCTCTCCTGGGACTCCTTGACCAATAGATTTCCTCTGAAGTGACGTGTTCTCCATTGTGACAGAGGCAATAACAAGGGACAAGTATTGGCAGCACCTTTTCTGATAAGCCCATCTCTGTTCTGTTCATATCTCAGTTATATCATTTATCCTCTCCTGATGGGATAGCCAAGTACAGAGTTGGAAGTATACTGTTGTTTTTTTATAGAAGCTATCTGAAGCTCAGGAAAGAGGAAAAAATCCTCTCATCCATGAAAAACCAGTAATCTATCTCATTGTTGCAAGAGAAAACTGAACTCAGAGTAGTGAAAAATAACTTCAACCTAAGAAGTAAATTAATAATCCAAGAATAAAGATAAGTTAGAAACTTGAACAAATTGAGGCTCATGTTTTGAAACTGAGCACAATCCAAGTGGTTTTATTGTAGCTAATCTGAGTTCTAATTCAGAGCACAGAAATTCTGATTCTGGTCCTCTGGGTACTAGTAGCCATTACCCTCAGAAAATAAGTGTTTGGTAACTTCCAGAAATTTTCCAGTTATGAAGTCTGATATTATGCACCAGGAATCTTTGTACTCCCAGCCACAGTGGAGGATATTCAAAAGAACAGTGTATAGACTTTCATGTCAGTTTACAACATGCTTCTTCTCCTACTACCTCCAAAAATGACAGCTTGATTATAATGTAATTATCTTCTGTCATGAAGCTTGAGCATAATTTTATTTCCAGATGGGTTTATGTTGCTTATATTTAAACTCATTACTGAAAAAGCAGTCATGGAGCAAAATATAAATAAATAACCTAAAGGCAGACCACTATAAATTCCTTTAAACAGGAGAGTCTAAGTTGAGGACTACGGGGAAAGCACTCCCTTCTGTCTTATGTCATGCATATTCCACTGTTTGAAAGATAAATATCTCTGTTTTAAGAGGACAGAGGCAGTTCTGAGTCAGTGGAGATGTTTCTATGGAAATGAAAAAATATGCAAATGCTGCTATAAAGAGCATGAAAGCATTCCTGCAACAGATAATTTGACCAGAATGGGGTTGGGGGGACCACAATAAACAGAAAGGAGACATGGATAAGCTGGTGTCAAGGCCCACTGGACAGCATGCAGCTAAGACACCATGTTATATAAATGAATGGAAAAAAATCATCATAGTCATAATCCCACAAATAGTATTCTTCATGCTTGTGGAGGGAGAGTTTATTTCCTATTCTGCTCCTACAGAGTCTTTGGTAGATTTAGTTCTGTTGATTTCCATTTTTACTGAAATTGATAGTATTTGTTTAAATTTTAAGTTTTGAAATATTCTATAATTTGATTTAGCAAGTCATAATGCTAAGAGATTCTTGAATTAGGTCCTCCCTGTCCAATCACATGGCCTTCAGAGGGTACTTGATAAGGTTGACTTATTCATTTACCACACAACTCTTAAGTACCATGTGCTAGGCACTGTGATAAAAACAATGCAACTGGGGTTATCGGGAGGATGCATGCAGGTTGTAATAAGAACCCTGATGAGAAAGCATTTTAACTTTGGAAAATGCCTCATGGTGATGGTGATGTTTGACTTGAGTTTTGAAGAAAGTAACCAGGTGGATTAGCATGTGGATACTGCTATCTCTAAAAGGAAGAGGAAGGACGAACCAGGAGAGGTGATGCTTAGTGTATATGTGTGTAAACGCTGGCCAACGTAGGGATGGATCATCTCTCTGAGTTAGACTTATTTTTTGTTTTGTTTTGTATTGTTTTTATAATAAGCTATGAGGCAGACCTTTTAGGTTATCAAGAGAGCTAGAGACCAGTCTGGTGTTATTCTATTCCTTATTCATCATGACTTTGAGTAATGTTACCTTACATTCACATATTCACCTCAGTTCCAGCCTTTTTTTCAATATACTTCTCGCTTAGATATTGGAGCAGATTTAGACCTCTAACCTTTGTATAAAGTAGTTACAGAGTTTTCTCAAAACAAGACATGTGCTTCGAAGGGAGAGAATACATCAACCCTTGGTATAGCCTCTCTGAAGGCAGGTACAATTTGTGGTGATGACACTAACAGTAAACCCATCATCTCATAAATAGGGAGAGTAGTCAGATTTTTCTTTCTTTCCTATACTAGCAACATTGAAACACAAGTTTTCATTTAGAAAATATTACATGTTCTATTTGCTACAATGCTGTGGGATGCACATTGTTTAGAAAGGTGCACATAGATCTTAATGGGACTACTTAAGTCATAATTTGTTTTTCCATTCCTCTCAAAACATAGAAAAACAATGAATGTTATGGTATTAAGGAGGATATTCAGCCTATAAAGGGGAACTAGACCCAGAGTCTCTTGAGATAGGTATTGTCCTCTCCTTCTGTATTAGTCTGTTCTCACACTGCTATAACAAAATGTCTGAGACCTGGTAATTTATGAAGAAAAGAGGTCTAATTGGCTCACAGTTCCATAGGCTGTATAGGAAGCATGGCTGGGGAGGCTTTAGGAAACTTGCAATCATGGCAGAAGGTGAAGGGGAAGCAGGCATGTCTTTACCTGGCCAGGAGAGGAGAAAAAAGAGAGATGGGGAAGTGCCACATACTTTTAAACAACCAGATCTCATAAGAACTCTATCATGAGAACAGCACCAAAGGGTGAAACCCACCCCTATGATCCAATCACTGACCATCAAGCCCCACCTCCAACATTGGGAATTACAATTCAACATGAGATTTGTGCAGAGACACAAATCCAAACCATGTCATTCTGCTCCTGGACCTTCCCAAATCACATGTCCTTCTCATACAGCAATATACAATCATCCCTTCTCAATAGTTCCCCAAAGTTTTAACTCATTTCAACATTAACCCAAAAGTTCATAGCTCAAAGCCTCATCTGAGACAAGGCCAGTCTCTTCCACCTATGAGCCTGTAAACTTAAAAATAAGATAGTTACATCCAAGATACAATGGGGATATAAGTACAGTCCCCATGCCAGTCTGAAAACCAGCAGGACAGTCATTAAATCTTAAAACTCCAAAATAATCTCCTTTGACTGCGTATCTCACAATCAGGACATACTGGTGCAAGGGGTGGGTTCCCAAGGCCTTGGGCAGCTCTGTCCCGGGGTCTCTGCAGGGCTCAGTACCTGTGGCTGCTTTCACGGCTGGCATTGAGTATATGTGGCTTTTCCAAGTGCATGGTGCAAGCTGTTGGTGGATCTACCATTCTGGGGTCTGGAGGGTAGTGGCCTTCCCACAACTCTGCTAGGCAGTGCCCCAGTGGGGACTCTGTGTGGGGGCTCCAACCCCACATTTCTCCTCTGCGTGGCTCTTGTAGAGGTTCTCAATGAGGACTTTGCTCCTGCAGCAGACTTCTGCCTGGACACCCAGGCTATTCCATTATCTTCTGAAATCTAGGTGGAGGCTCCCAAACCTCACCTCTTGTACCCTGTGCACCCACAGGTTTAATGCCACATGAAAGCTACCAAGGCTTTTTGTTTGCACCCTCTAAAGCAATGGCCCAAGCTGTACCATTTAGCCATGGGTGGTGCTGGAGTGGCCACGATGCCAGGACCAGTGTCCCAATGCTGCACAGAGCAGTGTGGTCCTGGGCCTGGCCCATGAAACTATTCTTTCCTTCTAGGCCTCCAGGGCTGTGGTGGGGAGGGTGCTGCCACAGAGGTCTCTGAAATGCTTCCAAGGCCTTTTTCCAATTGTCTTGGCTTTAGGACTTGCCTTCCTTTTAGTTATGCAGATTTCAACAGCCTACAGCCAGCTTCAATTGCTCCTTTGAAAATGGGCTTTTCTTTTCTACCATGCAGCCGAGCTGCAAATTTTCCTAACTTTTATGCTCTGCTTCCTTTTTAAATATAAGTTCCAGTTTCAGGTTATTTTTTTGTTCATGAATATGGGCATTAGGCTGCCAGAAGCAGCCAGGCCGTTCCTTGAATCCTTTGCTGCTTAAAAATTTCTTCTGCCAGATACCCTAAATCATCATTCTCAGGTTCAAAGTTCCACAGATCTGTAGAGCAGGGGCACAATGCGACCAACTTTTTTGCTAGAGATTAACAAAAATGACCTTTGCTCCATTTCCCAATATGTTTCTCATCTCTATCTGAGACCTCCTCAGTCTGGACTTCACTGTTTATATCACTATCAGCATTTTGGTTACAACCATTCAACAAGTTTCTAGGAAGTTCCAAACTTTCCCTCATCTTCCTGTCTTCTTCTGAGCCCTCCAAACTGTTCTAACCTGTGCCATTACCCAGTTCCAAAGTTGCTTTTAGATTTTCAGGTATCTTTTTAGCAATGTCCCACTCCTGGTACCAATTTTCTGTATTAGTTTGTTCTTGCACTGCTATAAAGAAATGCCTGAGACTGGGTGATTTATAAAGAAAAGGGGTTTAATTCGCTCATGGTTCCACAGGCTGTACAGGCAGCATGGCTGGGGAGGCTTCAGGAAACTTACAATCATGGAAGAAGGTGAAGGGGAAGCAGGCACACATTCACACGGCCAGCACAGAAGAGAGAGAGGGGAAGTTGCCACACACTTTTAAACAGTCAAATATTGTGAGAACTCTGTTGTGAGAACAGCAACAAAGGGGGAAATTCGTCCCCATGATCCAATCACCTCCCACCAGGCCCCACCTCCCACATTGGGGATTATAATTCAACATGAGATTTGGGCAGGGACACAAAGCCAAAGCACATCACCTTGTCATGGTGCAGTATGAATAGGGAGGCCAGTGAGTATGGAGCTCTGATTTATAAAATTACAAAACATATACACTTGAACAATATTTGGGAAAGAAGCTAGGCTACATGAGAATATAGACAACTGAAGAAGAGAAACTATCCTATTGTAGTAAACAAGGAAGGTCATATATACATTGAAACAAACACTATAATAATTGGTTTAGACCTTCCCTAAGCTGGCCTAAAGGGTTTCATTATATAGACATAATTTGTCCACATAGGTATGAATTATTGTATAAACAAAGTATAATGGCGCATCTCCAGCAAAATAGAGTGTAAAATAAATCTGTCTCTAGTAATTGGGCAATCTATTCAGTTCACTGTTATTCTGAACAACAGAAGTCTCAGAGAAACTCCTTTTCGCACTCCAAGTTCAGAAAAATGAATCTAATGTAATTGGAGGGCTCCATAGGGTAAGGCATTGACCTTTGAACCTTTTTAGCAGAAGGACTTGGAAGACTATGACATGGAAAGATAGATTTTCTCCTTAAATCTAAATAAGTTTCAGGTGATTACACCAAAGTGCTCTGAGACTATCTAAGATTAAATGACATTTCTGAAGCCAGGAAACATGGTGCACAAGAAAGAGACACTGTAGGAAGCAGGCCTTCCACTGAGCTGCAACTACTCAACAACCTAATGTAGAGGACTGAGTAGAAACCACCACGGGAATTTAAAAAATTGCTTTTATATGTTTGGGAAAATGAAACTCATGTTAATGAGTTATGGTATAGAATTTTCAAGTCTATATGGGAAGAATTGTTACTAGTGAGGTAATAACCGATATTATAATTGTGCCTTCAAATACACAGTATAATTTTTTTTACAGACTCCAAATTGTGTAAAGAGTTAAGACTGGAAGTTATTCAATATGATGTCAGAAGTGTCAGTTTACTTTTGTTCTTCAATAAGTTGTATTACCTTTGCAACTGTCCCCTTACTAGCCACCACCTCACCAGGGGTATTACTTTTTCCACTTAGTTCTATTTGTTACACATTCTTAAAAATGTCCTCTGACATTTGAAAAAACAAGAAAAATATAACAGTGGTTGATAAATTACAAGTGTCAGTTTAACTTAAACATACTAAGGTTACTGTTAGTACTCATGTGAGGTATTATATTCAGTGTTTGGATTAAAACTTATGAAGGCCAGGATTATTATCCTTAGATCCAATAACCTGGGATAGCTTGGGACTAGTTACTCTGATATGCTAAAACAGAGCAATCTTATATGACATTACATAAAATATTATTTATATATTTTGTAATATTTATTAATATTTTAATAATGGAGGAAAATCTCAGTGATGTTGCTTGTTTAGTTCCAGACCATTTAAATAAAGCAAATATGGCATTAAAGCAAGTTACACATTTTTTTATTTTCTAGTGCATATAAAAGTTATGTTTACACTATACTATAATCTCAAGTGTGCAACAGCATTATGTCTAAAAATTGTACATACTCTAATTAAAGAATACCAATAAAAACTCTAACAATCATCTGAGCCTTCAGCAAACCATAATCTTTTTGCTGGTGGGGTATCTTGCCTAAATATTGCTGGCTGCTGGCTGATTAGGTTGGTGGTTGCTGAAGGCTGAGGTAGCTGTGGGGAATTTTTTAAAATAAGATGAAAATGAAGTTTGCTGCATTGATTAACTCTTACTTTCACTACAATTTTTTATCCACAGTAGAAGCTCTTCCAAAATTGTAGTCAATCCTCTCAAACCTAGCCACTGCTTTATCAAGTAAGCTTATGTAATACTCTAAATCCTTCACTGACATTTCAACAATGTTCACATCATCTTTACCAGGAATAAATTCCATCTCAAGAAAAATAACTTTCTTTGCTCACCCGTAAGGAGCCACTCCTCATTTATTCAAGTTTTATCATAAGATTACAAAAGTTCATTCACATCTTCAGGATCCACTTCTAATTCTAATTGTCTTGCTATTTCCACCACGTCTGCAGTTACTTCCTCCACTGAAGTCTTGAACCCCTCAAAGTCATCCATGAGGATTACAACCAACTTTTTCCAAACTCTTGTTAGTGTTGATATTTCCACCTTCTCTCATGAACCACAAAATGGTTTTTTATGGCACATAGAATGGTAAATCCTTTCTAGGTTTTCCATTTTCTTTGCCTGGATCCATCTGAGGAATCACTATCTATGGCAGTTATAGCCTTACAAAATGTATTTCTTACATAGTAGGACTTGAAAGTCAAAGTTACTCCTTGATCCATGGACTGCAGAATAAATGTTGTGTTAACTGGCATGAAAACATTATTCATCTCCTTGTATATCTCCATAAGAGCTTTTGGGTGACAAGGTGCATTTACAATGTGCAGTAATATTTAAAAGGAAACTTCTAAGCAGTAAGTCTCAACAGTGGACTTAAAATATTCAGCAAATCATGCCGTAAAAAGATGTGCTAGTATGTGGCCTTTGTTGTTTCATTGATAGAACATAGGTAGAGTACATTTAGCATAATTCTTAAGGGCCCTAGTATTTTTGGAATGGTCAATGAGCATTGGCCTCAACTTAAAGTCACTAGCTACATTAACCTCTAACAAGACAGTCAGCCCATTCTTTGAAGCATTGAAGCCAAGCATTAACTTCTCCTCTCTAGCCATGAAAATCCTAGACGACATCTTCCTCTAATAGAAGGCTGTTTTGTCAACATTGAAAATCTGTGGTTTAGTGCAGCCACATTCACCAATTATCTTAGCTAGATCTTCTGTATAACTTGCTGCTTTCCCTGTATATTTATGTTATGGAAATGGCTTCTTTCCTTAAACCTGATGAACCAACATCTGCTAACTTCAAACATTTCTCCTATAGTTTCCTCACTTCTCTCAGCCTTCATACAATTAAAGAGAGTTAGGGTCTTGCTTTGGATTAAGGGAATATTGTGAATATTTTAATCTATTCAAGCCACTAAAACTTTCTTTATATTAGCATTAAGACTGTTGCACTTTATCATTTGTGCATTCACTGGAGTAGTACTTTCAATTTCCTTCTATAATTTTTCCTTTGAATTCACAATTTGGCTCTTTTTGGTGCAAGAAACCTATCTCAGCTTTCAACATGCCTTCCTCACTAAGCTTCATCATTTCTAGCTTTTGAATTAAAGTGACAGACATGTGACTCTTTCTTTCACTTTAACACTTAGAAGCCATTATAGGGTTATTAATTGGCTTACTTTTAGTATTGCTCTGTCTCAGGGAATAGGAAGGTCCAAGGAAAGAAAGAGAGATGGGGAAAGGCCTGTCATTAGAGCAGTGAGAATACCCAACATTTATTGATTAGGTTCACCATCTACAGTGGGCATGGTTCTTTGTGCCCAAAATAATTATGGTTGTAACATCAAAGATCACTGATCACAGACGACTATACTGATGATGATGATGATGATGATGATGATGATAATAATAATAATATAGTTTGCAATACTGTGAGAATTACCAAAATGTGACACAGAAATAAGCACATGCTATTGGAAAAATGGCACAGAAAGACTTTCTCAGTGTAGGGTTGTCACAAACTTTAGTGAAAAAAACACCACCACAATATCTGCTAAGTGCAGTAAAACAAAGCACAATAAAACAAAGTATTCCTGTACAAGATGAAGAGGCCTTTTCTTCAGAAATTAAGCAAATTTGACAACAAAAGTGATACATTATATAAATTAGAAATCAATTAAATCTTTGTAGGGCAGGTTCCAAACTCTTAAAATGTCTTTACTTTGAAGCTACAGACACTAGTCTGTGTCACATTGAACGTCATCATTTTAGAAATTTCAGGATATTCCCTGGTCAAAGAAATACCATCCTCCTCCTTTCATATTATTGCTTTGAATAATAGTCTAATACAAGGTTATACAGTGCCTTAAAGGGTATTTAATCCATTCTTCCCAATAATTAAGAAAAATTGAGAAGTAGAATATTTTGGGAGATTCTTATAATGTCCTGCCTCTTGTCCTTTTGGCTGTCAAATGACAACCTTTTCTTCACGTGCTGTATTAGATTCCTAGGGCTACCATAACAAAGTGACACAGCTGGATGGTTTACAAAAATAGAAATTTATACTCTCACAGTCCTGGAAGCTTGAAGTCCAAAATCAAGGTATCAGCCGGGCAGGGCCATGCTCCCTTTAAGAACATCTTTGCCTCTTTCTAGCTTCTGGTGGTGACTATCAATCTTTGGTGTTCTTTGGTTTCAGTTGCATTTATTACAGGGCACTTACTCTGTGTTTTTGTCTCCACATGATATTTTCCTCTTCTTATGAATAGATCAGTCATATTGAATTAGAATCCACTGTAATGACCTTATCTTAACTTGATTATATAGGCAAAGACTCTATTTCAACATAAGATCATACACACAGGTACTGGGGGTTAAGACTTCAACATATCTTTTGTGGGGTATATAATTCAACCCATAACACGAAAAAAATAGATAAACCAGGAGACCTTGGGCTATTACATTCTCAAGAGCTCGATATGAGGACAAAATGAAGTCATTGTGTAGATATATAATGATTCAAAACCATCCTGCCCTGAAGAGTTTAGGCAAGGATTTCTGGATGATTAGAAGATTTGAAAATTTCTGTTGAAGTTCATTTTGAATTCTACTTATTAAGACTATATAACAACCGTAGCACTTTACACATATACCTAGATCCACTAAGCCTTGTTTGTGAATCTTACCAGAATGTGGAGAGAGCTTATCAGCAGAAAATTATGACATTGCCTTTTTCTTCTCTTAGCTCATTCTCTCACAGCCCAAATCAGAGTTCATTACTGCCACGCCATAATAGCCAAGTGCTGAAACTGCAAAACCCCAGTTCAGGTATAGCTTTTTGATACTATAATTTTAAAATACTTTGATATGTTTTATTAATAAAGCTTTTCCAGCCAAATCTCAACAAACCTACTTGAGGCTGAACTTCTTACTGTATAATGTACATCCACTATGAAAACCTATATATTTTGATGGCAAAAAAGAAGGCCATATTGGCTTTTTTCTAACAAGGCTTATGTCTTAGTCCATTTTATAATGCAAGAAGATAATACCACAGACTGGGTAATTTATAATGATTAGAATTTATTACTCATAGATCTGGAGAATGGGAAGTCCAAGACTAAGGAGCCGGCATCTGGTGAGGGCCTTCTTGCTGCATCATAACACAGTGTAAGTCATCACATGTCTAAAGGGCAATGAGAGGGTAAGACAAAGAGAAAGAGGGAGAGAGAGGAAAAGGAAGCAAATCCACTCCCACAATAACAAACCCTCTCCCACAATAACAATCCCACTCTCACGATAATGGCATTTGTTCATTCATGAAGGCAGAGGCCTCAAGACCTAAACCCCATTTAAAGATCTCACCTCCAAATACCATCACAATGGCAGTTAAATTTCAACATGAATTTTGGAGGGGATAAACACTCAAGCCATAGTAGTTGGTATAAAAAGTTCTCTTCCACCACAGTGCATTTAATTAAGGCCTGTAGTGTTGCCTCAATTCCTTTCAGATAGGAAGCAGAAAAATGAATAAATTTATTTGTATTTCAACTATTCAATGTTTGCTTTGGGACGACAAAAGAAAAAAATAAGTGGAAGGGGAAGGTGAATACAAATCCAAATTTCTCCTAATAAAAAATTTGTATCTGCAGTTTCCTCTCCTGAATGCGCATATTGGCCCATTTTCATGCTGCTGATAAAGACATACCTGAGACTGGGTAATTTATAAAGAAAAAGATGTTTAATGGACTCACAGTTTCACATGGCTGGAGTGGCCTCACAATCATGGCAGAAGGTGAAAGTCACATCTTACATTGGTGGCAGGCAAGAGAGAGAATTAGAACCAAGAGAAAGGGGTTTCCACTTATAAAACCATCAGATCTCATGAGACTTATTCACTACCATGAGAACAGTATGCGGGAAAGCACCCCCATGATTCAAATATTTACCACTGGGTCCCTCCCACAACATGTGCGAATTATGAAAGCTACAATTCAACATGAGGTTTGGGTGGGAACACAGCCAAACCACATCAGGCCAGAACCACATATCAAAAATCTGGGCATGTGTCCACTATAGGGATCTCAAACTTAATGTATCTTAATCTAAATTTATAATATTTAATCTATACCCAGCTTCTTCTCCCATATAGCATCTATGTCAGTGAATTGCATAACCACCTAAGCTATAAACCTATAAAATTCTTGTTATCTTTCCTTTGGTCCTCACATTAAGTTGATCACCAGATTTTATGAATTCTACCTCATAAATATTTCTCAAATATGTCTAATTTCTGCCCCTCCACAGCTGCTTGTTTAGTTTTGATCCACATATTTCTCACTTGGGTTATTACAACAGCTTTCTAATTGCCTCCAATCTTGCCTTGCTCTCATTTATTCATCACATTATACCCATGCAAATATGATCAAATTGAGATGCCTCAATGTTTCTTCTCTGCTATTGTACAATTTACTCATTTAATTATTCAGCCAATATGTAATGAGTGTGTACACTAAACCAAACATTGAGGGAGTGGTGGGTAATTGATTTTCATTGATTCTGTTCAAAATTACAAACCAGAATGTTATGATGAAAAAGCTTTAATGTTATGAAAGTATATAGCAGAAGTGCCTGACCTACATGGAGGATGACAGAGTAAAGTGAGAACATAAGAGAAACTCAGGACCCAACCTTGGAGAAGTCCAGCATTTAAAAATTGGGTAGAGGAGTATGGACTTATAAGGAAACCTGAATTGCAGTCAGAGAAGCCTTGCATGGTACCAGAGAGGCTTAATTAAGAAAGAGTGCCTTTCAAGGAGAGTGGCCAGCTGTGTCAAACTCTTCTGAGAGGTCAAATAAAACAAGGGTCTAGAAAATATCCCTTGGATATAGTGGAGGTAATTGGCAACCTTAGAAAGAGTGGATTGCCTGAACTAATTAAGGGAGAGTACAGATTAGACTGAGCTAAAGAGAGAGTATGATCTGAGAAAAAGGATGCAGTAGAACTGAAACTTTCAAGTGCCTTTTTATTTAGACTGGCTCCTGGCCTCCTCTCCAGCTACTTTTTTCATCACCTCCTACCTACTGTATCCTCCCTCCCTGCCAAATGCAGCCCTTACTGTCACAACAAATGACTTGTAATTTGCTCAAGTTTCCGCAGTTTCCTTTGCCTCAGAGCCTTAGAGTATGCTGCTCTCTCTGCCTGAAGGGCCTTCAGCTTTCTCTTAGCTGGACAGTTCCTATTTCTCATTCAACAGTCAGCTCAAATGTCACTACCTCAGGAAGGCTTTTGTAATGCCCACTCCAGCTTCATACTACTAGTGTCACCATCACAAGCCCATGTTCTTTATATGTTTGTGCATAATATCCCACTCATACCCCTAAGGTTATCCTTACAAAAGACTCAACTTTGAATCTGCTTATCTATTTTTCCCACAAGATTGTAAGTTGCAAGATAGTAGGAACTTTATGCACTCAGAATATCTATGAAGAATGAATGATTATTTCAATCTGCTGTCAGTGACATAAGAAGCTATGTCTCCGGCTGACCTGTCTATGGAGTCACCATTCTCTATTCCTTTACCTTCTTAATAGACTTGCTTTCACTTTACTCTATGAACTTGCACTGAATTCTTTCTTGCACGAGATCCAAGAACCCTCTCTTGGGGTCTGAGTCTTGATTTCTTTCTGGTAACACCTTCCTGGTGAACCCCAAAGGGATGATACTGAGGAGATCCCTGACCCAAAGGAAATAGACTGCAGCATCAATTGGCTAACTTTGGGTAAGTGGTGGGGTACCCAGGAAAAAGATGGAATTGGGTTAGAGACCCAACTTAGGGGAGCTAGAGTTTTTCCTAAGACAAAGCAGGTTAAAGGCCCCTCTTAATGAAAGAGAAGGATGCCTGATTAAACTTGGGTTCAAGGCCCAACTTAGGAGGATTAAAGTCCTAAGATTTAGGGGGTTAGAGGCCCCTCTCAGTAAAGTTCCTCTTGGCTAAAAACGGATTTGGCACTATGGAATGTTAACCATCATTATCTTTGGATTAAGCTGCCTTGCATTTCTTTGCTGATGGCTATGGGTGACAGAATTAGGAATGTACAGGACCATGGAACGTGAGAGCTTTTTCCTCCCCAAAGGGGAAACTAAAGAGCCAATGGGACTGCTGGAAAGGTTCCCTTCTTGACCGACAAGCAGCCGCCTGAACTTTTGATTCAGTTTAGCTGGGATGGTTGGGTCTTTCTCTGGCCTCCCTGAGCTCTTCGCCTTCCCCTACCACAGGAAAGTGTTGATTAATGGGGAAAAAAGAGGCCAGTCTTAAGCTATAGCAAATCTGATGTGCTTTGTGTGTCTTTCTGTATGGTTCTGTCATTAAAAGGGGTACCTTAGGATAGAATGCAGACCTAGGACACCCGTAAGCCCACTGTTCAAGATGGCCTAGCAAACTGGTCAGTTGTAAACTTTCCTGCAGGTCCCTGAAAAAAAAAACAACTGGATGAGGTGTTCCTTTTGTCTTTTTTTTTTTTTTTTTTTGAGATGGAGTCTTGCTCTGTCGCCCAGGCTGGAGTGCAGTGGTGTGATCTCAGCTCACTGCCAGCTCCACTTCCTGGGTTCACGCCATTCTCCTGCCTCAGCCTCCTGAGTAGCTGGGACTACAGGCACCCACCACCAAGCCCGGCTAATTTTTTTGTATTTTTAGTAAAAAAGGGGTTTCATCGTGTTAGCAAGGATGGTCTCAATCTCCTGACCTCGTGATCTGCCCACCTCGGCCTCCCAAAGTGCTGGGACTACAGGCTTGAGCCACTGCGCCTGGCCCCCTTTTGTCTTGTTTTATATCTTTGGACACTTGACCTTGTAACCATGTGGTTACTTTCTCTTGATTTCTCTTGATTTCCAACCTCCAGCAAATAGGAATTTTGGGGTCCATGTCATAGTTAGCCCTAAAAGTTACCTTGAGCAGTTAAAATCATTTGCAAGCTCAAAATTGTCTGCTCTAGGATCCTCATGGGAAGGGCAATGGAGACTGCCCAATGCTGTAGCTCAGCAGCTAGGGCTTTGTCTTTTCAAAATGGCAGCCTGGGTTCAATTCCCAGCTTAGGGAATGAGTCCATTCTGATTTGATATCTGCATGAACATTTGTTGATTCTCTTCCTTTCCATAAACTATCTTGAATTTTGCTTTCTGTGAGCACCTGGCAGTTTACCTGTGGTAAAATTCAAAAGCCAGAAATATTGGTGGTTTGGCATGGCTGACGGTGAGTAATAAGAAATTTTAAAGAATTTTTTTGAAGAGTGCTATGATTAAAAGTCTAAAAGTGGATATTCAAGCTTTAAGAGCCTGGGACTCCTTGGGAAAAAAGTGAGGTGCCAGAGGTGCCAGAGACCACATATTGGGAAAAAACCCTGTTTCCATCTTGGAAACCTAGGAATTGAAAGCGAATAGATCCCTTTCAAAATCTAAGGCTTTATTCTGTTTTGCATTGCATTATCTGATTTTTTTTTTTTTTTACTTTTGTTGGTATCAGAAATAACTTTGCTTATGGGAGAGATTTGGAGTGTAATAACTAGGTAGGAAATATCCTTTTAGGAATGGCTGATGGCAGTTATGGGTGAATACTTAGTTCTTTGCATGTTTGGATTAGAGAAGCATGCTCTTGGCCACCTTGAAGGTATGGAAATACCTTCTTATCTTCAACTGAGACATAAGACTCCCATGGAAGATGAGCTGATTCCTTCTTGTTTGGGTGGGGGGATTTAGGATCTGGTATAAAATGGGACCCTTAATTTTGGTGGCTCTGTTTTGCCTTCCAGCTGTGCCTGCTTATTAGGCTGTAGAAACTGCATCCTTTCCTGACCCTGTTCCTCCAAGGACTCCACTCTGGAGCCAGTAATCCAATTAAGAAACTGACAAATAAAAAAACCTTACAATTACTAAATCTTGTGTCTGTCAGTGTATTTATATATGCTGTGTGTGTGTGATATAAAAGACCTTTTATTAATTGGTTTAAAAATAAGAGCTTAAATCACTATTTTATCAGAAAAATGAAAACTATAATGTCTTTTAGTTCACATGATTAGTAATCTTTGGGAAATAAAGACAGTTTTACATGCAAGGTGTGTAAGAAAAGCTGAATGTTTGAGCAAGTTGTGGAAGGTTTGTGAAAAATTAAGCTCATAAAAGAAATTCTGTGTGTGAACATATTGGCTGAAGTTAAAGGAGTATTCACTTTTTCTGTAATTGAACATTGGAATAAAAGCACAGCACGTTTTTCTCAGAGCACTGATCTGCTCTTTCACAAAAATTGTAAAGGATTATAAAAGGTTTTTGATCCATTTTGCTGGGGAGGTGAGGAAAAAAAGTTTATAAAGATCTTACCTTATGGTCAAACTGATTAAGATTGAGTAAATTTGTCTATAAGGTTTTATTAAGAATTGGGTTTAACATTAGTAGTACCCTAATGTAAAGGTGAAGTTTGGCTTATTTGGTATAAAATCCATACAGGAAGCATCATCAAATATGAAACAGTGTTTGGCTTTCTTTGGGTTATATTTGCATAAATATGTTATTGGGTTATATTTGTACAAATATATTATAAATAAATATGTGTTCCAAAATGATGAAAAACTCCTACAATTCTAGACTTAGTGTATGTTGTTAATAGTTATAATTGTTATGTAAAATTTTTATATGCCACAGAAATAACTGAAATTTCCCTTTCAATTGCAGTTTTAATATGGCTGCCCTAAGACTTTTGTCATCCACAGGCAATTGTTGTCTTGTTTTGATCCTCTTTAGAAGATGGCTTATAATCACTACAGGAATTTGGCAGGTGCTCTTGAATGCAGGTTTCTGATAAGATTGAAGATTGTAACATCAGAATAGAGGAAAGACTTTCAGGACTCATGGACAACTAAAATATTTGTGAATATCAAACAGGATGGTGTTAAGTGCATAGACTGAGCTAATAGAAGATTGAAGAAATCTTTTTGACTTTACTTAAAATGTTGCTGATTGATTTTCAGAGTCAAAAAACTTTTGAGCTATGTATAGCTTTTAACAGTTAAGTAAAGTACACTCCTGTAAACAAAATTTGGAGCATATTTGTTTCTCTCTACCTGATTTCTCCAGAATTTGAAAACTAGTTATCAATATTCTTAGGTCAATATAGTTATTTGGATAAGTACAATAAGGATGTTTTCTTTTGTAACAGGACACAATTCAAGAAACTGGTTATTTTACCAAGGCTTTGACTAGAATGGCATGTTTTCCTTTAATGCATTACACTTGACTTACAGAGCCAATAAAATTCCCTTGGGAAAACTAGCCTCATACCTTGTCTACACAGACCTTGTGCAGGGTTTCCAACCTGTGGTAAGTACAGAATGTCACTTTATGACAGGCCCAGGAGCTCTAAGTTATCTTGGGACCTCAAGAGGAGAGAATTTACGTAACTCATAGGTATTTGAAGGTATAAGTCCATGTCTGAGCTTGGCTCTAAAAAAGTCTTATCTGAGATTCCTTCTATGGAACAAAGTTCCATCTAAGTCAATTTTAAAATCCTATGTGAAAAATAATTATTCTTGCTGCACTTTATACAAATAATCAGGCCAAGTATAATAAAACAAATCAGTCTTACCATGATTTGTCTTTAGTAAAAATGGAAAGCTGGGAAGAGAAAAATTATGCTTCAAGAACTATGGTATATTTGTTATTGGATTCCAGTCTCATCAGTTGTTTCTAAGATTTTTCCTGCAATTTAGAATGACTGCTTGTCCTGTGAACAAGCCAGTGATCTCTCACCGTAGCTCAGTAGAAACAAGAGAGATGGGTAATGTAAAAATCCAGATCACTATTCTAATTCTGGACACATATTGGAATCAGTTAGGAACCCCATATGAGCTTGGTTCCAGCAGTTGCCCAGTTCATGGAAAGCCTTCTTGTTTAGTTTACTTGGGATAATTTTGCTTATTTTGCTTTACTGTTGTGGAATATATTGCTGCTATACTCTTTGTTTGGGAATGCAGGATAACTTACTGAATATTTTTAAAATTTAACACTTATTAATCTTCCGGATATTACCTTTTGTTGGAATTCAAGAGTTATGAATGGCCATCAGCATACCAATGCTTTCTGACTGAGCTCCTCCCTACCCTGAATACAAGAGACCCTAACAGTTAGGCAGGAATATCATTGCTCCTATTCAGTCTGAAGAAGTTACAGAAGATGGGTCTTTGTCCCTCTATAACTCTCAGGATTAAGGGTTTTCTTATAAAATGGGGTGGGGAGATACATCAGAGGCATTTGAATCAGAGCAACTCCATCTTCAATAGGGGCTGGGTAAAATGAGGCTGAGACCGACTGGGCTGCATTCCCAGAAGGTTAGGCATTCTAAGTCATAGGATGAGCTAGGAGGTTGGCACAAGATACAGGTCACAAAGTCCTTGCTGATAAAACAGCATGTGGTAAAGAAGCCAGCCAAAACCCATCAACACGAAGATGGTGACAAAAGTGACCTCTGTACATCCTCACTGCTCATTATACGTGAATTATAATGCGTTAGCATACTAAAAAATACTCCCTCCAGCATCATGACAGTTTACAGATGCCATGAACACATCAGGAAGTTACTATATATGGTCTAAAAAGGGGAGGAACACTCAGTTCTGGGAATTGCCTATTAATTCCCAGAAAACTCATTAATCCACCCCTTGTTTAGCATATAATCAAGAAGTAACAATAAGTATCCTTAGTTGAGCAGCTCAAGGCACTGCCCTGCCTATGGAGTGGCGATTCTCTATAGCAGCAGTGGTTCTTTCCTGGAATATTGACCCCTTGGGGACACAACATTCCTGTACAGCTTCAGAGAAGGGATTTTGAAGTTGGACAGATATGGGATTAATCTCAGCTCTTCTCTGAGTCTCAGTTTCATCACCTATAAAATGAGAGTAATTTTAATACTTACCTTACATCACTTTATGAGTACAAAATTAGAAAAATCTATGTAGAATTCCTAGCACAGTTCTTGACTAATAACTAAAAGCACACATGGTCAATAAATGTTAGCTATAATTGATAGCACTTATATTAGTTTCCTATTGGCTGCCATAACAAATTATCATAAATGCCGTGGCTAAAAGCAGCATACATTTATTTTCTTAGAGTTTCAGAGGCCAGAAGTTTATAATGGGTTTCACTGGGCTAAAATCAGGTGTTGGTAGGACATAGCCCAGGAGACTCCAATTGAGAATCCATTTCCTTATATTTCACAGCTGTTAGTGACTGGTTGTATTTTTAGGTTTGTAGCTCCTTTCTCCATTTTCAAAGTCAGTGGCATAGGATTCCTCTCTCTCTGCTTCCCTCCACTTTCTTCAAATAGCCTTCTCTTCTATGTCAAATTTCCCTTTGCCTGCTTCTCATAAGGATGCTTGTCGTTGCATTTAGGGTCCACCTAAATAAACCAGAATAATCTCCTAGTTTCAAGACATTTAACTTAATTACATCTGCAAAGTGTCTTTTGCTATATAAGGTAATTTTCATGGTTCCAGGGATTAGGACCCTGGATATTTTAGGGAGCTATTATTCAGCTGACCACGCTGCTATTATTATTATTATTATTAAAGTTGATGGTTAAAATAGATAATTGGTGGTTATATACAAAAATAAATACCCAATCAATGTATATAGTATCTCTGAAAAATGCATAGTGCTTACAATCTACTACTGCAGATCAAAAAATCCTTATAGGTTAAGCTTCTACTAAACTTACACACTTGATGAAAAAGGACTACAGAATCCTAACTTCTATTTAACTCAAAGGGAAAAAATCCCTTGCGCTTTCCAGGAAACAAGTTGAGTCAGATTATATTTTCTGAAGATAAGTGAAAGCGCTCAAGAAGGTCCAAAGATGATAGCTTACCTTACAGAAGTGAGCAGCTATTGATTCTTTAACTGACATGGTCAGACATGGTTGCATCCTTTCTCTTCTACCATGCAAAATCACAGCAAGATCTAGCTGTGTTTGAAGCTACCAATGAAGGTAAGTTGGGAGACATTAGGTTTATTTCAAACCTAGATGCCACTTCTTAAATTTGTCAATGTGCTCTATTGAAAGAAACACAAAAGGTCTGCTGTTATCTTACAGATCTTCGCCAGATCTCTATGTTTTGCATTTGCTGGCAAATTTTGCCATTTATTTTCCATCCAACATGACTTCCTTGATTGAGGGGCAGTGGGATTGGAAAATAATTCTGAAGCATATGAAAAATTAATAAGAGAAATTATAATTGCAAACAGTTCTGCAGAGTGTATTCCTCTAAGCATGTCATTAAACAGTATTTTTACATAAAGCCTCTACATTCCAATTTTTTTCCTATAGCTCAAAGAAAAAACAAACAACCAAAAATTGGAAGGAAACTGTACATTTCTGAATTTCAAAACAAGTCTGGAAAGTTTTCTTCATCATGACATGCAGATTATCATTTGTTCAAATTATAAACTCCAAAATTGGGGATATTGACATATGAGATAATCAGAGCAAGTAATGCAGTCAATGGTGTGTGTGTGTGTCTGTGTGTGTGTGTGTGTGTGTGTGTGTGTGTGACAGAGAGAGAGAGAGAGAATTAGGAAAAAAAGAAAAAAGAGATGGGGGAAAGAAAGAATTATTTAAAAGCAAGTGCTTTTTAAAAACCCATTTTCTTCCCAAATGATTTAGTGAATACTATAATTGTGATTAAAGTAAAAAACAAAAGAGGAAATCAGAATTAGCTTCCAAAGTGTTTTGCGTCCAGTCTAGGCAACTCTGACACAGCAGACTATTAATATAACTTGACACTAGAGCAATGCTCTTCTATAATAATCTCAAACATCACAAATAAGTGTGACTGTCTTCAATGTATGGAAAGCAATACACTGAGTAAATAATTACACGTGCAGTTGAATTAGGAATGAGCCCACATCTTGAGTTTTGAAAT
Organism: Homo sapiens; assembly: GCF_000001405.40. Classification (NCBI taxonomy): domain Eukaryota; kingdom Metazoa; phylum Chordata; class Mammalia; order Primates; family Hominidae; genus Homo; species Homo sapiens. Next base: position 111,343,786 of record NC_000003.12, on the reverse strand, counting down.
AAAATTATATCAATCCAGAGCAGCCCCTGGCATTTGTCCTGGTCCCTTGCCCCACACTCTTTCTCAAGGAGGTGGAAGGGACAAGTTCAGTGCAGGGTCCAGGGGTGGTAGGGAGAATTCACCCAAGTCAGTGTAACAAAGGGAAGGTAGAAAAGGATACTTCACCTCACACTGCTAAAACTTTGTGTTCTACTTTAGAAGATTACCCTGTTCTGCATATGCAGATTCCAGAGAAAAAGCAACCTTGGGGAAAGGTCATTACAGGCTTATCAAAAAATACTATAAAACATAATTAACAAACAACAATATTATTTTCTTCCTCTGTAGCATAGCCACATAATATTCCCAGGCTTGGGGATGGTGGCAATCAAGGAAAATGTATTACCCTCTTTCAGGCTCAGGTTCTTAAACAACTGGTATTCTCTGAGCTATGGAATGCCTTGTTCTACCTCTCCAGGTTGGGCATTTATGACTATAATTGACTGGGAGGTGTAATGTTCAAGAACTTCTTAACAGGTAACCAAAAGGAGAAATTAGCATGAGTTTCTCACTTGTTCAGGAGCCCGCAGTTTCCATAAAAGTGCCCCCTGAATAATGACCAAGTTATCATATCTAAGTATCTTATGAAATTATTAAACTCAACTACAATTACTACAGCTAATAAAGTGCAACTGAAGAGCACATAGCAGCAGTAATTGTGTGGCAGAATGATTAAACAGCAGGCTGCAATAATTATTCCAATCCATCTTCAGAGATGGAGTTGAAGCTCTAACAATCAAATCAATCAATTAGTGAAAAAGAGCACTGAGGGGGAAACATCAATGAAAAACAAGTTTTCACAACAAAGCAATAAATCAATTTCAGATAACCGTGATGCATCATTGTACAAAAAAGTGGTATGATACCAGTTATTGCAATTAAATACTAAAGCAATGTTTTCATTGTCTGTAATTCCAGCTCAAACTGGAGAAGGACATAATTTTTGCCAGCCTTTGTGGAATTTAAATAAATACTCAGGATTCAATTTAGATGTTTAAGACTAATGCCAAACCAAATCTCCTTTTTCAATAAGCCTCAAGTTCCTCCTACTTTCTTCTGCCAGACACTCAAACAACCTTGGGTAATAGACTTCATGCTCAGCCTAGAAAAAAAGTCAGGGGTTCTCTGTATTGTATTTTACAACTTCCAAAGCATTTTGCCATATTATCTATGGATTTTCTAGACAAGTTTCAAGGGAGGTAGCAAAAGTATATATTTTTAATTTATCTGTTTTACAGAGAGGCATACTGAGTGTATTGGTCTGTTTTCATGCTGCTGATAAAGACATACCTGAGACTGGGAAATTTACAAGAGAAAGTTTTATTGGACTTAAACAGTTCCATGTGGCTGGGGAGGCCTCACAATCATGGTGGAAGGTGAAAGGCACATCTCACATGGTGGCAGACAAGGGAAGACAGCTTGTGAAGGGACACTCCTCTTTAAAATCATCAGATCTCCTGAGACTCACTATCATGAGAACAGTGCAGGAAAGACCTGCCCTAATAATAGAATCATCTCCCACTGGGTTCCTCACATGACACATGGGAATTGTGGGAGTTACAAGTCAAGATGAGATTTGGGTGAAGACACAGCCAAACCATACCAAACCACATCATTCTGCCCTATTCTCTCCCAAATCTCACATTTCCTCACATTTCAAAACCAATCATGCCTTCCCAACAGTCCCCCAAAATCTTAACTAATTTCAGCATTAACTCAAAAGTCCACAGTCTAATGTCTCATCTGAGACAAGGAAGGTCCCTTCTGCCTATGAACCTGTAAAATAAAAAGCAAGTTAGTTACTTCCTAGATACAATGGGGGTACAGAGATTGGGTAAATACTACTGTTCCAAATGGGAGAAATTGGCCAAAACAAAGCGCTACAGGTCCCATGCAATTCTGAAATCCAGTGGAGCAGCCAAATCTTAAAGATTCAAAATGATCTCCTTTGACTCCAAGTCTCACATCCAGGTCATGCTGATGCAATAGGTTGGTTCCCATGTTCTTGGGCATCTCCACCCCTATGGCTTTGCAGGGTACAGCCTCCCTCCCGGCTGCTTGCACAGGCTGCTGTTGAGTGTCTGCAGCTTTTCTGGGTGCACGATGCAAGCTCACAGTGGATCTACCATTCTGGGGTCTGGAGGATGGTTGCCCTCTTCTCACAGCTTTAATAGGTGGTGCCCCAGTAGGGATTCTCACCCCACATTTCCCTTTCCCATTTCCCTAGCAGAGGTTCTCCATGAAGGCCCCACCCCTGCAGCAAACTTCTTCCTGGACATTCAGGTGTTTCCATAGATCTTCTGAAATCTAGGCAGAGGTTCCCAAGCCTCAATTCTGGACTTCTGTGCACTTACAGGCTCAACATCACATGGAGGCTGCCAAGGCCTGGGGCTTGCACCCTCAGAAGCAACAGCTTGAACTCTACATTGGCCCCTTTCAGCCATGGCTGGAGCAGCTAGGATGCAGGATACCAAGTCTCTAGGCTGTACACAGCATGGGGACCCTGGGCCAGGCCCACAAAACCATTTTCTCCTAGGCCTCAGGCCTTTGATGGAGAGGCTGCTGTAAAGACCTCTGACATGCCCTGGAGACATTTTCCCCATTGTCTTGGGGATTGGCATTCAGTTCCTTATTACTTATGCAAATTTCTGCAGCCAACTTGAATTCCTCCCCAGAAAATGGGGTTTTCTTTTCTATCACATTGTCAGGCTGTAAATTTTCCAAAGTCTCATGTTCTGCTTTCCTTATAAAACTGAATGCCTTTAACAGCACCCAAGTCACCTCTTGAATGCTTTGCTGCTTGGAAATTTCTTCCACTAGATACTTTAAATCATCTCTCTTGAGTTCAAAGTTCCACAAATCTTTAGGGCAGGGGCAAAATGCCACCAGGCTCTTTGCTAAAACATAACAAGAGTCACCTTTGCTCCAGTTCCCAACAAGTTCGTCATCTCCATTTGAGACTACCTCAGTCTGGAACTTTTTGTTGATAACACTATCAGCATTTTTGTCAAAGCCCTTAACAAGTCTCTAGGAAGTTCCAAACTTTCCCACAATTTCCTGTCTTCTTTTGAGCCCTTCAAACTGTTCCAACCTCTGCCTGTTACCTAGTTCCAAAGTCACTTCCACATTTTTGGGTATCGTTTCAGCAATGCCCCACTCTACTGGTAGGAATTTACTGTACTGGACTGTTTTCATGCTGCTGATAAAGACATACCCGAGACTAGGAAATTTACAAAAGAAAGAGGTTTTTTGGACTTACAGTTCCATGTGGCTGAGAAGGCCTCACAATCATGGTGGAAGGTGAAAGGCACATCTCACATGGTGGCAGACAAGAGAAGAGAGCTTGTGCAGGGAAACTCCTCTTTTTAAAGCCATCAGATCTCATGAGATTCACTATCATGAGAATAGCACAGGAAAGACCCACTCCCATAATTCAATCACATCCTACTGGGGTCCTCTTGCGACATGTGGGAATTGTGGAAGTTGCAATTCAAGGTGAGGTTTGGGTGGGGACACAGCCAAACCATATCACTAAGACTCAGAGAAGTAACTTTTCCAAGGCCACGTAGATGGTGAATCAAACAAAGATAGGGCCATGTGTCTTCCTACCTCAATTACTCTATACTGCTTGGATGGCTACTAAAATTCAGAGGAAAGAATTTAAGGAAAACTCCCAAAGTCATCTTCTCCCTGTAGGTAGCTGCAAGAGACTGAAGTCAGCATGGAGAGATGCTGAGTGGTCACAAGGAGAGCTTAGTGCAGACCTCTGAGATACAGGCCCACCCTTGAATAGGCCACAATGGTCTTAAAATGACACCTCTTAGGGCCACTCTAGATGTGACTGGAGCCTCCAAGGCTCAGTCTGGTGCAGGCTTCTGCTTCTTGTATTGTCCTAAAAGGGATTTTGACAGTATCTTTGAGCCATTTCTGTTGTAATGCTGATTAACAACATCTACTTATACCATTGACTGAATACTTAGAATGTGCTAGTCGCTGTGTTAAGTCTATTACATATATTATCTCAAGTTAATTCACAAAAATACATTCACAAATGAGTATGAAATGTAGCTTGTGAACTATATTCAAAAATGAGTATGAACATCCCCTTTTATATATTTTTTTAATTCAAGCTCAGAAAAGTTAACTTTTGCAAAGTTACAGGGCAAGTAAATGGTGAAGTCAAACCTCATACTCAAGTTTTTTACTCTGTGTCAAACTGCTTCTCACTTAACACTTCATTTCCAACATTTTGGTTGTTTAATTAGTTATGTATAATACAAGAGATATTAGCATTTCTCATTGGCATCACCTTCCAAACATTTCAAAAGAGTATTTCTTTTGATCTCATTTTCCAAGCAAAATTCAAAATTAGTGGGTACAGAAAAGATGAATATGAATTTCTCCTGGGTGGTTTATAAAATCTACCCATAATTTTAAAAACTGAAGTTATTAAATAATGGCAGGAAAGTGATGTGTTATGGGTTCCCAAGATCACAGCCAGGTTAAGTGACCTGCTAGAACTTATATGACTCAGCATAAAGTTGTACTCATGGCTATGCTTTATTGTAGAGGAAGGATACAAAAATATCAGCCAAGTGAAAATGTGCATGAAGTCCAGAGAAAAACAGATTCAAGCTTCCAAGAGTCTCCTCCTCCCAGGAGAATGATGCTTGATACACTGAATTCCTCTAGCAACAAATTATGACAATGCACATGAAATGTTGCCTATCAGAGAAGTTCATTAGAGATCCAGTGCCCAAAGTTTTTACCTAGAGCTGGCCACTTAGACTCCATCTACTAAACACATATCAAAATTCCAGACTCCCAGAAGGCACACAGACATTCAACATAAATTACATTATTTGCACAGTTTAGGCACAGTGAGGCTTTCTTATCAGAAATGATAGGAATCTTCCAAAAACCTAAGTTTCCATGCTTTAGGCAAAGGCTAACTTTATAAGCAGGACTTCAATGATTGGAAAGACTGCTATGCTAACATTTTTCTAAGCAGATGACTTTTGTCATGATTTTTCATATTATTTTTTTCTTCTCCATCTTCCTTTCCTTCCTTCTTTCCTTCTGTTTATAAGAACCGGAAACCAAGACTGTTGGGATCCATTTTCGCTAATGCATTAGGTAAGTCAGACATGCATTTCCACCTTGCATTTCCTGGTTAGCTTGCCACCTTTCTTACAAAAGTCTGGTCATGATTTCTTCTGAGAATCAAACTCTCTGGAATCTCAACCTCATGGTCTCTCTCATTTCTCTCAGTAGCTTCCAGGCACCGAAGAATCCTGTTTTGGAGCTTCCAACCTAGGTGTCCCTCTTAGTGGGAAGAACTATTTGATATCTTCCCTTGATGACTCACAGGACTCACTGTTCATATAGAGTTCCCAGGAATTCAATATTGCTCATGGAGGGAGTTCAGATATACATATTCTCTTGCAAAATTATCAGTCCCTTCTAAGGCCTCAAACAGAAGCACTAGGTGGCGCTCTGGATTGGCCCTTTAAAATACAAGGCAGGCAAGGAATATTGCCTCCAGGGAGAAGCAGATAACATGAAGGGAAAGTACAGACTGGAGGGCAAGGAAGAATGAGAGAAAGTAGTTTAAAGAAAGAGACAAAAACAGAGCCAAAAGGCATCCTCAGGTTAGGGTGATCCTAAGTCAGAGGAGATTCAGAGCTGAAATGGTAATAAAACCCAAAAGTCATGAGAGAGAGAGAAACGTTACTTCATAAGTCTCTTCATTGAGTGTGGATCTTTGAATGTGTGAATAGTTCACACATTCAACCAGCCTGATTATCCTGTGTAGGAGGAATAAATAATTATTTAAGAGAATATCTACAAATGAACCTGTTAACACCACACAGATACTAGCCAATTATTAACCGGTTGTTTGAATTGAAATACATTTTTATTTATCTTCAGTTCAGTTTGATTTGTGTATATCTACTCTTATGGGTACTGAAAAACAAATCATAGAGTTTTTGCTATGGGGTGGGGGGCATTTTTTGTTTTGTTTTGTCTTTTGTTTTGTTTTGTTTGAGACCGAGTCTCGCTCTGTCGCCCAGGCTGGAGTGCAGTGGCACGATCTCGGCTCACTGCAAGCTCCACCTCCCGGGTTCACGCCATTCTCCTGCCTCAGCCTCCCGAGTAGCTGGGACTACAGGCGCCCGCCACCGCGCCCAGCTAATTGTTTTTGTATTTTTAGTAGAGACGGGGTTTCACCGTGTTAGCCAGGATGGTCTCAATCTCCTGACCTCATTTTGTTTGTTTTCTTGAAAAAGATTTACTGCTTAAACTGTGAAAAACAATAGCCTTACTTTCAACATGCCTCCCTCTTTTGTCTTCCTCTTTCCTCCCCAGGATCTGTTTTTTGCCACCTCCTCCATCCCACCCTTTCTGTTCCCCTTCTCCTTCCCTTGATGCCCAAGTTCCTACAATATCTGGTGACTTCTGCCCCCTCCTCTCTTCCAGCCACATTCCCTGTTTTGTAAGTCCTTGAAATAAATGGCATTTCTTCGTTAGGGGTTGGACCTTACTTAGGTCCTTGTTGGAAATACTTTATTCTACCCATGGCTAGGAGCCTCCATGAAATCAGGCAAATGCCCATTCAGCTATGTCAGCTGAATATTGTCTTAGACTTAGCATGTTGATAAAAAATGAGATTTTTTTTGTAATTTAAAATTGGAGTTGTTATGAGAAAACAACTCTGCAAAACCATGTTTAAAGATTTTCCTATAGTGTTGCCTGCTTAACGGGTATTCAGAGAGAAAAGGCCAGCAGCCAAGGGGTTTCTGAAAGGAGCTGAAAGCTGCTGATCCAGTTCAAAAGGGACAGAGAGGATTTTTAAAACAAATTTTATGCAAAATAAAAACCATCCCAGTGAGAACCTTAAAAAGAGGGACTCTAACTGACTTTTCATAAGGCAGCCAGGTACTCTCCACTCTTCGGTGGTGAGCTTACTGTGTGACAATCCTTTTTTACTGTGGTTTTGACTCACAGGGGAGACAGTCAGAAATAAAGAAGGGAAGAGCCAGTATTTTGATGTCTGTCTGCAAAAGGATGTGGAACTGCCTCATTCTGATAAGGAAACTGCTAAATGAAGACAGCTGCAGGCTCTTTTAAACTCAAAGATACGTGTAGCCTGGAAAGGACTGAAGCAAGACAGCTAGTTGGAAAAAGCAGTGCAAATGAAGGCAATGCATTCTCCACCCCTCCCTGTTCAGATTTTCTGTTTGCCCAGAGTTTCTGAGGCTAATAAAAGTTGAAAATCACTTTGCACCTCAAATTAGATAACAAGTGACATAAACATTAATTTCATGGACTCTGTATATAAGTACCAGGAACTCTTCACAGAACATTTGTTAACTAAATTTTTATTATTTATGTAATTCATAATTATTCTAAAATAGCAAAATTTAACGTGATCATGTGTATCTATCTATATTCCCAGTTGGAACTGACAAAGATTTAAATGTAGCCAATTATCAGAATCACTAGGAAATTTTAGTAGAAATTTCTAGGCTTACTTCCAGAAATTCTTCTGCAGTAGGTCACAGATCTCTGTGTTTTTGAAAATCTAAGCTATTGACTTTCATACAAATCAGGTTTGGTATTCTCTGAATATCACTACTAGCATTCCAAGTTACCAGAATTGCAAATATAGTTTAAAACAGAGCTTCTATAATTAATATGCACATTATTCATCCAGGAATATTGTTAAAATGTAGATTCTGGTTAGTATCTCTGGGATTGAGAATAGATTCTGCATTTCTAACAAATTTCCAAAGGATGCTGACATTGTTAGTTTTTACACTTTGAGAGTAGCTACACAGTAGACTAAGCCCGCAAAATCTCAGAGACTGAACACACTGAATGCTTGCTTCTCACTCATGGAAAGCCTGGTGTGGATTGGTTGCTTCTTCTGCACCTCATAGCTATGACATTTGAAACCTTTGGCCTCCAAAGTTACCAGAATAGGAGATGAAAGGGATGGAGGTTGGTACTGTGGCTCTTAAGTGCCTCAATCTAGAAACAATGCATGACATTTACCAGTACTAGGCATGTGGCCCTAAATTAACTGCAAAGGAGGCTGAGTAATATAGAGAAGCTCATGTAAATTTGGTGTTAGTGGCGTCTGCCACAGGGATCTACTGTTGGACCTAAATAGTTAAAATTTTAAAATATCTAATGGATAAATGCTTGGTTTTATCTTTGTTTGCTAATTGTGTTTTAGTCTAAACTACACCATGCCACCAGAATAAAATCCCTTCCTCTTTGATTCACTTGGCTGCATAGAGTCATTATTTTGTCGACTATATGAACCCCAGGAAGCATGATAATATGATCCATTATTATATTCTATATAAAGTTATATTATGTTGAATTATAACATTTGCATTCAATAACATATTTGTATTTGGAATAAAAATACTAAAAGCAGGAAATTCCCAATAAGTGTATCATGGAAATAATGGTGGGCTTGCAAATCCAGAGAGCAGGTAAGCAGAATCATCAAATATAACACAATTCACTTCAAGTCCTCTGTTCAGACTGGATCCCTTCACTTAGTTGCATACTCACCTCCTTCCATCCTCTTTGATAACCAACATTCAGAACACCCTTTCTAGCTTTCCTGGCTTAGGTAAGTAACTTAGCTTTGTTGAGTCTCAGTGTCTTCATGGGTAAAATGGGAATTTAGAAACTATGCCTCATAAGATTGTCATAGTGACAGAATAGTCAATAAATATTCCCCTCTTAGAAACAGATTCTAAACAAAATGGAAAAACTTAAAGTAGGAGAAAGGGTAGATGCGAATACATTTAGGGAACTGCTCTGAATTTCATTATGCCTTGGTTTCATGAATCAATGTTTATAAGTATAAATATTATACATGGAGGAAATGTTGAGACAATTGTCAGATCATCTAGGTGAGACCCATGGAGACAAGGAGATCCTCACTGGTGACTGGAAGATCAGTGTTAATAAAATAGAAATCTCTCAGTGCCCCTTCAGTACTATGATTCTATAATAATAACATTATTTCAATCACATGATTCCCACTTTTTTCCTACAAAGATTGATGTTTTTACATAAGCTTAGTGACTCCCCTTGTTTTGTTCCCCAAAGCTTGTATAATGTCTTTGCAGAAAGTTTTTTACTATATATTTAATTATTACATAATGTTATTTTGATGAACATTCTGATTTCTAGATGACAGAGATTTTTAATGTTTGAAAGCTTATAGAATACTTTGTTAATTAAAAAAACTATAAGCCCCTCTTTCTTAGAAAAATTCACATTATCTGTACACATAAATTGGTATATATAATCTCAAGAGGTTCACAGACCTCCAATTCCTTATATGAATTCTCTGCCCTGTAGTGACAACTTGGTCAGCTTTTTAAAATTTACCAATAAATGCTATTAATATGCAGGAAATACAAGTGTTTCTGACAGAATGAAGCAAGTAATCCCACAAACATTCATGGGATGACCAGAAAGCCTAGGAAAATCCCAAGATAATAGGATACCTTTTACATTTTCCCCAAATTTCTTGCCCCTGCTGCACTTTTTCTAAAACGGAGATTTTCTCTTTCCATCACATCTTCTGTGAAGCCTTCCTTGATGCTACCAAATAAAATTAATCTTTTCTCCATTATATATCACCTATCAGGGAGTCAGCATGTGGAGGCAACGGTTTATACATCTCTACATCTTCAGCGTCTGATCCAGAAAATGGTAGATAGTGAGCATTGAGTATTTATTTAACTCTGCTGAATGGCAGGCCACATTGATCTTATTGAAAATTTTTTTTGTGTGTAGCCCATCAGAGGCAGAATAAGCAGAACATTCCTGACAGACTACATCACCAGCCCCTCCTTTGCCAGATCATGCCTAGCTCAGCATGGAACAACTATTAGTCAAATTAAATTAAATTTCATTTAATATGCTTGTCTCATTTCTTCTGACAAAGAAGTTAATTATACAATAATCTAAAACAAAAGACACGTTCTTTAAATTTATATGAAAATTGGAGCGAGCAGAAAGAAGTGAGCAGCATCATACAGAGAGTCCATTCCAGTTATACAATTGAGACTCTATGACTGAGGTTTTCCATTTATCTCAAAAGCTTGCAATAAAGTTTCATTTTGGCGTGGAAGTGTCACTATTGGTCTCTGGAGGAGAACAATCAGGAATCAGAAGAATAAACAGATTGTTAGATTTTGAGGCACATTATCAGAAAAATACAAAGCATCCAGTTAAATTTGCATTTCAGGTAAAACAACAAATAACTTTTTAGTATAAATATGTCCCAAATATTACATAGAATATATTTATCCAAAAACCTTTGTTAATTCACCTGAAATTAAGATTTAATAGACATCCTCTCTTTTTATTTGCATAATCTAGCAACCCTAATTTGAGGGCCAAATCCTCACAACCAAAAAAAAGAAAAAAAAAAAAAAAGCTCTGCAGTATCACCATTCTCATCCCCTCCCTGAGAATCCTTTTTGAACAACTTTCATTTGCGTTTTCATTTACCATGTTCCAAAGACATTGCTTTCACCTCTAAGTAGCTAGTTTTTCCTGATGGCAGCCTGTAAGCCTGTAACTTCCCATATCGTTTACATCTGTGGTAATTGCATTTCTAAGAAACATAAGATTCTCAGCAATTCTGTTTTCCACTTTTTCCCCAATGGGTGGTTTACAAGGAAGAGGGGCTAGTGCCGAATATTCTTGGCTGTCGCTCCTGAGCTCTCCTCCTTGCTGGTATGTGTTGTGTGAGGATGCCAGCTGTCACCCTGTGGTTGTCTGGTGGGGCTATCCCTTTGGGGAAGAGCAGACAGTCCCCCCTCAAAGAGGGGAAAGGCCCCCAGAGGTCAGCAAAGGCCAACACCTGTTGGGTTTTGAGAGTGTTCCAAAGTGAATTCAAAAGGCCTTGCCTTGCTATTTATATTGGGAAAGGACAAAAGGGACTTAAAATCTTGAGACAGCTGATCAAGACACAGCACACTTACATATTGGCGAAAGAGAACAGATGTGGCTTCTGATGAACTATGTATAGGATCAACCTGGGAGTTCCCCTCAATCATTTTGATGGATATAGAGCATCAGCACATGTGTCAACTCTCCATGGGTCACTGCATGGATTTCTCTGTTTGTTTTTTGTTTTGTTTTGTTTTTGGTTTCCATATGAACCAAATATCCTGGGTTTATTTTGCCCCAGTATATTGAACAACATGACATTTTAGTGGTATTCCATTCTAAGTTTGAATCTTGCTAAACTATCCATCACTTTCTTTGACAGTGTTGGTGGTCTTAGTGGTATTTTGAGAAAATAAGCAAAGGTCAAAAAGCATATGAGGCTCTGTGACCAAAATTATAACATTTTAGTAAAATATTTACTAAACTGTTTATTTTTTTTTTTTGAATGTCTGCTTATCTGTCCCAAATGTGCCTAATACCACATTAAGACCAGTGTATTTAGTGGAATGCCTAGGGGAAGTTTTAAGCTTGGAAAATAACTAGGACCTTCTAGTTCTTGATAATCATCAGGACCTAAAATAAGGGTCACATTTACTTCAAAGAAGTACTAGTGCAGTAAGATCAAAGGTTCATCTTGCGCCAGCCTTCACGGCAAGCTGAATTGTACTAATGGCCTTACAACATATGGAAGAGCAATCTGTATCATTCTACTGAAAAAGGATGCACATCACAGCTCTTTGTAAATGGATTTTCAAGCTTATTCCTAGTATTCCCTGGCATAGATCTGATATTGTTACATGCCTTTGCACCATGTTATTACTGCTTGGAAACCACCATAAATGTTTTCCTCAACTTTTTCACTTGACAAACTCTGACTTTTTTTGAAGACACAACTCAAATATCACATCTATTCAGTATTCCCATGGCCCTTGGGTCTACCCTGTAGGAGCCCTGACCCCACGATAGGGTGGGATTCAGAGAATGGAATTAGTTAAGGTAGCCTAACCCAGTATGAGTGGGTAGAAAATTAAAATGATTGAAAGAGTAATCTAAGGTTGGGATTGGGGAGATAACTCATTACCAGGTAAAATGGCAAATAAGAATGGAGTAAGTTTTAAGATCATTAGCTGAGAATGATTTTTTTATTTCTGAAGTTGTAAATCACTGTTGAAATATCCTTTATATATGTAGTGTATGGTGTAGAGCCAATGCGAGATGGCAAAGTCCACCCTGACTGATCACAATTTGTTATTGCTTCACATATTGATTTTTGCCTTTCATCTTAGTTGTCACCTCTAGATCCAGAGTCCTTGTTTTTCTATATTATCACAATCTCTACCATAATGCAAGGCATGTAGTAGGTGTTCAGTGAGTGTTGCTGATTGACTCATTGCCTATAGATTTGTAACTTCTTCAAGGGGGCAGTGTAAGTTAGTGACTTGTCTCTTAGGCATAGTTTTTACCTTTACAGTGGTGATGACTAGTTCACAAGGATTCTATGTCCTTGGAAATGTTGGACAATGACACTTTATAGACTGTCAAATATGCTTTATTATCAAAGACAGTGGAATCGAACTCACTTCTTTACCTCATCTTAGACCTATGTACATAAAAAGCCAACTCCAAGAAGGTATGGAACACAAATTACATGCAACTGTGGTTCCTGCTTCAACATTTGTAATGGGATAAAACAAGGTTTATTTGAAGATCAAAGGGATTGCTGTAGGGATATGTTAGGGGCTAAGGAGTATGTTAGGGACTAAGACAAGAAAAGTTGAAAACAAAAAGAACAAATTCTATAGCTTTTCCCTGCTGGGGAAAAGAAGAGAATAAGTTATGGGCTACAAAAAGTTATGATCTTGTACTGCCTCCACAACCCATCCTGTCTTCCTCCCATGGATCTACTTTAATTTACCACCCATTTTCCAAAGGCCAAAGACAGGAAAATCCCAATTTCAGTGGAATCAAGATTGTTCTTGATTTTCTGTGCCTTAGGACCTTGCTACTCAAAGTGTATTCCTAAGGTCAACAACATTAGTATCGCATAGGAGCTTGTTAGAGTTGCAAAATCTCAGGGCCTAGCCCAGACTTACTAAAGGAGAATCTGTATTTTAACACGATCCCTGGGAAATTTATATGCACTCATGATAACATGGGAAGCTATGACCTAGGATAAGCAATACACAGAGTGTCATCCTTCAAGAGAATTCACCCTAAGACATTTTAAAATCACTCCAGAGAATAATTGCCCATTCACTCTTGTTTCCACATGAGACCTGGCTTGAACCTTCTATCATCATGCTCATCCCAACAAAGCTTACCCAGCCTTTGCACAGTTCCTGTAGTCACTGAGATGATCAGCTACCTATTCACTTTTCCATTCCTCATTTACAATATGAGCTCTACAGACAATCTTGGTCAGCAAGAATGGCCAGCTGACTCACTGACCGGTATCTAAGTTATTATTACATGCCACCTTGTAGGCTTTCTCCTTTGGTGGCAGACATTAGGATTTTCTCAGTTGCAGGTGAAGAAGGAATATTTGGATTTTCTCTATCAACATTATTAATTTTTTTGATTCTATATCAACATTATTAACATTTCCCCCATATACTTTTATTTGGATATTAAAAAAATAAGGGTATAACTTTCAATCTGACCTACTCTGACTGGTACCTGGACAATAAATGACTCTTTTAAGGGAGAGCTCTCCACCCTGCTGCATTCTTCTCTGTGCCCCTAGGAGGCTGACTTCTAGAGGCTGTATTAGCTAGGTTGGGGTGCCCTTGGCCTTCTAGGTGGATTTGGCCAGTGGAAGGCATGAGGATACTAAAGGATGAGAAGAAGAAGAAGTCTGGGTGTTTTTCTGCCTTCCACTTCCCTTCAGATCTCCTTGCCATTTAGGCCTACTGGTGGTAAGAGCTTCTTGCTGATATTAATAAGTGTTTTATCATCTATTATAGGTAAGCTTGATCCTGCCCATATCTTTTAACATAATGTCTTTAATAAAGTCTCTTTAATTCCCTCTTTGAGTACTCAGTCCCATCTGTGTCCTGCCAAGACCCTGACTGATTTAGTCACATTGTTTTCTTTGCTCTCAGCTTAGTCTTAAATATGCACAATGTAGCACACTTGCAGGTTCCTGTTACTTTTAATTAGATCATTGTTCACTTGACACCTCTCTAGCCTGCTTGCAAGTGACCTCTCTTGGTGCTCTAAGTCAATGCTTCTCTAATTTTAATGACTTGCATACACATCACCTGAGCGATCTTGTTACAATCCAGATTCTGACTCAGAGGTCACGAGTGGGGCCCGAACTCTTTGACTTCTAATAAATTCTTGGGTACTGAAGGTTTTTGGGCCCACAGACCACACTTTGAGGCTTCAATTCAAACATTGAAGACCAAGAGGGATGAAGGAGAGCAATGGTTCTCCAAGCATACTTAGTTCTTAACCAGCAGCATCAGCACCACCTGAGGACAAGACTGTTACAAATGCAAATTCTGGGTCCCTAACCCAGACCTACTTAATCAGAAGTTCTGGGGTGGGGATCAGCAATCTATGTTTTAGCAAGCCCTCCCAGTGATTCTGATTCACAGCTAAGTTTGAGAATCACTGAAATAGAAGATAGTGCACTTGTAATAGCTATTTTTGAGTTAAAATTACTTGAGTGACTTCACATAAAACAAGGCATGGATTCCTCAGAATAAATCTATTCAATATAGAGAAGCAATATAATGCAGGAAATTGACATTAGCCACATTGACAGAATTTTAAATTTCTGCTATTGTCATACACAATATCATGAAGGAAAAGAAAGTTACCAATAAATGTGTTTTGAAGATAGCACATTTCCTCAAGATTCAGTTCATTTTAATCATACTTATAACACTCAGATCTATGGTAGGTACTGCAAGAGATACAAATCTCTAGTCAGTCTTTGTCTTATGGAATTTACAATCTCAAGGAGGGAAAAAAACAAGCATTGGCTGGGACTACTGCAAGGCTTCTTTCTAGGATTCAAATTATGAAATCAGAGAATAAGGAATGATCAGAAGTCTGTAAAACGGCAGCATGGAGATAGAATATTTCCTGGACTAGAAGCAAGATGGACAAGAATCAGGTGATCCTTGGATAAAGGAGAGCCACAGAGATAAACACTATTGAATTCTGTTGTCTGGTTTAGCCCTACTGTGAAGCTGCTTTTGACTAGAGTATCTTTTGTACCAAGCTTTTGAATCACAGCATCGCTCTGATTACATGCCTACCAAGCAAATTTCTGGCTTTTGCTATTGCATTTGTTGTATAGCCAGAGAACGACCATCCACTAGTATGACCAGTTTACTAGACAGTTGATCTCATTCTAAATTAACATAATTTCATTCTTGGCTCATGTTCATACTTTTGTGCATTTAAGAATTGTGAGCTAGATGTGATTGACGTGGAACACTGACAAGATAGAATTTTTGAATAGTGAGGCTAGAATTACGGGTTGGACCACAGCAGTTTCTCTACTATAATGCTACCTATATAGTTTCTTTATGGATAACCAACCAGTCTCTAGTGGTAATATCCATCTCAATATACATCCCATTTAAACCTTTGAAAGTCACACAAATATGAGAAGGCCATGGCAGTTGCATAAAAGTGGTCTGCCTAAGATAAATATTCAAAGGAAGAGTCAAACAGATCAGATTGGGAGATATGCTCAGGAAGATCAGTAAAACTTAGAGAATGGGTAGACTTTTTTTAATTGAAAAAGAATTCAAATAGCATAAAATCTACCTTTTTTTAGTGTATGATTTAGTGGTTTTTTTTTTTTTTTTTTAAGACAGAGTCTTGCTCTGTCACCCAGGCTGAAGTGCAGTGGCACAATCTCAGCTCACTGCAAGCTCTGCCTCCCGAGTTCACGCCATTCTCCTGCCTCAGCCTCCCAAGTAGCTGGGACTACAGGTGCCCACCACCATGGCTGTTTAATTTTTTTTGTTTGTTTGTTATTTTTTAGTAGAGACAGGGTTTCACCATGTTAGCCAGGATGGTCTCGATCTTCTGACCTTGTGATCTGCCCATCTTGGCCTACCAAAGTGTTGGGATTACAGGCGTGAGCCACTGCACCCGGCCTATTTAGTGGTTTTTAATACATTCACGAAGTTCTGCAACCATCACCACTATATAATTCCAAATATTTAGACTCCCAAATTGATTTGTATTTTCAATGCAATGCCAAGACCATTGAATAGATAAAGAATAGTCCTTTCAACAAATAGTGTTAGAACAATTAGATAGCCACATGCAAAAGAGTAAAGTTATATTTTTAACCTCATACAATATGCAAAAATAACTGAAAATGGATTAAAGATCTTGATGCAAGAGCTAAAACTACAAAACTCTAAGAAAACATAGCAGTAAATCTTTATGACCTCATATTTGGCAACAGATTCTTTTATGTGGCACAAAAAGCACACGACAAAAGAAAAAATAGATAAATTAGACTTCATCAAAATTAAAAACTTTTGTGCTTCAAAAGACACAAAATCACAAAAATAAAAATACAAAAAATATAAAATAAATGAATAAAATAAATAAATAGTAATAAAATAAATAAATAATATATAAATATAAATATAAAAAATAAAAAGACAATTCACGAGGTGGAAGAAAATACTTGCAAATCATATATCTGAGAAAGAGACTTGTATCCAGAATATATAAAGAATATATAAAGAGCTGTTACAACTCAATAATAAAATGAGAACTTGATTTAGAAACCTACAAATGATGTGAATAGACACATCTCTAGAAAAGATATATAAATAGCCAATAGTGCATGAAAAAAAAATGCTCACATTATTAGTCATTAGGAAAATGCCAGTAAAAACCACAACGAGATACCACTTCACAGCCACTAGGATGGCTATAATCAAAATGACAGACAATAATAGTTGTTGGTGAAGATTTAGAGAAATTGAAACCCGCCTACCTTGCTGTTGGGGTTGTGAAATGGTGCAGATACTTTGGAAAACAATCTGGCAATTCCTCAAAAAGTTAAACAGAATTACCATATGGGTCAGCAATTTCATTCCAAGACAATTGAAAACATATGTTCACAAAAAAATACACAAATGTTCATAGCAGCATTATTCATAACAGACAAAAGATGTAACAACCCAAATATCTATCAACTAATTAAAAAACAAAATGTGGTATAGTCATACAATGGAATGTTACTCAGCCATGAAAAGCAATGTAATATTGATACATGCCATAACATGTATGAACCTTAAAATATTATACTAAGGGAAAAAATGCCAGTCACAAAGGACCATGTAGTACATGATTTTATTTGCATAAAATGTCCAGAATAGGACAATTTAGAGACACAGGAAGTGGATTAGTGGTTGCTTAGGGCTGCGGGGGAGGGAGATGGAGATACTAGTAGATTAGTTGTTGCTTAGGCCTGTGGGGAAGAGGGGATGGAGATACTAGGGGGTAATACCTAAAGGTTAACGGGTTTCTTTCTGAGGTGATGAAAAATGTTCTAAAATTGTTTGTGGTGATGATTGCTTGACTCTGAATATACTTAAAACCCTTAAATTGTATATTTTCAACAGGTGAATTTTACGGTATGTGATATATATCTCAATAAAGCTGTGGTTTTTTTTATTTAAAAAAAAAAGTCAAAAAGAAATGATGGAGAGAAAACAAGTCCTTGGTATTGTTTGAATTATTGGACCATGCCTTGCCTAAAGTCATTTCTGCCTCAACACTCTCAGTTACATGAACCAGATAAATATCTCCATTGTTTAAATCAATTTGAGTTGAGATTTGGATTACTTGCAACATACTTGGATTCATAACGAACATATACTGTGGCAATGACTTATCAGGAAAAATTGAGTTAAGAAAGCAGGTTGAGAGCAGGGAAACGAAATAAAGGCTATGACAATAATTGAGAGAATGACAGGCAGTGAAAAGGAGTTGGCAATGTGGATGCTGAATCTAGAAGATTGGAAGAGGGAAAATTGAAAATGTCTGAAGAGACAAATCTTAGGAATTGGAGATCTCTGCTGAACTCTGAGCCCTGGCTGGTAAGGACAGTGTTTAATTCATCATTGCTGCATTACACAGTTTAGCTGCTGTAATAATTCCGAAGCACCATTTGCTTTCAACTATCATTTATTTCTTGCTCATATGATATGTAGACTGTGAGTCAGCTGCAGCTCTGCTTCAGGCTGCAGCTCTCTTGCCTATGGCCTCTCGTTCCAGAAGCCAGGAAGAAGGGGCAAGCCCTCTCTGGGAATACTGCTCTCAGGCAAGGGAAGGCAGGGCCAGAGCATTGGCCAAACTTGCAATGCTTTTTGAAAGCCTTTGCTCACTCATGGTGTATATCACAGCCCATATTCCTTTGCCCAAAATATGTCACATGGCCAACCAAACCCAAAGTCAATGAAGCAGAAAAGTATTACTTTCCACACGGAAAACACCATAAATCACACAGCAATGAGCGGGGATATAGTACCTTCTCCAGGAGAAGGAAGAAGTGAGTAATTGTTAACAATAACTCAATTTCTCAAAATTGCTTTTCCTTACCTATCATTCTACCTGGTATATTGTAGATAGCAAACACTTATTTATCATTTGAACAAATTAGGATATAAATGAACAACTATATGCATTGATAAATGGAGAAAGAACCTTTTGTGGAGATGCAAAAAGAAGAGGAAAAGATGAGTTTATGTTGATTTTGAAGAACTAAGGAAGGTAAGGATAGAGATTATTCAGCTAATAATTATAAAGTTGCAGAAAGAGAGTAAGAGTGAAAGTTAAGAGTGAAAGAGACACCGATGGGAGACAGATGCTGTGAAGTAGGTGAGATCACCAAGGAAGACTGTGTACAGTGAGAGCAGAAATGGGTTGTTAGAGCTGGAAGAGAAATAGATGCCATGAAACATCAGTCAGGATGTGGTCAGAGGCCAGAACAATGCAATGTCAAGGGTTTTGAAAAGAAAAGGTGGTCAATAGTGTCCAAGGTATGTTAATAACCATTAAATGATAGAGTTCTGTCACCTTTTTTTTTTCTACAGAGGTCCATTTCACACAGGAAAATAAGTTAACCGAAGGCTATATGTTAGCAAAAACCTAATTAAATTTTGTGAAGGGTGAAGAAAAGATATTTTGAAGGAGAAAAAAAGATTCAAATCACCTGATTTAAAAATTATGCCCAAGCAGCAAACAAAAATTAATATATATAGCAAACATGTAACAATAAACTTCAATTCCCTATTATAGCCAGATAAGAGAGAAGTAGCAAAGGGAATGAACGAGAATAATAAAGGAAGAGAGGAGGAAATGGAAAAAAAAGGAGGCTAGAACAAAATGAAACTAAAAACAAGGAAGCAGTCTCAGCCTAGTGGTTCTCAACACTGGCTACACGTTAGAATCACCTGGGGAGATTTTAAAAAATACTAATACTTGGGCTCAACCCTGAGAGATTCTCAACTAATAGGCCTAGAATAAGACCTGATATTGGTATTTTTAAAAAGTCCCAGGTGGTCTTAGAGGTACAGAGGAGAAATGGAGTGGCATGTGGAGTGAGGTAAATTACTTTTGTCCCATCTCGTAGTTTACTTGGACTATAGGCTCTAAGAAATCTTCAAGATGAAAATTAGCTATCATGACAGGCACAGTTCAGCTGCATTTTACTCTTAAGACAGTGAGAGTGATGAAATAAATGGGAGCTCAGGAGGTAAATAAATTCCTGAAGACCTGGCTATAATTCTAACTGTTAGGCCTTAATATCTCTTGGCATCTTAAATCTCATAGCATATCTGGGTCTGTTTCCACACCTGCAAAATGGAAACGTATAGGCAAGATGATTTCTAAGGCCATTATCACAGTTTTGATTTGAAGAGTCTTAGAAGGGAAGAGGGTAGGATGGCCAGTCAAAATCAGCTCTCTCCTGGCCTGTACTGAATGATCTATTGCACTTAAATGTACACTTAGTACATATTTTAAGGAAAAGCAAAAATGTGGTTGGGTGGAGCTAGAAAGTCAAAAAAGCAGGAAAGAAAAGGCTCTTTTAATTTCAGCATACATGAAAGTTTCGTGTTTGGGTTTTTTAAAAAATAAATATTGCTGAGTGGCACTATGTGTTTATGCTTTGGGCCTTTATTATTAATAAAACGGCACTGCTTTTCCCATTATCTACAAATGATCTGAAGTACCTTGAGGGTCAGAAAAACTTTAGCCAAGCAAGACAGTAAGGCTTATGTGGAAAATGGATGAGAACTATTTGCCTATTGGAAAGAAAAGAGGGTTGTAAGAGAGCTTCAGATTCTAAACTCTATTTTCAATTTTAGCTTCAGACAGGGAGGGAGAGGCAAGAAAGGAAACATAAAGGCAGAATTAGGGCAAGGACTGCACACCCCTACCAGCCCCAGCCCCATTACAACACTGCTTTGTACAGATGGCAGTTGCCACTTGGTCCTGGCTTTGCAGCTTCTAGGTCACCCTCTGTGCCAAGGAGAAGCAAAGCTCATGGCTTCTTTGCACCAGAGGCTGGAGGTTGCACTGACTCTTTATTGAAGTTGGTCTAACTTGCCCCACTGCAGATGTTCAAGCCCCAGAGGGCTCTGGGAGAATCAAGCCTTTTCGTTGCATTGCTTAGACCCATGCGTCTCCCTGTGTGAGCACAGTTCAGAAGCTACCTGGCGCACTTTTAAAGTGAAGAGGAGCCATACATTATGGGAATGTTTATATTAATGGATTTGATTTATCGCCAACTTCCTTTCAAAATGACCCAATTTATAGTAGCACCCTATATCAAGAAATAAATACAAATGAAAGAAGATCTAGTTAAAATATCACATTTTCTTGCTCTTCCGGGTAGGATTAGTTGTTCCTTATCTGTGCTCCTCAGTTATTATAACAATAGCTACCTTTCATCAGATGTGAGAAACATCAGCGGGCTAAGTGTTTTACATACACTTAATGCTCACAAAGCCCAAGGCTGTAAGAATTATTATTTCTCCACGTTCAGATACAAAAACTCAGCCTGAACGAGGTCAATCCATGTGATCAAGATTGCTCAGCTAATAAATGGCAGAACCAAAATATAAACACAGAATGATTAACTCTGGAATTTCAACTACTGCTAAATACTGCCTCTATCAAGCACATCTTCTTTAAAATAGCATAAATTTCTGATTATAAAAGTCATGCATGACCATCATAGGTAATTTGCTTAAATCAAGAAAAATTTTAAAAGTACTCATTCTTCATAACCTTCTCTACCAGTCACACTAGACCTTGGTTAATATTTTTATGTTTTGTGGCATTTTAAAAACTTTTATAAAAAATGTTTTACTGGATATAATATTATTTGCACTTTTCCCACAACACTGAATTCTTCATGAATACAAATTTTAACTGAAAATAATAGTTCATAATAATTTAAGTAAACAACATCCCCCTGGACTTTTGGGTTTCTTTTTTTCTGCTGTTTTAAATATCACTAGGATGAACCTCTTACACAGAAACCTTTGTTCCCACTTCTGATCATTTCCTTAAGATACATATCAAGTGGCCTGTTAAACATCTCTTCTCTGGGAACCACCTGCTCCTCCCGCAGGTGTTTTCTATATTTATATTCAAGCTGTGGAATCCTGCCTTTCTAACCATACCTAATGTGTGCAGTGTTGTATGCCAGACCCAAACTAGTCTATTTAGTTTTGGAATTTGGCATTTTAACCCGAGAGACATAGACACTGAGTGTTATTTCTAGCCAAGTCACATACTGGCAACATTCCAGAGGAAGAATGATCCTGCTGATAAGATCGCCAAAGCTGCCCTGGTTCCTGACCTTCCCAAAGCCTGGAATTTTACCCATTCCTTGTATATCCCCAGATTCACCAGTATCTTTTCAATAAATACCCTTATTTGGACACACCATGTCTGGTTGGTTTCGGAAACTTTAAATTAAAGAGACTTAATTAGTGAAAAAGAAAGTAATGTTTCTTGAAGAGGTATTACTTGGTTAAATTTAAGGTCATTCATGCATGTTGCCAAGTTGTTCCCTGGAAATTTCTATAGTTTGCATTCCCATCAGAAAACACAAGGGAGGATCCTATTATTTTTAATATTTTTGCCAAATTTAAAGGCAGATAGTACCATTTCATTCTTTACATTTGAATTTCATTAATTACCAATAATGTTTAACATTTTTATATGCTTATTAGTTATATTTTGTCAACCTCTGTGCCTATTTCCATTTGCCTGCTGTTATCTAAGGCTTTCTCTTATTGATCTATATACATCTTTATATATTGAGAATGTTAACCTTGATGAGAATACTTCTCACATTTTGCTGTAATTGTATAATTATGTATCTGTCACTCCTCTCCCACCACTGCCTTTCCTATATTTGAAGCTTCTGCCGGGCTGAACTGTACACAATTCTTGTATTAGAATGAACTAGTGTATGCTGTGTTACCAAATAGTCCAATATCTCAGTTGCTTCACACACACACACAAAAGGAATATATATTTTTTAAGTTTGTTAGGGGTGGCAGCATCCTGCTCATTTCAATGCTTAGCGACCCAGGTTGTTGGAAGCTCCATATTGACTCATGTTTCCATAAGCACTGTGACAGTTCAGGCAATTTGGTGAAGTGTGTGCTCATTCTGCCCACAAATAATGTACATCCCTTCTGTTCATATTTCATTTATCAAAATGACCCATGTTGTCATAACAAATTTCAAGTGAGAAGGGATGTACAATCCTACCACATGCCTGGCAGGAAGGGAGAGTCAAAATATACATGAAAGGCCAATGGCTACCACATCCCTGTGCTATCTCACCATTTCTCGCAGCTTCATGCTACTGGAAGGCTCTCCTTCTAGTTCTTCATGTTCAAATTCAACCAATGCTTCAAAGGTCATGTCTTTTCTGAAGTTGTTTCTTATTTCCTCCAAATGGAATTTATTTCATCATCTTCTGACCCCCCTTAAAATCTTTACTAAGAGAGTAATTTCTTTCTGTCTTGATTTACAGTCACTTATGTACATTTTTCTCTCTTTCATTTGAATTGTGAGCTTCTTCAGGGAAAGCTCTGTATCTGATTTGTGTTCATATACTTTACAGGGCTTAGTCCAGTGCCTTGTATATTAAACTTGAGATAAATGTTGCTCGAGTGAAAAACATATATAAGTCCTAACTTATAGACATTCATTTTTGCATAATACCAAGATTTACTTGAAACTCAATAGTGTTAATAATAATTAAATTTTTAAACATGCTAAACTTTAAAAAAACTTTTGTTTTAGGTTCAGGGTACACGTGCACGTTTGTTATATAGGTAAATTGCATGTCATAAGGGCTTGGTGTACATATTATTTCATCACCCAGATAATAAGCATAGTACTTGATATGTAGTTTTTTCAATCCTCACCTTCCCCCAACCCTTCGCCCTTAAGTAGGTATCTGGTGTTCCCTTCTTTTTATCCATAGGTACTCAATGTTTAGCTCCAACTTATAAGTGAGAACGTACGGTATTTGCTCTTCTGTTCCTGTGTTAGTTCACTTAGGATTATGACCTCCAGCTCCGTCTATGTTGCTGCAAAGGACATAACCTCATTCTTCTTTATGACTGCTTAGTATTCCATGCAGTATATACCACATTTTCTTTATTCGGCCTACTGTTAATAGGCATTTAGTTTGATTCCATGTCTTTACTATTGTGAATAGTGCTGCAATGAACATACATGTGCACATGTCTTTATGGTAGAACAATTTATATTTCCTTGGGTACATAGCCAGTAATGGGATTTCGGGGTTGAATGGTATTTTGTTTTAAGTTCTTTGAGAAATCACCAAACTGCTTTTCATATTGGCTGAACTAATTTACATTCCAACCAACAGTGTATAAGTGTCTGTTACTTTTTGACTTTTAATAACAGCCATTCTGACAGGTGTGAGATGGTATCTCATTGTGGTTTTGGTTTGCAATTCTCTAATGATTAGTGATGTTGAGCATTTTTTCATATGCTTGTTGGCCATTTGTGTGTCTTCTTTTGAAAAATGTCTATTAATGTCCCTTGCCCACTTTTTGGTTTTGTTTTTTGTTTTTTTGTTTTTTTTTTTTTGCTTGTTAATTTGTTAAAGCTCCTTATAGATTCTTGATATTTTGCCTTTGTCAGACGCATAGTTCGCAAACATTTTCTCCTATACTGTAGGTTGTATATTTACTCTGTTGGTAATTTCTTTTGCTGTACAGAAGCTCTTTGGTTTAGTTAGGTCCCATTCATCAATTATTGTTTTCATTGTAATTGCTTTTGGCATCTTTGTCA
Organism: Homo sapiens; assembly: GCF_000001405.40. Lineage (NCBI taxonomy): Eukaryota > Metazoa > Chordata > Mammalia > Primates > Hominidae > Homo > Homo sapiens. The sequence goes on along the minus strand of NC_000003.12, from coordinate 111,319,405 downwards.
TGAAATTTTTGCCAGGTCCTATGTCCAGAATGGTGTTTTCTAGATTATCTTCCAGGGCCTTTATAGTTTTAGGTTTTATATTTAAGTCTTTAATCCATCTTGTGTTGATTTTTGTATTTGGTGTAAGGAAGGGGTCCAGTTTCAATCTTTTGCATATGGCTAGCCAGTTATCCCAGCACTATTTATTTATTTATTTATTTATTTTGAGATGGAGTCTCGTTCTGTCACCCAGGCTGGAGTGCACTGGCCCGATCTCGGCTCACTGCAAGCTCCGCCTCCCAGGTTCATGCCATTCTACTGCCTCAGCCTCCTGAGTAGCTGGGACTACAGGCACCCACCACCATGCCCGGCTATTTTTTTCTATTTTTAGTAGAGATGGGGTTTCACCATGTTAGCTAGGATGGTCTCGATCTCCTGACCTCATGATCCGCCCGCCTCGGCCTCCCAAAGTGCTGGGATTACAGGCGTGAGCCACCGCGCCTGGCCCCAGCACTATTTATTGAATAGGAAATCATTTCCCCATTGCTTGTTTTTGTCTACTGTGTCAAAAATCAGATTCTCATCAGTGTGCAGAATTATTTCTGGGCTCTCTCTTCTGTTACATTGGTTTATGTGTCTGTTTTTGTACCAGTATCATGCTCTTTTGGTGACTGCAGCCTCATAGTATAGTTTGAAGTAGGATAATGTGATGTCTCCAGCTTTGTTCTTTTTACTTAAGATTGCTTTGGCTATTGGGGCTCTTTTTCGGTTCCATATGAATCTTAAAATAGTGTTTTCTAATTCTGTGAAGAATATCATTGGTAGTTTGATGGGAATAGCATTGAAGCTATAAATTGCCTAGGGCAGCATGGCCATTTTAACAATATTGATTCTTCCTATCTGTGAGCATGGAATCTTTTTCCATTTGTGTCATCTCTGATTTATTTGAACAGTGTTTTGCAACTCTTGTTTTAGAGATCTTTCACCTTCCTGATTAGCTGTATTCGTAGGTACTTTACTCCTTTTGGGCTATTGTGAATGGGATTGCATTCTTGATTTGCATTCAGCTTGGATGTTGTTGATGTATAGGAGTGCTACTGATTTTTGTACATTGATTTTTTTCCTGACACTTTGTTAAGTTTATCAGATCAAGGAGCTTTGGGGCAGAGACTATGGGGCTTTCTGGTATAGAATCATGTCATCTGCACACATGGATAGTTTGACTTCCTCTCTTCCTATTTGGATGCCCTTTATTTCTCCATGTTGCCTGATTGCTCTGGCCAGGAATTCCAGTACTATGTTGAATAGGAGTGTTGAGAGAGGTGAGAGAGGGTATCCTTGTCTTGTTCTGGTTTTCAAAGGTTATGCTTCCAGCTTTTGCCCATTTAGTATGATGTGGGCTGTGGGTTTTTCACAGATGGCTCTTATTATTTTGAAGTATGTTCCTTCAATGAGTGTGTTGAGAGTTTTTAATATAAAGACATGCTGAATTTTATCAAAAGCCTTTCCTGCATCTATTGACATGATCATATGGTTGTTTTTAGCTCTTTTTATGTGATGAATCACATTTATTGATTTGCATATGTTGAACCAACCTTGCATCCCAAGGATAAAGCCTACTTGATCACGGTAGATTAGCTTTTTGATGTGCTGCTGGATTTGGTTTGCTAGATTTTGTTGAGAATTTTTGCATCTATAAACATCTTAAACTTAAAATTAGCAGGTCCCTTGACTTTATCAACGTTTCTCAATTCAGTGATTAGTTGAGAAAACTGGTAGCTGCAAAGTGCTTGATAAAACTACAAACTCTTTCTCTTCAGGTGCATGTGCCAGTGGTCAAACTTCCAACACTTTTCAGAAAGGACTCTTGCATTAGTGAACATGTCACTAACGTGGTCTTGAGTTGGGCATGGTTTGAAATTTTTGCTATTCTTATTTTTGAATATAAATCACTGTTGGTTTACCTTCATCTTTTCCCATTTATATGGGTATTCATTTACTTAACCCTGTATAAGGTTTTTATATTATTTAATCCTTTATATTGTACTTTTGAACTCTAGTTTTGGACAAGAAATTTACATATATACATATATAGAAACATACACACACATATGTACACACACATATATGTATATATGTGTAAAAATATATATAATGTATATAATACATATTTATGTATATATCTATATATATACAGACATGTGTATCTGTAATATATAGAATTATATGTGTAATATGTATACATACATACACACATACATAATTTGCACACATAGATGTAGAAACTTTGCATTTATTGTTTCTTCAAATCTTCCTACAGCAGCAGATTTTAATTATTTACTTAAATGTCAGCTCCTTAACTTCTTTCCCTGACCACCCTGGTAGAGTAGCTTCTGACTGTCCTCCTGAAACTCCCACCTTCTATTCTATTCCTTGTTCTTTTTAGATCTTATTATTGCTTGAAATTCTTTTATTAGTGTGCCCATTTTATTTGATTTTTATTGTTATTCTTGCCACACTCAAAGTCAATATCTTCCCACTAAAATGCACTGTCTAGAGGATGGGGATTTTGTCTTTTAACTATACAGACAAGAAGCAAACATTGCCTGATACAGAGTATGCAGTCAAATAAATATATTTCAGATCAGTGAGTGAATGAATAAAAGATTCTTTCTGGAATGACTGGGTGGACTGTGCAGCCATTCACTTGTAAATAAAATGCAAAAGCAGGAGTAATTTTAGAGGAATCATAAGTTCATCTTTGAATATGTTGAGTTTGAAGTTCCCGTGTGATATTCAGATAAAGATGTCAAACAGAAATTTGGTCATACAGATCTAAAACAAAGGGCAAGGATATAGAGATGAAGGTCATTTGCTTATATGTGATAGCTGAAATTATGAAAATAGCTAAGTGTCCTGGGTAGGTACAGCATAAGAACAGAAAAGGACAAACTGGTGTCCCAGATCTTCCTCTCTAGTATCTGCTCCTCCCAACAACTGCAATAGGCAGAAGTCCCAGAAACCTTCAACTCTTGACAGTGCAAATGGCCTTGCCACTTTAATATCATTGGCCTCCCTGTCAACAAAATCAGCTCAGGAGAACTGGCCCTGCATAGTCTATTTATCCTGGTCTGTTAGATGCGTGTTCGTCCCTGATGCTACAGATGTAGGAGAATCAATACATCCCACGGGACCTTACAGAAGCAGAGAGAAAACCCCACTTGCTTACCCAAACACTTGCTCTCAGCCCTTCTGGCAAAATTCCCAGGAAGAAAAGACAGGAATGTGAAAAGAGTGTTTTATCGGTGATACACAGCAACAGCCAGCTGTCTCCCTAATGATTATTTGTATTCATACAGAGATCTGTTCAACAAAGAAATCTGAGCTCAGAAGGAACTCCTCTTTAGTAATACACACCACAGGCCCACAGAGTGTTTTTATAAGTTACTATATCTCTGCCCTGGGGCTATTAGAAGTCCAACATGCAATTCAAAGTCTCTAAGAATAAATAAAAGTTGAATCTTGTTCTATAGTTAAGGACACTTGAGTCATAGCAACCTGCCTGGTAACTCCCGAAGATTAATTCTGACACCAAAAATCACACTCCTGCTTCCTAATTCCCATTCCAGAGCTCTTCCTATGTTCTAGCAATAGTTTCTTAAAACTCTCCTAAAACCTTCTAGAGGGTTCATCAGCCTCTACTCATTAACCAATATAATACCATTCAAGCATTATCCAACAAGCTGAAACAAAGTCAAGGCCAATTTTGTCCAAGAGTATACTATCTATAAGCTTCTCTGCAGCTCTTATACCTTAGCCACTGAGCACTGTATGCTAAGATTAGACATTATCATCTATATGATGCTTAAATTTCCTTCTATGATTTGCTCATGAAGCATTCATCAAATTTTGTTTGCATTGTAATTGCTTGTTTCTGCTTGGACATGTAGATTTAGGAAATTCACTACCTCCTAGGCTAGTGTATTTAGTTTTTAGGTAGATTATTAGACAATTCTCCCATGTGCTGGGCTGCAAACTGTTACACTGTATTTTTTCCTTATTAGCTTTAGTCCTGTACTCTGGAGCCAGAATAAGTCTGAAACTGCTCTTCCAAAATAAACGCTTCAGATTTAGTGAGAGAATTATCCACCCCTAAATCGTTTCCTTATATGACATAAATCCCTTCGATTCCTTCTGCATGTCCACATTCATTCCCAGTTTGCCAGCTTCTGTCATTCAATCTGGGGAAACAGCCTACTCCTCCTCAAGTGTGCTCTGTCCAGAGCAGAGTAGAGGTTCTGTTAGTGTTATCCTGAACCTCATTAGCCTTTTTGGCAGTCATATCATACTGCTGATTCGAACTGAGCTTACAACTCACTCTAACAGGATGTTAAAGTGTTTAACATCCTGCTGTTAAATGATGCCTCCTTTACGACGTTCTTAGGCAGCTAATATCCTGATCCCAAGTGTAGGACTTTGTATTTACCTCTGTGAAATTTTATCTCACTGGATTTGACTTATATTTTCAGTTTGCCATTTGATGTTGTCATCCAAGTCATTAATAAAAATTATAAACTGGACAGTGTCAAAGATAAAAACTCTGTGGCAAAGAAACTAGATTAACACAGATGCATTAATTAATCATTTTGGTCTCATTCAACCAGTTACTAAATTACCTACCTACATCCTTGCTGGCCCACAGCACTGCATCTGGTTTTGCAGGTAACACAGAAGACCTTGCCAAATGCCTGGCTGAAACCCAGACTCACTCCATTCATAGCCATCTGCAAATATTCAATTGAGTAACTTTATCAACTTAGTCTCTGTTTAACAGCTTAAAAATGACACTGAAAACATAGTTTTTCAATGTCAAAATGCTCCACAGTAACTTGGCCTTTTGGCCAAGATCCAGGCAGCTGTGAATGTGCTCCATGCTTGTAAATATATACCTTGGTGCTACATCAGGTTTCTGTTCAGAACTCATTCTGTACCATTCTCATGTCTGCCTCTGGGTTCTGGGTACATTTCACCTCTGAGTCAGCCTCAGATACTTGAGAGCTAATAGACATTCCTCAGTTCTCTTTGAAACATTACTTACTTAGTGGAAGAAAAGATAGCCTGGAGTTTTAACACTTTTCAAGAGGTGGGAGGGTGATGGATCAAATAGCTGTAGCTGGTGCTCTGAAAGCAATCTTGCCACCTCACATCACAGGAATTGCTCCTGACTGCCCTCCCCATGTTCTCTGGAATACTGGAAAAGAGGCATATTATTCTACATATCATCAGGAAATTTTCCAATTGCCCTCTGATGTAGATTACATAACCTTTTCACTTCCTGGTTAAACAATTCAAGACACCTGTCCTTTGCCTCTACAAAAAGCCCACTGACAAACCCAGGACTCCTTCCTTTAAATTATCATCTTTAAATATGTACTAAAGTATTTCACTAAGAAATGGTTCCTCACAGGATAGTCTATTGTTCCAGACAGTCAGGATTTCTTGGAGGCAGCGGAGGTCACCAGCAGCCTTTATAACAATATTAGAGTTTCAAGGATCCCATAAATTCCTTGATTCCTTCTCTTCATTTTATAGAAGAGAAAATTCATAGAGATGTTGAATGAGCTGCCTGAGGTCATGGAGCTAACTAAACAGAGAGTCAGAATAAGAATTCAGCTCTCTTGACTTAGCATCTAATGTCCTTCCTACTCTTACAAAGAAGAGCAGTGGAAAACAGCAAGGAAGAGGGAATGTTCCCTGACCCCACAAGAAATGTCCAAAACTACTGCCGCTTATACACCATTTCCATGCCCGAGAGACAAAAGATAGGAGGGCATCTCTGACAGTCTCATTCTGTAGGGTCAGAGACCAACCTCTTCCTCTCCTGGAACCGACTGGGGATAAGGGCCATGTGTACCCCTGCCCCATCTTTCCTGGTTCACTGGTGCCTAAACATTAACATCCTATCAGCTCAGCGTGGGCCCCTTATATGCACTGGGTGAGGAAGGAGAAGTTTCTTCTAAACGCAGCCATTTCTCTCTTTCTTTCTCTGTGCACCAGCAAAGCTCCCCAAGTTTATAGCTTGGCTCCAGTGTGTTAGCAGTTTCTATGTCTTTCCTTTGTACTCTCACATGAAGAGAACCCCAAACCTTGAAAGTCTGTTTTATTTTTTCAAAACAACCCAGCTCCACAAGGAGGCTTTCTCTCTCTCTCTCTCTCTCTCTCTCTCCCCCCCTCCCTCTCTCTCGGAAATGGTAAAGTTAGCTTTAATTATTTAACTATCAGATAACTCACAGGCTAAAGTAATAGATCAGGGCAGAAAAAAGAGCCATTTAGTAATTCAACCAGATAAAAGGAGGGAGAAGGGCCTTCTGCCTGACTCCAAGAAACAGCAAGCAAAAAACCCTTGTGTCCCTTTGCTCCGATAGCAAGAAGTCCTCAATTTTGTTATAGAATCAACCCAAAGGTACTAACTTAAAATTCGGACAGACAAGGCCAACAGTCTTTTTGAATAGTGATCCCCAAAACAGAACAGTGGTCAAGATTAAGGTCATCTTGAGTGTTTTTAAAATCAAGCCTTATCTGCAGAACTGGATGCCAGTATGCAGATTTAGTCAAAGTACATAACTTGAATTTTATGTAGTCTGCTTGAAATCATCTTCTAGGGATAATGGACTATAATATTTCTGATTTTACTTTATTTAGGATCTTACATCTATCATTATATAAGCATCTATGAGAGCAAGGAAATAATAATGACTTTAATGTAAAACATTCTGGTATGGAGAAAACAAGGAGGAACTTGTACATGCGGAGGGTGTTTTCTAGGAGGAACTTTGGAAGGAGCTATTTTCAGAGTCAGCTCCTCTCTATAAAGCCAGACCAATCGTATCTATTTCTGCAGAATAAGACTGAAACCATTGTGGAATGCTGAAAAAATGACAGTATATCTTGCGTTTATTGACCTTCCAATATTTATGGATTTTATTTAATATAAAATCTGGAGGGGGAGGGGAATTAATCTGTTATCTCAAGGGCACTGCTTGTGTTGTCCATCAAGAGAGGGGCACTCCTTGCACCATGCTAAACTCCATTTCATGTACTGTCAAATGCCACAGCTGATGGCATCTCAGTGCCTGGGGCAGAGATAGTGTGGTGGAGACAGCCTTGCTCTTTAGCGAACTTATTTTTTTATTCCCAGGCAAACAGTTAGACTATGTTTTCCATCTTGTGTTGCAATTAAATGTGGCTGTTGATGCTTTCTGGCCAATAGAATGTGGATGATGTGATTCATGTCTAGGCAGTCTGAGACCTGATACAGAAAATCAACCCATCACTGAACCAGAGGCCTAGGCAATGATAGAGTCACAAGAAAAGAGGAAACTGGGTTTCTGAGTGCCTGTGTACACAGGAGCCCTACTATACCCCTGCTGCCAATTGTACTTTACATGAAGAAGAAACAAACTTCTAGTGTGTAACCACAGATATTTTGGGGTTATCAGTTCCAGTAGTTAACTGTCTCTAATACAGGAATCAAGACAGGAAGTGGAATGCTGACTTAGTGAAAGCCCAAGATGTGTGCTATTGTTTCAGTGGTCAGATAGCAGACAGTGATGAAATAAAAAGAGCGAGCTACAGTTAGAGAGTCTTGCTATTCTCTGGCCCAGTATTTCATGTAAGTGTCGTCTGCAATAACTGAAGGAAAGGAGCACATGCCTCTGAGCCTAAAGCTGTAAGAAAAGTGGTTGGAAAGAAGTAGAGTGAAAGCGTGTTGTGGCTTACAATTAAATGCCTTCAGTACAGGAGCTCAGACAAGAAATAAGTGTTTTTCATGAATAGATTAAAAGGAATAAAGTCTAAAAATAAAAAGTCTTACAAGTTTGGAAATCCAGCTGCTTCTGGACTCCAAATTCTAAGAGATAAGACTGGAAAAGGTCCCAAACTGCAAAGACCCACCAAAACTCTTGCTTAAACACACCAGAGTGGTGTTGCAGCAAAGAGCAGAATAAGGGGATCACCTTGGCATTCAAACCTATTGTTTCAGTGAGCCTCAAGTTAGCTGCCAGGAAGTTGAGAGAGGGTTGCATAGAGATGAAAAAGAAAATGAAATCAGGCTTGAGAATTATGTCTAGGAAAGAACTTGAGCATGTTTGCTCTTGCATGGTACTGATTAGATAAGGCAAATAGATCAGAAGCCTATTCAGTCTTTCAGGAAGTTATATTGCTGAATTAATAATATTTTTGCTCTAACAAGGCATCTCTGTTTGTTTATGGCTTAAAACAATTCTTGGGTCCCCAAACTTGTATGAGCAGGAAGCAGGCTGTGAAAGCTGTAGAGCTCCCAAGAAGATTGCACTCCCTGTGCCCCCTTCAGATATGGCCATGGAGGAAAACAGAGAAGGATAAACTTCCCAGTGGGTAGAGCAGGAGTCACAGAGAATGAGAGAGAGGGGAGTTTCTTCCTGAACACAGATTCTAGGGCTGATCAAGTAACTTCTCCACTCAGAGAGGGCCCTTTAAAATACCTGGCCAGGAGGATTTCAGAAATATACAGCAGACCTGTGGTAGCTCTGTGTCTCTTATTCTGCCCTTTCCCATATTGCTTGAGCATTGTTGGGGGAGGAGGGTGGAGTGGAGGAGTGAAGAGTGGGAAACTGATAACTTATTATTTCACTTCATAAGTCAGCAGAGTCTCCACATCTAAGCCTGGTAAGGACATACATTTCCCATAAATGCTGGACTTTGAGTGGGATGTAGGAACTGGCTGAGACTTAGAGTCATCTGCCTTCAGGAGAAGAAGGATGGATCTTATACATGGGAGAAAGAGTAAAATTCATATTTAGTGACCAGGAGAATAAACTGTGGCATGAATTATCTAGTCATACAAGCTATTTTCTTCCAGTGCATTCATTTAAACTATTGTTTCATTCTCCTTTGTAGGTAGCCAAGTTCCGGCAATTAGACATATGGGCAGAATTATGTCCACCTCCAAGCCTAGCCCATAAGTAGTCCAAATGTGCCATACTCACTCTTTTCCCTCATTTTCCAGCTGCAGCCTGGGAAATCAATAGAGGACTCCAGGACTGGCAAGGAGGAGGAAGCCTCAGTGCCTAAATGCAGAAGCTCCATCCCTACCCTTCCTCTAACACTGATTGGACTCAATGTGAGCACAATAAAATATTGTGCAAAGCCACTGAAATCTGGGAGTTATTTCTTCCAGCAGCAAGCCTTCCCTTACTAATATAGGTGGGCAGAGTTCCAACCACCTATACTTAGATCATCTCAAATAGAAGAAGAACCCTGGCAGCTCATTAGCTCCCAGAGAGATTGACTTCTAAAATAATTATGTATTATTCATTTTCTTCCTGTGTATCAAACCCTGAATCACAGGACATGAAGTATCCTATCATGAAATAAAGGTCTGATTTTAAACCTAGGCTCTTCCACAGATTAGCTGCTTGTTTTTTGGGTAGGCCATTTAAGTATTCTAACTAGTTACCTTATAGAGTTTTTGTGGGAGGAAATGAGGAGATGTGAAAGTCCTTAGTGCAATTCCTGGCGTATAGTAGGTATTCAATAAGAGTTGGTCTCCTTTCTTTTTTCTATAATAAGAAGTAATGGTTATTGAGCTCTTACTATGTGCTAAGTGTGCTAAGTGCTTTATGTGTGTGGGTGTGTATGTACACACACATATATATAATATTTAATCTCATAACAACCTTATAATGTTGGCACAACTATTATCCAAATTCTACTGATGTTGGATGTAGGGTAAAGGGTGATTGGGATTGCCCAAAGGCACACCATCACATCATCAGTAAAGGAAGTGAAATACAGGAATCTGGCTCCAGAGTCCACCTTCCCACTGTCTGTCCTACAGTGCTTCCCACAGTCATTTGGCCTAGGAAGGAGAGAGAGCATTCCTCCCAGGAGCTGTAAATGCACAAAGGTCTTACACCATGGAATCCAGTCCTGTGTCTTCTACATGGATTCCTCTGATCCACTAGGTTTTTATCTTATTCTTTTTCTATTTTCTCCATTTAACACATTATCTACACAGCTCCTCATTGGCAGGACTATATATAAAAAGCAAGCGTAGTTGTTTGTCTGGTCTTGTCTGATGTGTGGATTGAAGAGAAAGTCAAACAGAAGCAATTAACTGAGGTATTTGTTTTCTCCTCTATGACACTTGCTGAAGTGCCCACCCTGTCCCACTTAAAAAACACATACTCAGGAGTAGCGGTAATGATTTGCGTGCCTCCTTTTGAGTGAACTGAGAACAGTGATTCAGGAATCAAAGTGTAAACCATTTACTCAAAATTAAGCATTGAAACTTTAAAGTTATTATAACTGGTCACCCTTTGGCAAATCTCACAGTGGAGTGTACCACCTGGAGTGTGGTGTACCCACAGCAGAAAAGGATTCATCCTCAAAGTGAAAGTTTGAGCATTCAGAGAGACAGACTCTACCTGATCAATGTCATGGATCCTACACATGTAATTGATAGGTTTCCATGTGTCAGCCTGTTTAGGAGAAATGCATCCCCCCCTGTCTTGCTGTTTTTATTCTATCAGTAGTGGTGTCTTATTGTGGTAACATTGTCAACATCAAGAGAAGGCTTATTAACTCCTAACCTTTTGGGTTGTTTTTGTTTTTGTTTTTGTTTTGTTTTGTTTTGCTTTTTTGAGATGGAATCTTGCTCTGTCGCCCAGGCTGCAAGCTCTGCCTCCTGGTTTCACGCCTTTCTCCTGCCTCAGCCTCCCTAGTAGCTGGGACTACAGGTGCCCGCCACCACGCCTGGCTAATTTTTTTTTTTTTTTTTGTATTTCTAGTAGAGACAGGGTTTCACCGTGTTAGCCAGGATGGTCTCGATCTCTTGACCTTGTGATCCTCCCGCCTTGGCTTCCCAAAGTGCTAGGATTACAGGTGTGAGCCACCATGCCCAGCCTATTTTATTTTCTATTTTGGTTTTCTTATCCTTTGCTAATCCAAAATCTTCTTCCAGCTAAACATTTTTTCTTAGTATAAAACTCAGTAGAAGCAAAGGCAAAGCTTAGTGGATGTAACAGATTCGATTAACTTGATAGTTCAAACTTTAGAATGGATGATAGAAAACTTCCCTCTGCTCTCTCTCTCTTTCTCTCTCATGCTTTACATCCATCCTGCCCCTAGAATGCTTTTCAATTTATAAGTGTTTCTGTTAATATTTTCAAATAATTTAAAGTATTCTTCAGCCTCTGCCTTACGTAAGTTCTTACTCAAGTTTTTTAAAAGTGATTGTAACACATGGTGATTGTTGAATTTGTTTGTGCATTTTGTAGATGAGTACTTAATTTATAGTGTTTACCAATGCCTCCTAAAAGTGAATCAAAGACCAGTAGTGTGTTCTGTCAACTCCTGGAGAGGTACATGTTACTCTTTTGGAAGAAACATATCCTATGTTTTTTAAAGGAAAGTGGGAGAAAAACCTTAACTGGACAGAGGTGAAGTCACCTTGTTTATAAATGGAATCGGTGTCAGTGTTTCTCAATTATTGTTAGCACAGGAAGGTACTTTGTTAAATACTGTGTGGTTTTTGGGAAAGCCACTCAAGACATAGGCCATAGTTTATTCTTGCCACTGGTAAGTTGACAGTAAGATATTAGAGTGATAATCAGCAGGACAACCTTTAAAAGAAAACTCTTGACTTAAGAGTTACCAAAATAATGTGTATTTGAGAGAAGACACTAAATAAAAACTTAGCTAACACAATTATACAGCAGCTCCTCCGTCACTACTCTTGGGGATTTCTAACGTATAGTTCCCATAAAATGGGTATTAATGTTAACTTACAAAAACACTATTTATAAATTTAGAAAAGGAAACTTTATTTTTTATAAAGGGAGGTAGCTATCCCACAGGCTAAGAAGAGCAGCCTCAGGCAAAGACCAGAGACAGGCTCTTTGAAGGAGGAGGGGCTGGGATGGAAGCTTTATGCTGAAAGGGTTAGCAAAACATACATATTAAACATGTTACAGGAGGAGCTATGGATATTCATGAAGGTGGTCCTTGACATGTGCATATTGAGTGAACATGCATATAACATAGGACTCACGTTTATTTTGGAATGGAGACTGAGCATTTAAATGTATTATAATTAGGCTCTAGGTGTCAAAAAGTCTTTTCAGGACATGAAGGCATGCAAGTTTGCAGCTTCTACAATCCAGCTAGAACCAATCCATGGTCCATGGTCTTCTTATCGGGAGAAAGTTACTGAAATCAGTCTCTTGTCCAATCAAAACTGTCATTACGGCTGGTGGAAAGAGGGAGTCAGTTAGTCAGGGCCTGTGAACTGGATGAGTTGTAATTGTCTTAATATTGTTTATCCAACGCCAGTACTTGTTTAGCTGCTAGTGAAAAAGGAAAACCTTGTGGCAGTTAGAGCGTAGTTTATTCTGTAAGTGTAAAGGTAAATGACTTAACCCTTTCCTGGCATGACCTTTGATCTTATTTATAATCTGGTATCTTACGGCCACAAAGAGTCTGTTCTGTCAGTCTTATGATCTCCATTCTACATTAATGCTGGTTAGTTGTTGTGTCTAAGCCATAAAAGGGAGAGGAGTATAATAAGGTGTGTCTGACTTCCCGTTTTGTCAAGGCGGGGAACTCAGTTTTAAGATTTTCCTGGGACCCCCTTGGCCACAAGGGGGTTCATTCAGTTAGGGAGGGGAGCAGGCTTAGGATATTATATTTAGTTTACATTTATCATTACAAATTATATCACTTACTCCTTGTGCAGTCCCTAGGAATTTAGAAATATGGTCACCTGTCTTTTCAGTTAACTATTGAACAGGGCCTTATAGAAGCCCACACAGGCTCTCTTTTGAGTGTGGCCCACTGCGGACCACAGGAAATAAATATCCACCCCTTACCTTCACATGCTGTTGGAGTGTAGGCTGATCCTAAAGCAGCTACTTTCACTTCAGCTCATCCATCAGCATCTATACTGTTTGTCTGTCTCTTGATTTTTCACATGACAGTCAAACACAAGTCCACATGTCCTTCAACTTCAGGGAATATGTATCAAAATCTTCTAGTCATCCTCTTGAACGCTGCCCCCCTTTCAAGATAAAGGAGAAAGAGACACATCTTTCCCTCCTCTCCTCCTTGGTAGAGCCAAGACTCATATAATAACACTTTTGAAAGAAATTCTATCCACAGTCCTACTCTACCTACCTTCAACAACCTGAAACTTTACACGCTCAATGTGAAGGAGGGGTTCAGAAGTTGTGAAACTTGTGTTACTGAAGTTACCTTTGACATTTTGCAACTTAGTCCCAGAGCCTGACTGTGAAATATCATACCCCTTATACCTTAGCTCTTCCACACAAACTTCCAATTTCACACCCTAATATATTCGTTACTGAAAATTTGGAACTCACAAGATCATACAACAACAAAAAATAAAACTCACTTATAATCTCACTTCCCATACAAACACAACCACTGTCCGCACATGGAGGAATATTCATTGTCTTTTTCTTTTGCCTAGGAATACATTTAAAAATATATACTTTTATAAAATGGGGTTATGCTATCATACCATTTGCAAACTGTTTTTTTAATATATTTTTGAACAACTTTCTAAGTTGACAAATGTGTTACCAAATATTTTTAATGGCTGTTTTAGATACCATCTTTGGACATATAACTGTTGATTTAACAAATTATTTATTATTAGGATACTTAGACTTTTTAAAAATAATTTCACCACATAGAAATCACTCTTTTGAACATCATTGTGGATGCATTTTTTCATTTATAGTAAAATATAAAATCAATAAACAAAAAAGATATATTTATGTAATAGTTTATGCAAATATAAAATATAAATAATATAAACATAGAATAAATAATAAAATTAGATATGTAATCAATAGTAAAAGTAAAAAATAAATCCTACCATTCAGGAGTAATAGTGTAGGCTATAATCTGTAATGATTAAAATTCACATAAGCCTGAGTTAAAGGTCTAGAACAGACTTTGATTTAATATGCTGTGGAGAGAGGGCAAAGCCCAGAAAGTGAATTCCAGAGTATTGAACACAAATTTTACCCATTTTCACAATTTTTTTTCTAAAGTCAGCTCTTATTCTTATCATCTACCTATGAAAGTCACCAAATACTATTAATTCTATTTTAGAAATATTTCCAGGATTCAGCCCCTCCTCTCCATCTTCACTAACATTACTTTAATTCGTGCCTTCACCATTTTTCACCTAAATTGCTATAATCACTTTGATGCCCTCCCTTATCATTCATCCACACTGACACCAGAATGGGTCCCCTTAAAACGTAAATATTCTTGCATTTCTTCCCTGATTTAAGTTCTGTGCTGGCTTCAGACGACTAAAGGGTAAGTCTAAATGACCAAAGGGTAATTTACAGCAGCTCAAGTCCATCCCTGTGTATTTCCTCATTTCCAGTTTTACCTCCCTGGCTCTCCCATTGCCCCTACCCTGCACTGATTCTGTATCCATACTCAATTTCTCCTATTACCTAGATGCACTGTGCTTTTCCTAACGGTTTCCATGCAGATGCTCTTTCCTTTTGTCTGGAGTGTCCTAGCCTCGCCCTTTATTCATCTTTCAAACTCACAACTACTATCTCCTCTCTCTTCTCCCAAAGTGGCTAGGTAGAATCCATTGCCTCTTCTTACTGCAATTTGCAGTTCAGATTTCTTAGTCTCATACTTGCCTGTATCACGTTGTATTGCTTTTATCAGTTTATGTACCCATCTATCTGTCTCAGATTGAGAAATGCTCAAGGGCAAGAATTTTATCTCCTTTCCACATGTAGCTATTAGAAATGTAGAATATGCTCAATAAATTAGTATTATCATTTAGAGATCTTTTTAACATTAATAAAATACTTCTGTACCTGCCCCAAACATAACATAGAAATGTCTTCCTTTCTCCTCCTACACTTCCTCCTCCTCCTTCTCATTCTCCTCCTCCTCCTTCTCTTCTTCTCTTTCTCCTTCTTCTTCCTCCTCTTCCTCCTCTTCCTCTTCTTCTTCTTTTTTCAGAGAGGTAGGGTTTCACTTTGTCACAGGCTGGAGTACAGTCATGTGATCATAGCTCCCTGTAACTTCGAACTGCTGGGCTCAAGCGATCTTCCCTCCTCAGCCTCCTGTGTAGCTGGGACTATGGGCATGCACCACCATGCCCAGCTAATTTTTAAACTTTTTTATAGAGTGGGGTCTCACTATGTTGTCCAGGCTGGTCTTGAATTCCTAGCTTCAAGCAATCCTCCTGCCTCAGCCTCCCAAAGCACTGGGATTACAGGCATGAGCCACCATGTCTGACCTCTTCCCATCATTTTATACCTAAAAACATAAAGCCAAGGGAGAAGGAAGTCATAGCTTCAAGTCTGAAGCAAAAGACTGACTCAGGAGGCTGAAAATGCCATTCTGTGTCTGATTTACTAGATGACAGCAGACCCAAGTTGACTCAAATAGTGTACATTACAGAAAACCACAGATTGCCACATTAAAATTGTAGTCTAAAGATTTTAAAATATATTTGTCATCCCACTGTGCTGATTGTGTACAATAAAATACGTGATATTTCTAAAACACAAGCCCAGAAAGCTGATCTGGGCTGCATGGAATAGGACTCCAACTCAAGTAAACATCATTTTTAAAGCATGCACTAAATGATAGATTTAAATTAGAATAAAAAGACAGAAAACAGCATGTGAAACACTTCATTACCTTTTACATTTTTATGAAGCCTAGGGTAGAGGCAAGTATTAAAATAACAAGATTGAAAAGTGGCTGTTGAAAAGGTCTTTAGCACTTCTTGGCTGACATTTTTAAAAGGGCTTATTAATGCAAAAACCCTGCGGCTTTCATCCTGCACACACAGCAACTGAATCTCTAAGGCATAGACAGACAGGAAGGGAAATCTGCCCTATTTGAAATGTTTAATAGAAGATGGTGAAAGTAGCTTGCAGCTTCTACTCCTTCCATGTTCCCTCATTGACCCCCTTACATAACCAACTTCCCAAAAGTCAAGTTGAAAAAATGTGATTTCAGTACTTATCCCAAACTCTGCTGGCTGCCATACCCCTGCCTGGGACCACTCCAGGCTGCTGAGCAGTGAGGCCTACCCCATTGCTCATGGAATTACATGATGATAGTCTGTCACTGCTCTGGGGGAGAAGTGGGCAGCCAACTTGACCCTCTGGTATTTGGATAATGCATGAGAAACCCCCGATACAGAGGCCAATCAGTCCTCTTTCTTTTCAAATCTAGTGAACGGAGAGTCTCTGCTAGCTGAGGAAATTCTGCCCAGTACTCAGAAGTTAGATGTAAGATTGTTTTCTATCATTATTCTTGTTGGCCCCACATTCTAGAACCCTGTTTCCTGCTTTTTATGTCCTATCTCAAAATATTCTTAAACCACGTGATGGCCATTTTGTTTTGTGATGGTTAACACTCAGTGTCAACTTGGTTGGATTGAGGATGCAAAGTATTGTTCCCGGGTGTGTCTGTGAGGATGTTGCCAAAGGAGATTAACATTTGAGCCAGTGGACTGGGAGAAACAGACCCACTCTCAGTCTGTGTGGGCACCATCTAATCAGCTGCTCAATGTGGCTAGAATAAAGCAGGCAGAAGAAAGCGGAATGAGGAGACTTGCTGAGTCTTCCAGTCTTCATCTTTCTCCCATGCTGGAGGCTTCTTGCCCTCAAACATCAGATTCCAAGTTCTTCAGCTTTTGGACTCTTGGACTTACACCAGTGATTTCTTCAGCCACAGACTATAGGCTATACTGCTGGCTTCCTTACTTTTGAGATTCGGGGATTTGGACTGGCTTCCTTGCTCCTCGGTTTGCAGGTGGCCTATTGTGGTGCCTCACCTTGTGATTGTGTGAATCAATTTTCCTAATATACTCCCCTTCATATATACATATATCCTATTAGTTCCGTCCCTTTAGAGAATCCTGACCAATACATGCTTGTATCTCCACATCCTTGTATCTCCAGGCAACTGGAGATTAGAACAAAGTTGTCAAAATTCCTTTATTGTTGTTAAGTGCTTCTTAAACACCTTCTGAGACTTTTGCCCTCTTGTTTATTCTGTGCAACTACTACAATTTCCCTCCTCCACTCTCTCCTCCCAGTGCATTCTAACCCCACCCTAAGTATTTAACATGTAACAAACCTTTTGGAGAGCCCCATGGAGAGATTACAAGTCTGTCCTATCACCACCCTCACCAACCCAGACTAAAATTTTGCACATTGCCTTAGTTGAGAGAGAGAACTAGGTAGAGGCAATCCCTACATTTTCAAACTCTCTATTCATAGGAAGAAGAACATTTCAAAAATACTTAAAATTCCATCTGACACTTCAAAGGCCCGAGTCAAGAATATGGTAGTTTCTTGAAAGTCTATCACATTCATACAACTAGAACTCATTTTTTTAATCATCTGCCTTTTAAAGCACTGCCGATTCTTTGCTGCGCAGTAGATCAAATATCATCATAACTAAAATGACCCTGATATTCCACTGTGTCCCTAATTATATTTTTAGAGCCAAGGATCCATACATCTTAATGGTGATCTGAAGATCATCTAATAAAAATTATACCCATTCTCACCATTTACAAAAAAAGAAATGGAAGCAAAAAAAAAAAAAAAAAAAAGAATTGTCTATGTCAGAAATGAAAGTAATGTTTATTAGCATTTAGGTCTCCTGACTACAACCCTCTGCTCTTTTTGTCATTCCATGAAAACTCTTACTTAACTTACTAAAGATCACCTCACAGTACTTCCCCACATCCTATGACAGCAGAAATTGGATGCCCAGCATATGACTTTTAATAAATAAATGACACATCAAATGGCACAAGTTTTACAAGAAAGGCCTTAGACAGTTTTTTTTTTTTTTTTTTGGTTTTGGTTTTCCTTTTCCTGACCAAGACCAGATTCTCTTCTGCCTCAAGATCTTAAAGAAGCATCCTACTAACATCAGGGCAGAGATATCTTTTTGGGTGGTATTGTAACAACAGTGTTCAAGTCTGATACCTTGAAACTCAAGGGCACACTAGAGGGACAAAGCAGCTAGAGATACTAGGAAACTCATAGGGCATGACCAGTTCTTGAGGATATTTCAAGATGAGGGGATAACTATAACATAAAATAACATGTTTAGCAAACACAATGAAACTAGCTTATACAAATTTTTTTTTCACCCCTAAGTACTCATTCAGTAAAAATATATATAGTACATCCTAATACACAGCCATCTCATAAAATATTTTCAAACATCTTTTTTGGAAATTGCTATAAAAAGCCTATGAAACATTCTTTTGAATGCCATCAAAAGATTTCATAGATTTTGCTTAAAGATTGATTTGGTTATTAGAAATAGGCAAAAGTCACTCAGCTAATTGGAAAGGACAAGGTAAGCAAAATTTTATTTTGGTTTAAAAAGTTGTACACAGAAAATGACACCAATTTTCTGAGTTATTTTGAAGACATTTACAAAAACATTATTTCAAAAATAATCTAAGGAATGACAGTGTCATTGGAATAAGAATGCAATTGCTGCAGGTGATTAAATCAGAGTCAACTTCCATTTATTCAAGTAAGTTTTGGTATTGTGATTCAAAGACCAGCCATAAGTATGACACATTTCCACAATGAAATACATGCTGCCATTTACACAAATGTTTGAAAAGATGTTTAATTGCTTAGAAAATATTGATTTATAATGTTAAATTTTAAAAAGCAAGATATGAGGAGGAAGAGGTGGAGCAAAATGACCAAATAGAAGCCTGAAGCAACTGGCTCCACCAGAGAAACATCAAACTGAACAACTATTCATACAAAAATCACCTTTATACAAACCAAAAATTAAGTGAGTGATCACAGCACCTGGCTTTAACATCATATTAAAGAGAGAAGCACTAAAGAGGGTAGGAAATACAGACTTGAATCACCTTCACCACCCTTCCCCCATCCCTTGGTAGCAGCCATGTGATGCTTAGATAGAATTTGTGCACTTAGGGGAAGGAGAGCACAGTGATTGTGGGACTTTGCACTGAAACTCGGTGATGCCCTGCCAGAGCAGAAAGCAATATAGGGTTGAAATGTACCAGTGCCCACAGAGGGAGCATTTAGTACAGCCCTAGCCAGAGAAAAATCATCCACCCTAGAGGCTGGAACCTGAGCCCCTCAAGCCTCACCACAGTGGGCTAAAGTATTCTGGGGTCCTAAATAAACGTTAATGGCAGTCTAAGCCACAAGGACTGCAATTCCTGGGGAGATAATCCTTCTGCTTGAGGAAAAGAGAGGGAAGAATAAAGAAGACTTTGTCTTGCAGCTTGGATACCAGCTTGGCCACAGTGGGCTAGAGCACCAAGCAGGCTCCTGGGGTCCCCAGTTTCAGGCCTTGGCTCCCAGATGGCAATTCTGGACCCACCCTGGGCCAGAAGAGAGCCAGGCCTGGCAGCACTCATCACAAACTGAATGAAGAAACCTTGGGTCTTGAGTGAACATGGGTGATAACCAGGCAGTACCCACTGTGGGCCTGGGTCAGTGGTAGCCACATAGAGGGACTCCTCTGCTTGAGAGAAAAGGAGGAAAGCATGGGAAGGACTTTTTGTCTTGCAGCTTGGGTACCAGTTCAGCCTCAGTAGAATAGAGAACCAAGTAGATTACAAAGGTTACTGAGTTTCTAAGCCCTGCTTTCTGAATGGCATCTCTGGACCCAGCTGGGGCTAGGAGCGACTCACCACTCTGAAGGGAAGGACGAAAGCCTGGCTGGATTCAGCACCTACTGATTATAGATTCTGTGGGCCTTAAGTAACCATAGGCAGCAACCACGTGGTAGACAACATGAGACTTGAGTGATGCCCAGTGCTATGCTAGCTTCAGGTCTGAACCAGTGCAAATCCTGTGGTGACCACAGATGTGCTTGCATCATCCCTCCCTCAGCTCCAGACAGCTCAGAACAGAGAGAAAGAGATTCCATTTGTTTGGGGGAAATTAAGGGAAGAGAAAAAGAGTCTTTGCCTGGTAATCCAGAAAATTCTCCTGGATCATATCCAAGACCACCTAGGTGGTACTTCTCTGAGTCTACAAGAGAAACAGTGTTACTGGGCTTAGCCTGCCTCCTAATGGATGTACAGCTGCAGTGACAAAGACTTAGATCACAACACCCACATTCTTTCAAATACTTGGAAAGCCTTCCCAAGAAGGACCGGTACAACTAAGCCCAGACTGCAAAGACTACAGTAAATACCTAACTCTTCAATGCCTAGACACTGATGAACATCCACAGCATCAAGGCCATCCAGGAAAACATGATCTCACAAAACAAACTAAATAAGGCACCAGGGACCAATCCTGGAAAGACAGAGAAATGTGAACTTTCAGAGACAGAATTCAAAATAGTTCCTTTGAGGAAGCTCTGTGAAATTCAAGATAACACAGACAAGGAATTCAAAATCCTATCAAATAAATTTAACAAACAGATTGAAATAAATAAGAAGAATCCAGCAGAAATTCTAGAGCTAAAAAAATGCAATGGTCATATGCAAGAATACATCAGAGTCTCTTAACAGTGAAATTAATAAAGCAGAAGAAAGTGCTAGTGAGCTTGAAGAAAGGCTCCTTGAAAATACACAGTCACAGGAGACAAAAGAAAAAAAATAAAAAAGAATGAAGCACACCTACAAGATCTAGAAATTAGCCTCAGAAGGACAAATTTAAGAGTTACTGACCTTAAAGAGGAGGTAGAGAAAGAGAGATCAGGCTAGAAAGTTTATCCAAAGTATAACAACAGAGAACTTCCCAAACCCAGAGAAAGATAGCAATATTAAAGTACTAAAAGATTATAGACACCAAGCGGAGTTAACCCAAATTGGACGGCCAAAGGTCAAGGACAAAGAAATAGTCCTAAAAGCAGCAAGAGAAAAGAAACAAATAACATACAAAGAGGTTCTCCATTTTGTCTGGCAGCAGACTTCTCAGTAGAAACCTTATAGGCCAGAAGAGAGTGGCATAATGTATTTAAAGTGCTGAAGAAAAAAATCTTTCATCCTAGAATAATATATCCAGTGTAAATATCCTTCAAATATGGAGGATAAATAAAGACTTTCCCAGACAAATGAAAGCAGAGAAATTTCATCAACACCAGATCTGTCCTATAAGGAATGTTAAAAGGAGTTCTTCAATCTGAAAAAAAAAAAAAGATATTCATGAGCAATAAGAAGTCATCCGAAAGTGCAAAACTCGCTGGTAATAGTGAGTATACAGAAAAACATATAATATTGTAACACTGTAATTGTGGTATGTCAACTATTCATATCTTGACTGGAAAGACAAAAAGATGAGCCTATCAAAAATAACTACAACTTTTCACGACATAATATAATAAAATGTAAAGAGAAACAAGAAAAAGTTAAAAATGATGGAATAAAGTTAAACTATACAGTTTTGATTAGTTTCCTCTTTGCTTGTTTGTTAGATTGTTTCTTTATGCAATCACTACTAATTTGTCATGCATTTAAATTAATGGGGTATAAGATATTATTTGCATTCTTATGGTCACCTCAAACCAAAATCATACAATAGACACACAGAAAGTCAAAAGCAAGAAATGAAAACGTGCTATCAGAGAAAATCACCTTTACTGAAAAGAAGACAGAGAGGAAGGAAAGAAGAAAGAGAAGACCGCAAAACTGCCAGAAAACAAATAACAAAATGGCCGGAGTAAGTCCCTATTTATCAGCAATAACATTGAATGTTAATAGACTAAATTCTCCAATCAAAAGAAACAGAGTGTCTGAATGGATTAAAAAATAAGACCCAATGATCTATTGACTACAAGAAACACATTTCACCTGTAAAAACACACATAGACTGAAAATAAAGAGATAGAAAAAGATATCCCATATGAATGGAAACCAAAAAATAGCAGGAGCAGCTATACTTACATCAGACAAGATAGATTTCAAGATGAAAACTATAAAAAGAGACAAATAAGTTTATTATATAATGATGAAGAGGCCAATACCACAAGAAGTTATAATAACTGTAAATATATATGCACACTGGAGCACTCTGATGTATATCACACACATTATTGGAGCTAAAGAGAGAGATAGACCCCAATACAATAATACCTGGTGACTTCAATACCTCACTTTCATCATTGGACATATCTTCCAGACAGAAAATCAACAGAGAAACATCAGATTTTAGTCTGCACTGTACATCAAATGGACCTAATAGATGTTACAGAGTATTCCATCCAATGGCTACAGAATACACAGCTTTCTCCTCAGCACATGGATTATTGTCAAAGATAAGCCATATGTTTGGCCAAAAAACAAGTCTTTAAAAATTCAGAAAAATTGAAATTATGTCAAGTATCTTCTTTGATCATAATGGAACAAAACTAGAAGTCAATAACAAGAGGAATTTTGGAAACTTTAGAAACACATGAAAATTAAACAATATGGTCCTAAATGACCATTGGGCCAATAAAGAACTTAAAAAGGAAAATTTTAAAATGTCTTGAAACAAACAACAATGGAAACACAAAATACCAAAATCTATGGGATACAGTAAAAGCAATACTAAGAGGAGAGTTTATAGCAATGAGTACCTACATCAAAAAAGTAGAAATACTTCAAAAAAAAACCTAACAATTGTTCTAATACCTAAAGTATTAGAAAAAACTGAACTCGAAATTAGTAGAAGAAAGTAATAAAGATAGAGCAAAAAGAAATGAAATTGAAACTAAAAAAGACAAAAGATCAACAGGATGAAAAAAATTTTTTTATAAGATTAGCAAAATCTGCAAACCTTTAGCCAGACTAAATAAGAAAAAGGAGAGAAGATAAAAATAAATAAAACCAGCAATGAATAAGGGGACATTACAACCAATATTGCAGAAATTGAAATGATCATTAGAGACTACTATGAGCAACTAGATGACAATAAATTGGAAAACTTAGAAGAAATGGATAAATTTCTAGACACATACAACCTACCAAGATTAAGCCATGAAGAAATCCAAAACCTTAACACACCAATAAGTAGTGAATTTGAAGTTATAATAAAAAATTTCCCAGCAAAGGAAAGCTATGGCTTCACTGCTGAATTTGACCAAACATCTAAGGAAGAACGAATACCAATCCTACTCAAACTATTCCAAAAAATAGAGGAGGAGGGATTACTTCCAAACCCATTCTATGAGGCCAGTATTACTGTGACGCCAAAACCAGATAAGACACATCAAAGAAGAAAAGCTATAGGCCAATATTCCTGACGAACACTGATGCAAAAGTCCTCAACAAAATAGTAGCAAATTAAATTCAGCAACACATTTAAAAGATCACTCATCATGATCAGTGGTTTTTATCCCTGGGATGCAGATCAATCATTGTAATACATCAAATCAATAGAACTAAGGATAAAAATCATATGATCATTTCCACTGATGCTGTAAAAGCATTTGATAAAATTCAATATCCCTTCCTGATACAAACCCTCAGAAAACTGGGTATAGAAGGAACATTACTCAACATAATAAAAGCCACATATGATAGACCTACAGCTAGCATCATATTAAATGAGGGAAACTGAAAGCATTTTCTCTAGGATCTGGAACACGACAAGGATGCCCACTTACTCCATTGTTATTCAACAATGCCTGAAGTCCTAGCTAGAGCAATCATAAATGAGAAAGAAATAAAGGGCATCCAAATTGGAAAGGAAGAAGTCAAATTATCCTTGTTTGCAGATGATATCATCTTATATTTTGAAAAACCCAAAGACTCCACAAAAACACTATTAGACAAATTCAGTAAAGTTGCAAAATATCAAACCAACATACAAAAATCAGTAGCATTTCTGTATGCCAACAGCTAACAATCTGAAAATGATATCAAGAAAATAATCTCATTTACAATAGCTACAAAATAATAATAATTAATAATAATAATAAGATACCTAGGAATAAACTTAACCAAAAAAGTGAAAGAACTCTACAATGAAACTATAAAACATTGATGCAAGAAATTGAAGAGGACATACACAAAAAATGGAAAGATATTCCATGTTCATGGATTGAAAGAATTAATATTGCTAAATTGTCCATACTGCCCAAAGCAATTGGAGATTCAATGCAAAATACCAATGGCATTTTTCACAGAAACATAAAAAATCCTAAAACTTATATGGAAGTACAAAAGACTCAGAATAGCCAAAGTTATCCTTTGAGCAAGAAGAATAATACTGGAGGAATCACATTACCTGATTTCAAATTATACTAAAAAGCTATAGCAACTAAAACAGCATTGTACTGGCATGAAAACAGACACATTAACCAATGGAATAGAATAGATAACCCAGAAATAAATTCATACATTTACAGTAAATTCATTTTCACTAAAGGAGCCAAGAACGTACATTTGGGAAAGGACAGTCACTTCAATAAATGATGCTGGGAAAACTGGATATCTGTATGTAGAGAAATAAAACTAGACCCCTATCTCTCACCATATACAAAAATCAAGTAAAATGGATTAAAGACTTCAGTATAAGACTTCAAACTACAAAGAATGAATAATCAGAATATATAAAGAGCTCATACAACTCAATAAAATCTCATAATTTGATAAAAAATGGGCAAAAGATCTGAATAGACATTTCTCAAAAGAGGACATACAAATGGCAAACAGGTATATGAAAAGGTGCTCAACATCACTGATCATCAGATAAATGCAAATCAAAACTACAGAGATATCATCTCACCCCAGTTAAACTGGCTTTTATCCAAAAGACACGCAATAACTAATGCAAGTGAGGATGTGCAGAAAAGGAAACCTTCTTACAGTGTTGGTGGGAATGTAAATTAGTACAACTACTATGGAGTACAGTTTGGAGGTTCCTCAAAGAACCAAAAACGAAACTACCATATGATCCAACTACCTTACTACTAGGCAAATACATCACTAGGGTATACCAAGTGAAAGCAAATCAGCATATTGAAGAGATATCTGCCTTTTGATGTTTGTTGCAGCACAAGGCACAATAGCCAAGATTTGGAAGCAACCTAAGTGTCCATCAGCAGATGAATGGATAAAGAAAATGTGATACGTATGCACAATGGAGAACAATTCAGCAATAGAAAAGAATGAAATCCTGTTATTTGCAACAACACAGATGGACCTGAAGGACATTCTGTCAAGTAAATAAGCTAGGCACACAAAAACAAACTTCTCATTTTTTCACTTATTTGTGGGAGCTAAAAATTAAAACAATTGAACTCATGGAAATAGAAAATAGCATGATGGTTACCCAAGGCTGAGAAGGGTTGTGGTGGGAGGGTGATGTGGGGATGGTGAATGGACACAAAAATATAGTTAGATAGAATGAATAAGATCTAGTGTTTCTTAACACAATAGGGTTACTGCAGATGATAATAATAATTTACTGTATACCTCAAAACAATTAAAAGAGTATAATTGGATTGTTTGTAACACAAAGAAAAGATAAACGTTTGTGTGATGGATACCCCATTTACTCTGACATGGTTATTATGCATTGTATGGTTACATTGAAATATCTCATGTACATCATAAATATATACAACTAATATGTACCCACAAAATTTTTTAAAAAGCAATATAGAAAATTGTACATGAAAGGCTATCACAATTACATACAAATAGACATAAATAATATTGGGGGAATAAAGGCTGAAATGCTGAAAGTGATAGTATTTGGATAGTGAAACAGCAGGTCATTACATTTCTACTTTTTGGTGTTTTCTAAATTTTTTCTAATGAACATATATAATCTATAAAATGAGAAAATCATTTGTTTCTTTTAAAAAAATTATTATATATGTGCATTTCCTCATAACCAGTAAAAGAATTGCTTATATTGGCTTCAAACCATGATCACTTCCCTGCACCATACTTCATCTATAACATAAAGTGGTTGGGTAATTATCATCACTCTAAAGGCTTTGAAAAACACCAACATGCAGCAAACAAAGATCCTAAGATTAAAAACCTAGAAAAGTCACAGCACAATAAAATGGTATGATTTGCTTCTATTAAAGTAGTATTTTGTTAACTTGAATAACTTATACCAAAATTAGACTAAATTTTTAACCATATATTCATTTTAGAACAATGTAGCCATATATATATTAAGAAGCTTAATCACAGGGGGAGGAAAAAGGGTGGATAGCAGCCAGGACTAACTTGCAGCTCCCACTCAGACAGACAGAGCAGCGTATGGAGACTCACATCGTGAACTTTTGCTCCGAGAACAACCAAGGAACATACCAGGGAAGCTGAGAGAATCCACAGACCCTTTGAAGGAAGCAGATTTCTGCTGCTGGCTCCAGGAGGCAGCCAAAAAAATGTGAGTGCGCAAAGCGTGAAGGTGTGAAAGGGGGATCATCTGCCCCTGAACATACATCCTCACTGGAGAACCTGAGGGTCCAGATCATGGAAGAAGAACTTGACCTTACCTGGAGCTGAAACAAATTTAGAGAGCCAAGTGAAATACAGGAGTAGAGGAAGCAGCAGGAAGAGCCCTGTAACCACTCTCAGTCCTCAGGGAAGCCATTTCTGTCTTTGTCTCGCAGGAGTCCTTAGGGAGGGCTGCCGGTGGAGCTGGGGAAAGACCACAGGGAGAGGGAAAACTCCAGCTGAACTCTGTAACAATTTCAACTTTATGCGAAGTTTCCTGGACGGAATCTAGGGGAGAGGGTGAACCAGGGGTGTAGACACAGCACAGAAGTTGCAGCAGATGGGGAGTCACAAAACCTGAAAGCCCTGCTTACTTTCCCAGCAGGCATGCCTGGAGCCTGGGACAAGTACTCAACCCTGTTCACCTGTTGCCTGGAAATCAATTTGGTGCTGTTGGGGGGCATGGTGAAAGTGAGACTGGCCTTTCGGGTTGCACTGGAGCTGACTGAGGTCTGTAACTGCCGGCTTTCCCCTACTTCCCTGGTTACCTCCATGAGGCAGAAGAGGCAGCCATAATCCCCCTGGTAGCATAACTCCATTGGACTAAAAACCACACCTCCATCCCACACAGCAGCTGCAGCAAGCTCTGCCCAAGGAGAGTCTGAACTCAGACATACCTAACTCTGCCTCCACATGATGGTCTTTCTCTATCTGCCCTGGTTGCTGAAGACAAAGGACATAATCTCTTGGGAGCCCTATGGCTCCACCCACTACCTGAGAAACTTATAAAAGGAGACCCTAGGGCAAGCTTGTATCCTCCCTATACTACTGCAGCTGATAATCTCTTGAAAGCACCACCTCCTGGCTGGAGGCCAACCAATGCAAAACTAGTGTGATAAACAAAAACACAACCAAGGACCCTCGCAGAGTCCACTTGACTCCTCTGCTATCTCCACTGGAGCAGGTGCTGGTATCCAGGGCTGAGAGACCTAAGATGGATCATGTCACAGGACTCTTTGCAGATACTCCCCAGCACCACCCCAGAGCCCAGGAGCTCCACTGACTGGCTAGATCCAGAAGAGAAATAACAATCATTGCAGTTCATCTCTCAGGAAGCCACATCCCTCAGTACCCACATATAGGAAGAACCCTGTGGGACTAAAAAATCTGAACATCAGCCTTTGAGCCCCAGACTTTCCATCTGATATAGCCTACTCAAATGAGAAGGAACCAGAAAAACAATTCTGGTAATATGACAAAACGAAGTTCTTTAACACATGTAGATCACACTACCTCACCAGCAATGGATCCAAACCAAGAATAAACCTCTGAACTGCCAGAAAAAGAGATCAGAAGGTCTATTATTAAGATACTCAAAGAGGCACTGGAAAAAGGTGAATACCAACTCAAATGCATTTTTTAAATGTTACAGGATATGGATGGAAAAATCTTCGGATAAATAGATAACATAAATAAAAAACAATCACGTTTTCTGGAATGAAGGACGTACTTAGAGAAATGCAAAATATGCTGGAAAGTCTAAACAATAGAATTGAAAAAGTAGAAGAAAGCTTCAGAGCTCAAAGACAAAGCTTTTAAATTAACCCAATCCAACAAAGACAAAGAAAAAAGAATTTAAAAAATGAACAGGCAGGGTGCAGTGGCTCATGCCTCTAATTCAAGCACTTTGGGAGGCCAAGGCGGGTGGATCACCTGAGGTCAGGAGTTTGCAACCAGCCTGGCCAACATGGTGAAACCTCATCTCTACTAAAAATACAAAAATTAGCTAGGCGTGGTGGCGGGCACTTGTAATCCCAGCTACTCAGGAGGCTGAGGCAGGAGAATCACTTGAACCCGGGAGGCAGAGGTTGCAGTGAGCTGATATCACACCACTGCACTCCAGCCTGGGTGACAGAGTGAGACTCCATTTCAAAAAAAAAAAAATTGAACAAAGCCTCCAAGAAGTTTGGGATTATGTTAAATGACCAATCTAAGAATAGTTTGTGTTCCCAAGGAAGAAGAGAAATCTCTAAGTTTTGAAAACATATGTAAGGAAATAATCAAGTAAAACTACCCTGGCCTTACTAGAGATCTAGATATCCAAATACAAGAAGCTCAAAGAACACCTGAGGAATTCATTGCAAAAAGATTATCACCTAGGTACATAGTCATTAGTTTATCCAAAGTCAAGATGAAGGAAAGAATCTTAAGAGCTGTGAGGCCAAAGCATCAGGTAATCTATAAAGGAAAACCTATCATATTCAAAGTAGATTTCTCAGGAACCCTGCAAGCTAGAAGGGATTGGGTTCCTATCTTTAGTCTCCTTAAACAAAACTATTATCACCCAAGAAGTTTGTATCCAGTAAAACTGAGCTTCATAAATGAAGAAAAGATACAGCCTTTTTCAGACAAACAAATGCTGAGAGAATTTGCCACTACCAAGCCAGAACTATAAGAACTGCTAAAATGAACTCTAAATCTTGAAACAAATCCTGGAAATGCACCAAAATAGAATCTCCTTAAAGCATAAATATCACATGATATGTAAAACAACAACAGAATGAAAAAAACAAGGTATTCAGGCAACAAATAGCACAATGAATAGAATACTACCTCACATCACAATACTAATGTTTAATGTAAATGGCCTAAATGCTCCCCTTAAAAGATACACCATGGCAGAATGGATAAGAATTCACCAACCAAGTATTTGCTGGCTACAAGGGACTCAGCTGACGCACATGAATTCACATAAACTTATGGTAAAGGTGTGGAAAAAGATATTCCATGCAAATTGACACCAAAAGCAAACAGGAGTAGCCATTCTTATATCAGACAGAACAAACTTTAAAGCAACAGCAGTTTAAAAAGACAGAGGGACATTATATAATAATAAAAGGACTAGTCCAACAGGAAAATATCACAGTCCTAAATATATATGCACCTAACACTGGAGCTCCAAAACTTATAAAACAATTACTACTAGAATTAAGAAATGAGATAGACAGCAACACAGTAATAGTGTGGGACTTCAATACTCCACTGACAACACTAGGTGGGTCATCAAGACAGAAAGTCAACAAAGAAACAATGGATTTAAACTATACCCTAGAACAAATAGACCTAACAGATATTTACAGAACATTCTACCCAACAACTGCAGAATCCTAAAATTCATATGGAATACAGAACCAAAAAAGAGCTTGCATAGCCAAAGCAAGACTAAGCAAAAAGACCAAATCTGGATGCATCACACTACCCAACTTCAAACTATATTATAAGGCCATAGTCACCAAAACAACATGGTACTGGTATAAAAATAGGCACATAGACCAATGGAACAGAATAGAAAACCCAGAAATAAACCCAAATGTTGTGGCCAACTGATCTTCAACAAAGCAAACAAAAACATAAAGTGGGGAAAGGACACCCTATTCAACAAATGGTGCTGGGATAACTGGCAAGTCACATGTGGAAGAATAAAACTGGATCCCCATAGCTCACCTTATACAAAAATCAACTCAAGATGGATCAAGGATTTAAATCTAAGACCTGAAACCATAAAAATTCTAGAAGATAACATCAGAAAAACCCTTCTAGACATTGGCTTAGCCAAAAACTTCACGACTAAGACCTAAAAGCAAATGCAACAAAAACAGAGATAAATAGATGGGACTTAACTAAACTAGGAAACTTCTGCACAGCAAAAGAAACAGCAGAGTAAACAGACAACCCACAGAGTGAGAGAAAATCTTCTCAATCTATACATCTGACGAGGGCCAATATCCAGAATCTACAAGGAATACAAACAAATCAGCAAGAAAAAAACAAATAACCCCATCAAAAAGTGGGCTAAGGACATGAATAGACAATTCTGAAAAGAAAATACACAAATGGGCAACAAACATGAAAAAATGCTCAACATCACTAATGGTCAGGGAAATGCAAATCAAAACCACAATGCCATACCACCTTACTCCTGCAAGAATGGCCATAATAAAAAAAAATTAAAAAACAATAGATGTTGGCATAGATGTGGTGAAAAGGGAACACTTTTACACTGCTGGTGGGAATGTAAACTAATACAATGAAAAACAGTGTGGAGATTCCTTAAAGAGCTAAAATTAGGTCTACCATTTGATCCAGCAATCCCGCTTCCAGGTATCCACCCAGAGGAAAATAAGACATTATATGAAAAAGATACTTGCACACAGATGTTTATAGCAGCACAATTTGCAATTGCAAAAATTTAGAACCAACCCAAATGCCCATCAACCAATGAGTAGATGAAAAAAGTGTGTGTATATATATATATATATACACACACACACACATATATACATATACATACACATACACACACACACACACACACACACACACACCATGGAATACTACTCAGACATAAAAAGGAATGAAATAATGGCATTCATAGCAACCTGGATGGAATTGGAGAGCATTATTCTAGGTAAAGTAGAATAACGTAACTCAGGAATAGAAAACCAAACATCATATGTTCTCACTCATAAGTGGGAGCTGAGTTTTGAGGATGCAAAGGCATGACAATGATACAATGGAACTTGGGGACTCGGGAAAGGGTGGAAGGTGGGTGAGGCATAAAATACTATACACTGGGTATGGTGTACACTACTCAGGTGATGGGTGCACCAAAATCTAGAAATGATCACTAAAGAACTTATTCATGTACCCAAACACCACCTGTTCCCCCAAAACCTACTGAAATTAAAATAAAATATGTATTCAGTGCCAAAAAAAAAAAGACAGAACATGGGATTGAAAAAGGAAAAGCTTAATCATAAGCACACAGAAACAGAGCTATACGTTACCTAAAGACATGGTGGTCTTTAACCAAATAACCAGTTGGCTTACTGGTTATTAATTCCTTCAGTAGTCATTTATCAAGTACCAGAAATTAACCAGCACTCCATATGCGGCTAAATGAGCAACTGTATCTGACATATTTATGGCAGTTTCCATGTTCACAAAATATGCTGACTTATGTTACTTCATTTGATTTCTACAAAATTCTATATTTACATTACAGCTATTATTAGTGTTAATCATAATGAATTAAGAATAGTTTTATTAGGGATAGTTTTAAGGCTAGATTGTTAACTCCTTGAGAGTAGGGAACTTGCTTTGTCTTAACTATCAATAGGTTTGCCAAGTTAAATTCCCATTGTACAGGTTAAGAAACGGAGGCTTTAGGATTTGTTCATGGTCATAAAGTCAATGAGTGGCTCAGGACAACCAACTTCTATGCCTTTTCTTTTATAATACCTGCACTTTGACATGTCTAGGATATTTTAGCTGTGGCTAACAAAACAATTATTTCAGTATTTGAGTATATAAATTCCCAGAAGAGAGAAAATAGATAATTAAGAGATTGATTCTTTATGTAAAAAGCCCTATAATTATCATATAAACAATTAAGAATGACTAAATACATTTATAGCTAGGCAATTACAAACAAAAAGTGTTATCAGAATATAAATAATAATGAATCAAGCAAACTGAGTTTATTCTCACTGGGAAAGGTAAGACCTTGAACTGTGACCTTATAGAAGTTCTTAAAATTCTAAACAAAATCAATAGAGTTTGAGAGAGATAAATCATCCATATGGTGATGCACTAACAAAATTGTCCAGAGACCACCATCTGAGAATAAGAAATGAGAACACAAAGGATTGGGGACAGCAAATCCTTTTTTATCACAAAGAGCAATAAACAGAGGCTTCCTGGATTCAATCAGGCAACAGCTCAAATACTACCCCTTTCTTCCTTAATCTACCTAAAACAGAACCCCCTTCCCAGTGTTGTGCTGGTAAATGTTCACAACTGGGTATCTGGAGGAAAAATATATGCATGTGTATATATACTTAGGTCTATTATAAATTTTACTGATATAAAAGATGTATATCACACAATTTACAAATAATAACATGCATCATTTATTTTAGTAAATTTTACATAGTCAGCAAATTCTCACAGAATGCTTCGGTTAATTTTTGCCATACTTTTGTATCCACAGCCCACTTATGGTTGCAATTGAACAAGTATAGACCCATCCACGTCACTGAATGCAGACTTGGAAAGAGATGTACAGTATTTCTATAATACTATTCAGATATAATAGATGTAAATAACCACAATAGCATATATAACAGCAACATGTAGTAAAATGAGAAAGTGTTGTTTTGAGTAGGCGTTACTTTTTTTCCTAATGTGATTTATTTCTTTTTAAATATTTACAATTTAATTTTTCAATATTCGCTCTGTTTAGCAACTGGGTTGCAAAATTCCTGTGGATTTAATAATTGATCTTTATGAGCCAGCCTGAGACAGCTCCAGCACACCACCACCCTACTCTACCCCTATCATTCTCTAATCTCTTACCCTGGTTTATTTTTCTAATGGGCTTTTATCACCACTCAACATGTATTTGTATGTTTATTGCTTGTCTCTCTTACTAGAATATAAACTCAATGAGGGCAAGCATTTTGTCTGTCCGGATCATTACTGTCGTGGTGTCTGACACACGGTAGACAGGAGTGCAAGGAGCACAGGCTCGTCTGAGTGGGCATGGAGAGTTGAGGTCAAATAATCCGTGCTGTGTCAGCATGTGCTCAGTAAGCAGACACTGACTTGGAGATTCGAGTGAAGGAGTTAATTAGGAAGTGATCTTATTATCAACACCAGTGGAGGAAGGGGAAGGAAGACATGCTGGTAGAGGAAGAAGCTGAGCTGTGACAAAGTCCTAACCAAGAGGTCAACTTATTTCACAGGGCCTCTGGAGCTGGCACAGCCCATCAGAGTTTCCTTGAGTTGGGCAAAGGGTGAGCCTTTATACCCTCACATTGGTCGTTGGCTATAGGTTAACCCTAAAGAGAAAGTGACCTTGAATGAGACAGTTCTCTTCAGCTGAGGCAATCCCTGAAGGAGTTTGATAACTAAGGACTGTCTGTCGGAAGCACTCCAGCAGCTGGGGCAACATGCTCTACACAGGGTTAGATTCAGGGCAGGGTGCCAGTGCCAGCGGGAAATTGGAGTGCAATTAGCAAACGAAGAGAGGAGCCAGTCATAGGAATCATAGGCAGGGAGCACATCTGTTGGGGATTGGGAGAAAGACTGCAGCTTGGAAGGTATTCAGTTCCCAGGGCTTGCCCCAGGATTGTTGGTTTCTGGTATTAGGAAGCAACAGTAGAATAAGCAGGAGAATGCACTGCCTGCTTCTCTAAATTATCTAGGCACACACACTCCATAAACCCTCATACAGACCCCAACTCATTAGGATCTACCCTGGATCTTTACAAAACACAGGTCACTCAAAAACATTTATTGAATATCTATTCAGTGTCAGTCCCTGTGCTGCACTTTAGAAACACAAGAGTGAATGAAATAGACATAGTCCATGGCCTAAATAAGCTTACATCTAGTGTCGTGACCCTTAACCCTGACTGTGCACTAAAATCACCTAAAGAACTACTTTTAAATGCTGGAGCTTCTGATGGAATTGCCATGAAAGACAGCCTTAGCATTTGTATTTTCTAACTCATTTTTATATGTGGTCAGGGCTGAGAACCACTGCTTTAAGCCACTGATGAAAAGATAGTAAACAGGTGCACACATCCAGTGTTCTGAAATTCAAACTAATAAAATGTACATGCTGAACACAAAGAAACAAAAATCTAAACAATGGCTGATATGATTTCACCTTAGCCTCTGAACCCTAGTCTGAATCAACATTCATGACCAGATTAACTCATTGATACAATATCTCTGGAATGAAAGCTAAATCTTTTTGCTGATCTGTTGGGATTGCCAGCTGTATCCCCTGTGTTGTGTTTGATGGCACAACCAGAAGTTCTTTGCATACATCAATAGACATCAAGGCAACCCAAAGATGATGTAAATTGCTCCTGCTGAAAACGGCAGCACCTTGGGCTTTTGGCTCCTAATACGGTTGACAGTAAGTCAGCCTTTCTCTCTGAATTCCTGACTCTGGTGCCCAGACACAGCATTTAATTAGTGTTTCAATTATCATTTATATGTTTGCACATCAAGTTCAATGAGATCAAGGAGATGAATTTTGGGACAAGTGGTTGTATCATCAATGATTTCCCCAGAGATAGATTATTTGAAGGTTAACAATTCAAGCAGAGGGCCTTAAGAAGTTAATTGCTGTAAATACTTTTTCAGCTGCAGAACTCAGCACTGTGAACAAGTGACTAGCTCCTTTGATCTTAATGAAGAAAGATGTTTTTCACGCATCGCAGCAGCTTGCTGGGTCCTAAGCTGCAGTTACCAAGAGCACAGAGGTCATCTCCTTCTGAACAATCTTTTGTATTGGCTCAATTGTAATTACCCTGTATATAATTAGCCCTAGACTCACTAGAACAGCTTTATGGCCTAGAATGTTTCTTTAAAAAATCATGCAAATAATAACATTTGCATGGGATATGTTTTAGAGTGCAGAAGCCAGCCTTTATATTACTATCAAAAATGAAAGAGAGGTGGAGGACACCTGTTATCTGATTGGCTATTAATATTACCTTACCTATTTTTGTGCTTAAAGGATAATAACATTGCCTGTGATCAAAAGAAATGTAGAAGAGAAAAGGGAAAGGGAGGAGAATGAAAAATTAAATGAGATACCTGTTCACAGCACATCATCAGGACTGAAACAACTTTAAATGCTATGAAGATCAAGCATATGTCTCTACCTCTGCCCATATTTTTAGGGAGTACAGCTAGATTTTCATTTAATTCCAAGTTTTTCCTACCTACAGCCCTTAATAGTTTTTTGGTTTGTTTTCAACTCAGGTTCAGTATGAAGAAGGGAATGTTTAATAACCCACTTCAAAATGAGGTGAAAGGACTCCAGGAAGTGGAAGATTCTAGAACTAAGGCAGATTAGCTGGAAATCTCTCAAAATGGAATTTATTGTATTTTTGCACAGTTTTGGGCTTTGTTTTCTGAGCATCCATTTTTATCTTTATTTTTATTCTTTTTTAAGCAACAGGGTCTAACTATGTTGCCCTGGCTGGCCTTGAACTCCTGGCCTCAGTGATCCTTTCTCCACAGCCTCTCTAGTAGGTAGGATTACAGGCATGAGCCACTGTGCCTGGCTAGCATCCAGTTACTAAGGAGGGAAAGAAACCACATAATGTGTTTCAATCCCCAAAGTCATTTCCCCCAAATTAAGACTTACCCTTCTGTTTTCTAGATGTACCAACAGCCAATATTTTATAAATCTTTCCAGGATTCTTCTAAGACTTGAATACTCAGTTGTTGTTGCTGGATTTCCCTCCTCTTCCCAAAGAAATTTGCCTGCTTTCTAAGGCTGCCTTTCCCAAGGACAGGGACCTTATATCCTTAGTCTTTTAGATTGTATCACCTCTTTACACTCCAACCTTCAGAGGAAAATGTTGGACAGGATCTTGAAGTTGGAAGCCACCTTATGAATCAAGGCCATTTTCTTCATTTCGTACACTGTGGCTCAAAGCGGTTGATTGACTCTCTGAAGGCCCAGTACTCTGGGCAAGCAGTGATTAAGAGCTCCACCTCCAGAGTCCCACCCCCTGGCTTAGACACCAGCACCAACGCCTGTAAGTTGTGGGATCTTGGGCAAGCTCCTTTACCTCTCTGAGCCTCTGTTTCTGCATTTGTTAAAAGAGTAATAAGAATAGTACCCTTCTCTTGGAAAAGTGATAAGGATCAACGAAATAATGCATGAAAAGCACTTTGTCAAATGTCTGACACAATGAGAACTTGATGAACAGTGAGTGTTACAGTTAGGGACAGAATCCAGACTAGAACAAAAGACTGGCTTTCAGCCCAAGGTTTGTTCCTTTTTGTCGTATTAATCATCTTTTTCAGTTGTTAGAGCTCTACCATCAAAAATCAGTGTATACTGCTGGGGTGATGGGTGCACCAAAATCTCACAAATCACAACTAATGTACTTCCTCATGTAATCGAATACCAGCTGTTCCCCAAAAACCTATGAAAATTAAAAATTAAACAGCAGCAACAACAACAAAAACTCTAGGCTTTCTTGCTCTAGAAAGAAATATGTTTCTTCCTTCTGTATTTGAAGATGGATGCCAAACTCCCTTGAAGAAGTGAGTTAAGACATGATTGTATCTTTAAGGTGGTTCTTCCAAAATGTCCCAGCAAAGGCAAAGAGTAAAGTGTGGTGCCACGTTGGTATAACGTTCCCTCTCTAATTTCTTACCTATTTTCTTCTTAACTATACAGTTAGCCACAGTTTGTACCTCTGCTCCCTAGGTGCCAGTTAGGGGACATACATTAATTATGCTCTCTGAAAAGGCAACTGGCACCTAGGGTGCAGAAAGGTACTACAACATAAAGTGGGAAGGCCATTCTGCCTCTGAAAAATGACATTGCTATTCCAAAAGTTTACTTTGGGGATCATTCATTTGGAAAATGTGACAACATCTTTATAATAAAGAAAGCAAAACAAAACACTAAGCCTACCACTAACCTTGATTATGTTGTCAGAAAGAACAGCTCCTGAGGTGTGTCAAGCATGAAAAGCAGTTAAGGTGGGACATTTTCAATTTTCAACCCTGGTTCATACAAATTGAGTTTTCCTCATCTGATCTGCATTACTGTGAGTAACAGGGGCTGTGCTGCCACTTCTGACTGACTGATCAGTGTGATGGTGGGAAGGCAGTTCAAAGAACATCAGCGGGCTCAGCTGTGACATTTTCGGGGAAACTCCGTGGTTGCGTTACTATGGAAAACGTCGAGGGAGCCTGCTCACACCACTGTCAATGATCAGATAAAAAGACAGGCATGTCCTGAGAAAACCCCATTCCCAACTCTGTCAATTTGGAAGGAAAAAGACATAACATAAAACTCAAACTGAACCTTTGAGACCCTTGTATCTTGGAATCTCCCTGATCCCCCCTGAATGAGCTTTAAAATTATACCTTTAGGGGTTGAATCAGAACTAAAAGAAACTTTAGAAGCCACGTAATAATCTATGTGTTCTCTTTCACCTTGGACTTCTCTCATTTCTGCTCCGTCTTTTAATTGTTTATCACATTTTGCTGATCTTCCTCTTCCACGTTTCTCAGATCTGTGAAACCTGTTCCTCTCACATCCACCTCTGCTGTCGTAGGCAAAATTCGTCAACATTCACACATCAATTATTCTAATAGTCTCTTAGTTGGTCTTCTTCGCAACCAATTACTTTATGACTCAAACCACCTTGCATTGTTCTGTGGGATTAATCTTCTCTAAGTGGTAATTTTCATTATATCACCTGCCTGTTTGCAAACTCACAATGGTTCCTATGTCATGTCAGTATTCATGTCCTTCCATCTTTGGATGCACATAGCTGCACTTCCATTGCACATGCACCTTGCCATGGCTTGCATTTGCCTCCTTCTTTCTTTCAGGCATTTATAAAATTTCTGACACAAAATTACCTCTCCTCTTCTTTTTACACAAACATGACAGGTTCTTTACTTTTGGAGGCTGCTTCAGTGGGAAAGTAACTTCAGCCACTTCAGTATTCATCACTTTATCTTTTCCCTCAGCTACTTCTGTGGAATTTTTTCTTC